>NC_000012.12:131016867-131318490 GCF_000001405.40 Homo sapiens
GGGCGATAGAGTGAGACTCTGCCTCAAAAAAAAAAAAAGTCTGTAAAGGCAGGAGGCTTGTTCTGAAGGACTCTGGAACCTCTGTGTGCTCTGAGGTTGAAGTTGTCCTTGTGAGTGAGGTGGGCACTGTGAAGCACAGCCGACCACAGGGCCTGAGGGACTTTGAAGAGCAGGAGTCAGGGATCATCCCAGAAGGTGAGGCGGGGGCAAGTGGAGAGGGGAGGGCACGGGCAGAGAGGGGAGGCAGGAGATGAGAGCACAGCTTGAGTGCCAGGGCTGCAGGAGAGCCACACAGCCAGTGAGGTTACACAGCATACATGCACACGCATACACACACATGCACATGCACATGCACACAGTCCACACACACCCAGTCCACATACACTCAGTCCACACACACCCAGTCCACACACACCCAGTGCACACAGTCCACACACACCCAGTCCACACACACCCAGTGCACACAGTCCACACACACCCAGTCCACACACACCCAGTGCACACAGTCCACACACACCCAGTCCACATACACTCAGTCCACACACAGTCCATACCCAGTCCCCACACACCCAGTCCACATACACCCAGCACAGACACACACACACCCAGTCCACACACAATCAGTCCACACACACCCCATCTACACCCACCCAGCACAGACACACACACCCAGTGCACACACACTCACTCCACACACTCAGTCCACACACACTCAGTCCACACACTCCCAGCACAGACACACCCAGCACACAAACACCTAGTGCACACACACCCAGCACAGACACACCCAACACAGATACACCAACACAGACACAAACACCCAGTGCACACACACCCAGTGCTCACACACCCAGTACACATACCCAGCACAGACACACCCAGTGCACACATACCCAGTGCTCACACACTCAGTACACACACACCCAACACAGACACACCCAGTGTGCACACACCCAGTCCACACACACTCAGTGCACACACACCCAGCACAGGCACACACACTTAGTATACACACAGCCAGCACAGACACACACAACCAGTGCACACACACCCAGCACAGACACACACTCAGTACACACCCAGTGCATGTACCTGCATCCAGCACCCATATAGGCACATATGTGCACATACCCAGCCTCAGTACACCACACACACCGACACACACACCCACATCCCATCCTTGCAGGGCCGGCAGGTAGGAGCTCTGGAATTTGGAAAGTGGAAAGTGATTTGTTTTGTCTGGTATGGCTTCTCCCTCTCGTGCACAGAGCGGGTCTCCAGGGTGCCTCACCCAGGGGCCTCACGCCTATCCGCTCTCCCGCCCAGGCAGCCCCCTCCTCTCCCACTCCTCCAGCTCCCAGGAAGGCAGGGTGGCAGTAAACTGAATCACAGCCACGTGGTTAGATTGCAGGGCTGAGGCCCGCATTCTCCCAGGTGTCTGCATGTCTGACCCTTCACGCCGGGATGAGGGGCATCGGCTCGGGTTTTGGTTAAATCCCGCCTTGCCCCTGCTGTGGAGGACGCCCCCTGTGGTGCCTGGTGAACCTTAGTCTTAGAGATCGGTTCATCCCCGCGGTTTCCCACCGAGAGGGTCCACCAGTGAGACAGGAGGGAAGCTCCACCTCGGGTCGGCCGCCTCACGCAGCGCTTCCCTCGTGCTGCCCCATCATTCACTGACTTCAGGCCACGAGGACCCGTATGTTAAACAATCCCGCTCTTCTATTTTCTTAGGAAACCAGCTTGAGTCAGTTATGACCGGTGCAAAATAAAATAGAAAAGAGCCCACCTCCCTGATATGGAGGGTTTTGCCTTTTACACACAAAGGGCAAATCAATGTATTTTGCTTAACGCTGTTTAGTGGCACCCCTGGATCGTTTCTGTTAGCAGAGGTGTTGACATTCTCGTGGAACTTCTTTCTCAAAGCACAGCCGTTTCATTTCCACCACCCTTTCTCAGTACGCTCAGTCATTTTCTTTCAGGACAGACTGAGGTGTTTGAGAGGGACTTTGCTTTTGGCTCCCGGGTTGTTCTGGTTCTGTGAGGTCCTGCAGGTGGGGGCAGGAGCCCAGCTGGGGCCTGAGGACATGACAGGCAGCGTCTCAGCAAGGCCGGGGCACAGACTCGTAGGCCTCCGGTTCAGAACAGCCGTGGTGGCCCAGCCTGTGCCCGGGTGTGCACACTTCAGAGCCCTGCACAGACGCCTCTGCAGGATTTTGCTTTTTAACATTGTTTGCTCCCCAAACTATCAAATAATCCAGATTCAGACCCTGACCTTGGGCCGACTCAGCAGTGGCCTCTGGTGGACCGGCTCCTGCTGCTCCTCCTTGGTCACCCTGACCTCTGGCCACTGTCCCACCCGGCTCTAGGGGCACCCAGTGGGCTGAGACCTTCGGCAGCTCAGGCTATGCTGTTGGGCAGAGCGGGTCTCCAGGGTGCCTCACCCAGGGCTACGCAGGAGGCCTTTCCAGCAGTTCCACTGAGGCTCTGGACAGGGATGCTACCCACACACCACCCTGGGACGCCAGGGGTTTTCGACACGACGATCGGTCAGAATCTGCAGTGTTCTCTTCAGTCAAAATTGCTCACTGCGTTCAACCAAAAGCTGAAGTTTTAATTCAACATTGAAATGTCAGTTTCCCAGGTCAATGAAGATGAAAGCTTTTTCCTTAGAAGGGAGCAAGGAATGAGCGAAGCAGAGTCTTGGGAAATTTCAGAATTAGAATAAGCACCAAAAATACGTATTGCAAAGAGCCCAGTGCTGCCAGTTTGATGGCTGTTGTCAAACATTTTCTCATCAGACGGCCTCAGCTCCACCTGAATGTCAGTCAGTCCCAAAGCCAGGCCATCGCTCAGGCTACCACAAATTCTGGAAGGGACTGAGTGTAATGAGGGTGTTCCAGGGAGATGCTCCAGGGAAGGACCCCGAGCTCCATCCAGGGCAGGGGGTGCTCCAGGGAGATATTCCAGGGGCAGGACCCCGAGCTCCGTCCAGGGCAGGGGGTGCTCGAGAGAGATATTCCAGGGGCAGGACCCTGAGCTCCATCAAGGGCAGGGGGTGCTCGAGGGAGATGTTCCAGGGAAGGACCCCGAGCTCCGTCCAGGGCAGGGGGTGCTCGAGAGAGATATTCCAGGGGCAGGACCCTGAGCTCCATCCAGGGCAGGGGGTGCTCGAGGGAGATGTTCCAGGGAAGGACCCCGAGCTCCGTCCAGGGCAGGGGGTGCTCGAGAGAGATATTCCAGGGGCAGGACCCTGAGCTCCGTCCAGGGCAGGGGGTGCTCGAGGGAGATATTCCAGGGGCAGGACCGCGAGCTCCATCCAGGGCAGGGGGTGCTCGAGGGAGATATTCCAGGGGCAGGACCCCGAGCTCCATCCAGGGCAGGGGGTGCTTGAGGGAGATATTCCAGGGGCAGGACCCCAAGCTCCATCCAGGGCAGGGGGTGCTCGAGGGAGATGTTCCAGGGGCAAGACCCTGAGCTCCGGCCAGGGCAGAGGGTGCTTCAGGGAGATGTTCCAGGCCAGGACCCCAAGCTCCGGCCAGGGCAGGGCTCTGCCCCTCATGCATGCCTAATAGCACCCCAGGGCTGAGGTCAGGGAAGAGGTTTGGTTCCCCAGGCTCACACGCAGTGGGGCACTGGTGATCTGAGGAGGGAAACGGAGGCACTGTTGGCAAAAGGAGGTCTGTAAGCTGAGTGCTCTGAAATGTTGGCCATGCCCACCTGGACATGGGCCAGGTCTGAACGAGGCAGTTGCCCGAGCTGTGGATGCCCTCACATGAAGCCCTGGGTAAGGCTGAACCCTGGACATTTATCCGAGGCCCCTGGACCGTGAAGAAGCCCTCAGGCTCTGTCCTTGTGCAGTGCGGGGGACCTGTGTCCTCAGGACTGGGCACCTCCTCAAACTAGGCCCTCCTCTAGGTGTGGCTCTCAGGGGCCAGGCCCGGGATGGCCAGTGTGAGGAGCAGCCCTGGACACAGGGTGCCTTCGGGCTGGGTTTTGGCCTCCTTGGGGTGTCACCGTCACCACAGCTTGTGACTTTCGAAGAGCAGCCCAGAATTTGGGCTTTAAATTATATCCCTGGATGTGTCTTGTTGGCAGCTAATTCAAATTTGTTTCCAGTGTTGTCAAAGAAACCCTATGTGTGGGTTGCATTCAGCCAGGAGGTCAACAGTTTACAACCTCAATGTTTTAAGCTTTTTATTCTGAAATGATTTTAAAGTTACAGAAAAAAAATGTCAAGAATAGTACAGAATGCCCCTGTATGTCTACAGACATACAGATCATTCATCCGTCTTCCCTGATGGTGGTATTTTTAAGTACAATGATTGAAACCAGTAAATTGACACTGATATTAACGACAGACGTTTTTTGAATGGTGTCAGTTTCCTCACTTGCAGCTTTTTTTCAGTCCCGGGGTCTCATCTCGGCTGGCACAGAGCGCTTAGTTGTCACGTCTCCTAGGCAACTGCAGTCTGTACGGGTTCTTAGCTTCCCGTTGTCTCCCATGACTTTGACACTTCGCGGCGGCCGGCCGGTGCTTTGTGGAGCATCCCTGGTCACTGTCCGATGCTTCCTCCTGATTAGGCCGATGCTGTGCGTCTTTGACAAGAACGCCAGGGAAGTGAAATGGTCCTTTCTTATCGCAGCATCAGGCTGTGTGAGTCGGCCTGTGGGCTACCAAGCGAGAGACATTTATTTTCTTGTTGTTCTAGGGGTTGGAAATCCAAGATCAAGGTGTCGGTAGGTTTGGTTTCTCCCAAGGCCTCTCTCCTCGGCTTGCAGACAGTGTCTTCTCCCTATGTCCTCACATGGTCGTCCCTCGTGCGTGTCTGTGTCCTGATCTTCCATTTTTTCTTTTTTTGAGACAGAGTCTCTCTCTCTTGCCCAGGCTGGAGTGCAGAGGTGCAGTCACGGCTCACTGCAGCCCTGATCGCCGGGCTCAAACCATCCTCCTGCGTCAGCCTCCTGAGAATCTGGGACCTCAGACATGCATCACAATGCCCTGCTCATTTTTCAGTTATTTGTAGAGATGAGATCTCACTATGTTGCTTAGGCTGGTCTTGAACTCCTGGGCTCAGGCGATTCTGCCTCAGCCTCCCAAAGTGCTGGGATTACAGGTATGAGCCACCGCGCTCGGCCCTGATCTCTTCTTATAAGGATACTGGTCACGTTGGATTAGGGCCTACTCTAATGACCTCATTTTATCTTAATCACCCCTTCAAAGACCCTGACTCCAAACACTGTCACATTCTGAGGTCTTGGGGGTTAGGGCTTCAACAGGTGACTTTAGTGGGGAGCAATTCGGCTCCAGCATAGCAAATATGGGATGTGAATGCTCATTGTTGCCGGTAACGCTCACGTGGATGGCATGAGTGAGGTGGTGTCTGCCAGATGAACCCACTGTAAAGGGATGGTTTTCCCCTTTGCCTAGAATAAATATCTTGGTGGTGGGGAGATACCGTGAAACTACACAACCTTCCTTCAGCTCATCTTCCTTCATGAATTTCTACATTTTGATTGCTCTTGCCTGCAAAAATTTTGACTGTAATGTTTGCCTAATGATGACTTTCTATTTCCACCATTCCTTCTGCATTTATTAATTGGAATTCTGTGATAAGTACAAACCGTGATTTATTTATTCAGTTGCTGGTGTTGCTATGACTCAGGGGTACTATTTCATCCCACAGGGCGCTGTCCGGCTCTATCATTACGGATTCTGTTGCTCCCGTTGTCGCGGCCGTGACCGTCGGGAGCTCTGTCCAGTTGGTTTCTGCCTCCTTTGATGCCTCCCTCATTTTCTGAGTCCCTCCTTACATTCAGGCATTAAAGATATGCTGGGCTCATGGAATCGGCTCTTTCCCTAAGGAGCCCTGGTGCCTTTGGTTGGAGAATGGCGTTTAGAAAGCAGGATTAGGGACAGGCGTGCTCATTTCTGCTGGAGCGTCACTGTTCTCAGTCCTCTCTCGGTGGACAGAGCCGGGAAATCTGTGTGTGTGTGCTCTCAGAAGCACACGCATGCACCTGCATCTTCCTGCATTTTTCTGTGTGTCTGTATGTGTGTCTGTGTTGCAAACTAGGATTGCATTCTGATACCTGTTTCTGGTCTAAGACTGTGGGATTCATTTAGCCTTTCCTTGTATGTTCTTCTTTCTCCCAAAGTAGGAAACCTGTCTCTCATTATTCTCAATAATTTTATTTGTATAAATGTGCTGCACACACAGGTTCAGAATTGCTAACCCACACCCTTGTGGGAAACGTATGTCCTGATGAGGGGACAGTGTTTGTTCCCACCCTCTCTGCTTTTAGCCTTACACCATGTAGTTAAGATACCATTTCTCTGCGTTCCATAGCTGGCTCCTTTCTTCTGCCTCCCTTCCTGTAGTGTCACTTAGAACACAGTCAAGTTCATCTGCTGTCACTGGTACTCTCTTCTGGGTCCCCCACAGGTTGGTTGATTTTCAGTGTTGATGTATTTGAGGGGTATGTGAACCATCGTGTGGTTCTGAAGGCTTCCTCCGAGCCACGGCGCACCCCCGCTCTGTCTCCATCCTCCATTCCCTGCACCCTGTTCCCACCCACTTCCCCAGGTAAGCCGGTCCCATTCGTGTGTGTGTGTGTTTTGTATCTCTTTTGTGCCAAATGAACAGATACATGTACTTTTTAAATAGCCCCTTCTGTCTCCTGTGAAGGGTGGTATACCATAGAAACTCTTTGGTACTCAGTTTATCCTGGAAGTCACTCCAAACCCATCCGCAGAGGCCTTCCAGCTTCTCAGCTGCGCAGAGCCCCACTGTGTGGGTTTACTGAACCATCGCCGGCTTATTCAGCTCATCTCCTACTCATGGGCATTTAAGTTGTTACCCATATTTTGTATAAATAACTTGTTGCAGCAAATGACCCTGTGAACCTGCATATTCCTGCAGTGGGCGGTCCAGCCTCTGTTCTGGAAACCCAGAAAGTTTCTATTTACCTGCAGATGGACCTTCTTCTTCCCCTTATGTTGACCCTCGGGCAGTGTTGAGGGGCAATGAAGTGACAAACAGCAGGGAGAAAATGACCAGTCTCTGCAAATAGACAACTCAGAATGGTCCCCAGCTAGCCGCCTTCTGCTCCTGACCCTGGTGTGTGGATTTAAGTCATTTCTGAAGATTCAACCTGATGAGCTGTCGACCACAGATGAAGACAGAACGGATCTGAGAGATGAATGATGTATCTGGGGTTAGCATCTGGATGATCCGAGTAATGGTTTTGGGAGAGGCAAAGCCTAGAATTAGCCACCCCTGAGGGACAGTGCTTTCCTGCCCCCGGCAGAGCGGCCTGGGGGGAGTTGTGCAGGAAGCAGGTGCAGGCAGCCCCGCTGGCCGGGTCACTGGGGTTCTCTGTGACGTCAGGGTCAGAGAGGCCCACATGGAGGGCTGGAGCCTGGTGCTGGTGCCTGATGGCTAGCTCCTCAGTGTGCTGGCTTTCCTGGCAGAGGGGAGGTCGAGCGTGGCTTCTAGTGGTCCCTAAAGCCACCAGGGTTTCCAGTGTGGCTGGTGCTGCAGCAGACCCAACCGAGCATCCTGTGTGTTTTGGAAACATTTCAGTCATGTTCCGGTCAGTGATAGATTGCGTATACCACAGTGGTCCCATCAGACTGTAAGACCAGATTTTCCCTGTACCTCATCTATGTTTTGATGTATTTCAATGCACAGATCCTTCCCATTGTGTTACAGCCGCTGGCAGCATTCAGTACAGTAGTGGGCACAGTTTGTAGCCTAGGAGCAATAGGCTACTCCATACAGCCAGGTGTGTGGTGGACTGCGTCGTCTAGCTTTGTGTAAGTCCCCTCTGTGATGTTCACAGCACGATGAAATCGCCTAATGATGCATTTTCACAATGTGTCCTTGTCATTAAGTGATGCAAGACTGTACTCCTTTTCCTTGAGGCACCATTCAGGCCTCCCAGACACGAGAAGGGAGCAATGGGAAGGGAGCAATGCAGCAGGCGTGTCTGTGTGAGAAGCTCGGGCAGGGCTCTCCGGGCCATTTTCTCACTGGTCCTGAGGCCTGCTGGCTGTGGCCCGAGGGCAGGGACGGCATGGTGGCCTGGGGGAACCGTCTCTGCAGGCACTTCTCACCTCCCGGCTCCAGTGAATTACAGGCCCTGTGGGGCTTGATGCCGTGGATGGAAGTTTTGTAGAAGGCCATGTTTGTGTCTTCTGTGAAGTATGAAAGGTGCCAGTTTGAAAACCAGAGAAAAAGAAAGCGTGGATTAAAATGCAGTCCCCGTTTTAATGGTTGGTTACTGCAGTTATTTTTAAAAAAAGAAAGTGTTTGAATAAGGAATCCTGTCTTGAAGAGAGGTGGAGAGGAATTTTTATCATACCGAAAGAGGATGGTAATTAAGGCTTGTCTTAGCCAAGCGTTCTCTAGGGTTTTGGGGTTTTTCTTTTGAAGGTTGCTTTTATATTTCTGAGGATGTTGCGGGGGCCTGCTCTTCTAAGTTAAAGTGATTTGTCTGATGGGAAGATTTCCCCTGGCGGCACTCTGTCACGGGCCGTGAGGAGGAGGTGAACTCAGAAGAGAGTCACACATTTGTCCCCCACATCGTTGTCAGGGAACCGTGACATGGAGGCTGCAGGAATTTTCTCCCAACATGGGCTGAGGTCTTGAGGCCCGAGGCTGAGATGCCTTCTTTTCTTTTTTTTTTTTTTTGATACAGAGTCTTGCTCTGTCATCCGGGCTGGAGTGCAATGGCACGATCTCGGCTCACTGCAACTTCTACCTCCTGGGTTCAAGCAATTCTCCTGCCTCAGCCTCCTGAGTAGCTGGGATTACGGGCATGCTCCCTGCTAATTTTTGTAATTTTAGTAGTGACAGGGTTTCACCGTGTTGTTCAGGCTGGTCTCGAACTCCTGGCCTCAAGTGATCCATCCACCTCCGTCTCCCAAAGTGCTGGGATTACAGGCGTGGGCCACTGTGCCTGGCCTGAGATACCTTCTTTTGCTGGCACAGAATGGGGTGCAAGCTCCCCAGGGTGTGAGGGACAGAGTTGCAGGCCCATCCTGGAGGCTCTGAGGGGGCACCTGGTAAAGCCTGGGGGTGAGGCTGGGCACTCCACATGCCCCAGGGCTGCACCACGGAAGCCCACGGAGGTCCTGGGACACGTGACTGTGTCACTGTGCCCGGTTCATGTCAATTGCGCCAGTGCCATCAGTGTGTCTGGGCCCTCAGGCTGCAGAGGGCAAGTGGGAATGGTCAGTGAGGTGTCATCTGTGCTTCTCCCCTGCTGGGGAGCCTGCACTCTACAGACAAACGGGGCAGCCGCGGGTGTGGCTGGGCCATGGACTGTGTCTCAGTGGACTGTGTCTCAGGGCACAGACCCTGCTTCCAGCCTTTCCCGGTGCCCTCCAGAGGGCTGGGTGGCCTCATTACTCCTGCCCTTCTGAGCTGGATGGAATCCCTTATTCTCCCAAAGGGCTCATTTTAATGTCTGCGGGGGGGCGGGAGTCCTTTGCCACTGACGTCAGCCCTTTGCCACTGACGTCAGCAATCGTCTGTCCGATCTCTCAGGGCATTGGAAGGGAGTGAGCTCCAGAGCACTTCCTGACCGCGTGGAGCCGAGCTCCGGAGCGCTTTCTGACCGTGTGGAGCTCCAGCGTCCATGTCACCCCGGAACAGAGGAGGTTCCCAGGCATAGAGTGGAATCCAGACTTTGGCCTTTTGAAGTTGGCTTGTGTTTCTGGGGCTTAATCTTCCAAGGGAACTGGTTCTGCTGTGTTGAGATGCATTGGTGTTGGGGCACTGTGGCTGTGGGGCTGGCCTGGGCATTGCAGGGAGGGTGTGGAGCAGCATCCCTGGCCTCTACCCACTTGATGCCAGCAGCCCCTCCCCAGGTTTGACAACTAGATACGTCTCTAGGCATCGCCAATATACCCGGGAGACTCCCAGGTGAGAGTCTCCCAGGGGATATTGCAGTGTTCACGGCTGGATGCTACTCGTCACTATTCCATATTCCATTATATGAATAGGCCACCGCTGACTCGTCCTTGTAACCATAATTTGGCTGTTTCCAGTTGCGGACTATTACACACAGTCACTTTCCTGTGCTTCTCAGATTCAGAACCATATTTGAGGGAGATGAAAGCAGGCGGGTGGCTTCTCTTGGAGGCAGGTACTTTCTCGTAGGGATTGTGGCACACAGCTGTTATTTCTCTAGGATTTGCTGTGAATGAGGGAAAAACGGTTGATTGTGAATGAAGCAAGGTTCATTTTCTTCCCATGGTCATTCCTTGGTGCACTGTAGATCCAGGATATTCCTACTCTGCAGGCTGTTTAAATAACACACACACACGCACACACATGCACACACACATAGCCAAACATCGTTTGAAATCCCATCCCTCAGAGATGACCAGTGTCAACATTGTGGTGACTTCTTTCGGGGCTTCTCTAGGTGTGTGTGTGTGTGCACACAATTTTATATAAATGGGGTTCTGCTATCCGTGCCGTTTCGCAGCTTCAGTTTTTAAATTTACCATGTCTATATTTCCGTGCCAGTAGCTCAGACTGTATCATCATTCTCACGGCTGCTTAATAGTCTACGTTTGTCATCCTGCTGGTGTGCGTCTGGCTTCGGGTTTGCATTCTCACAATGCTGTAATGAATCTTCTGTGTTCTTGCTGGGTTATCTCTGTAGGATGAATTCTCAGAGGTAGAATTGCTCTGTTAAATGTCTACACATTTTTTTCTCATTTTAAAATTTATTTTGGATGTTTAATCCAGATCTGTGTTTATTTACTGAGGGGAGCAGGTAGAATTGTAGAGTCACAGAGAAACAAATTAGAGCTAGGGGTTCAGGGTTACTCAGACCAAACTTCTCATCACCCTGCATCCCCCTGCCAGCCATGTTTTAAAAGCAAACGTGTTATTGGAGTATAACATGCCTGCAGAAAAGCACGTATATGTGTGTATGGTATGACAGTTTTTACAAAGCGAACATACCCAAGAAATCACCCCTCAGGTCAAGAAGCAGCACACGGCCAGCACCATGGAATGCCTTTTCCAGACGCCAGCAGAACAGAGCTGCCGGATGTTCTAGTGAGCGCGTTTCTGCTGGTGAACCTGACTGTGCCCTTCTTTGTGGGATCTGCCCAGGATGGCGTCGCTGGGTCGAGGGGCATGTTCAGCATGAACAGCTGGTGCCCGGTGCCTTCTCCAGAGCGGGCACTGGTTCACTCTCCCCTTGGCAGAGCGTGAGAAGCCCAGTGTCCAGCATTGGGTGTGGCCCGTCTTTTCCAGGTCCGCCATTCTGGTGGCTAATGTTGTCTCATTCTGTTTTTTATTTGCTTTTCTTGAATGATGTTGGTGACCTTTTTATGTTTATTGGATATCAATATCCTTTTAAAAAAATCTACTCAAGACTTCTGCTCATTTTTCTGTTGTGCTGTTTGCTTTTCTTTCTTACTGATTTTTTAAGGAGTTTTTGTGTATTTTGAGTATGAGTCATTTGTTTGATATACGTATTGCAAATATCTCTTACACGGGGTCTTCCCTTTTGACTTCGATGGTGTCTGCTGGTGGACAGCAGTTTTCAACGTCAGTGCAGTCCGGTTTATCAAGCTCTTCTGTATTCAGTGCTTTTATGTCTTGGTGGAGGAATCCTGCCTAACCCGAGGCCATGAAAGTAGTTTCCTGTGTTACCTGGAACATTTGTTGTTTTCACTTTCGTGTTTGGGCCTGTGGTCCTTCTCTGCTTGTTTCTGTGTCTGCAGTGCAGTAGGGGTTGAGACTGACCACTGTCCCCAGACGGATATGTAATTTACCCAGCTCCACGTGTGGGAAGACCAACCTCTCCCCTAGTGCTGTGGTGCCGCCTTTGCCGTCAGTCACGGGAGGGGCGACGTGGCTGTTTCTGGACTCTGCTCTGTCCGTCATCCCATTTGCATGCCGGTACGATTGCAACTGCCACGTCCTATGCCAAGGCCTGAGACCGGCTCGTGTAAACCCTCCAGCTTGTTATTCCAGGCGGCCTCGGCTATTTTTGGTGAGACGCATTTAAAAATTTGATGCGCGTCGTGAAACTGCCCTTCAGAAAGGTCGTAACCATTTATCCAGCCATGGGTGGGGCTCGGCAGTGCCGCCTCTCCCACGCCATTGCAGACTCTGATGCACAGGAAGTCACACCTGGTTGTCATTCATAGCTGCGTAGCTTTGGTTATTGGTGAGGCTTCCTAAGTGAACTGGCCATCTGCATTTTTCTTTATGTTGTAACCACCTTCTTTCCTGATTTCTCCAGTGGAGTGTTTGTTTTGTTAGTGACTTCTGAGAGCTCTCGATGTAGTTCCAACGTTAACTCATTGCCTGCTGCTGTAATCTACCAGGCTTATTTTTATATTGACTATTATAGTCAGTGCGGATGAACACTTGAACCTGCAGTGCGAATCCGTTCCCCTGACCCCAGCCTCTGTGCCTCCCCCTCCTCTGCTCCTGCCTCCCTCTGTCAAGATCCTTGGGATCACACTGGATACATGTGGCTAATCCAGGATCACCTCCCACCTCCAGACGTTTAATTTACCCACATCAGAAAGGTCCCTTTTGCCATGTAAAGTGACATTCCCAGGCTCTGGGGTTAGGTTGTGGGACTCTCGTACGGTGACATTCCCAGGCTCTGGGATTAGGTTGTGGACCCCTCGTTCGGTGACATTCCCAGGCTCTGGGGTTAGGTTGTGGACCCCTCATGTGGTGACATTCCCAGGCTCTGGGGTTAGGTTGTGGACCCGTCGTAGGTGACATTCCCAGGCTCTGGGGTTAGGTTATGGACCCCTCGTATGGTGACATTCCCAGGCTCTGGGATTAGGTTGTGGACCCCTCGTTCGGTGACATTCCCAGGCTCTGGGGTTAGGTTGTGGACCCCTTGTTCGGTGACATTCCCAGGCTCTGGGGTTAGGTTGTGGACCCCTCTTAACGGTGACATTCCCAGGCTCTGGGATTAGGTTGCGGACCCCTCGTTCGGTGACATTCCCAGGCTCTGGGATTAGGTTGTGGACCCCTCGTTCGGTGACATTCCCAGGCTCTGGGGTTAGGTTGTGGACCCCTCGTTCAGTGACATTCCCAGGCTCTGGGGTTAGGTTGTGGACCCCTCTTATGGTAACATTCCCAGGCTCTGGGGTTAGGATGTGGACCCCTCTTATGGTGACATTTCCAGGCTCTGGGGTTAGGTTGTGGACCCGTCGTAGGTGACATTCCCAGGCTCTGGGGTTAGGTTGTGGACCCTTCATACGGTGACATTCCCAGGCTCTGGGGTTAGGTTGTGGACCCGTCGTATGGTGACATTCCCAGGCTCTGGGGTTAGGTTGTGGACCCGTCGTAGGTGACATTCCCAGGCTCTGGGGTTAGGTTGTGGACCCGTCGTAGGTGACATTCCCAGGCTCTGGGGTTAGGTTGTGGACCCCTCTGGTGGAGGGTGGGGATTGTGTTTTGTCAGCTGCAGAGGGTAAATTAAGAATCTGTGGGGAGCCCTTCCAGACTGTGCCGCTGAAATTGTTGGGGCAGTGGCTCTATCTCCGAGAATGCAGCTAGATCTCAGAATGCATCCCCAACGTTGCAGCGTGCGCAGGCCCTTCCTCCTGAGGGCACCCACCTTGGTGAATGGGATTTTCTGTATCCAGTTGTCTCTGCTCCAGTTGATGTGGCAGACACAGGGTCAGACAGAAGCTTGCTGGACATCGTCCCTCCCCTGAGGCCAAGGCCGGACGAGGGGTCTCTTCAGCTGCACATCGGGGCAGGTGAGGGGTGTCAGCCACGTCCCGGGGAATAGTAGCCTGCCCACCTCAGCAGAATGGCGAACTCGCTTTCCCGTGGCCTTTGGCATCTGTAGCGTGGATGCCATGGAGTGTGGCGCGTGACACCTCAATGTGGCACACTGAGACTGTAAAGAACAGAAGACACCAGTACTTTAACCCGCGGCTGAGGGCTCATCGCTTTGAATACGCCGGGGTGTGCAGAGCACAGGTCAGCTATTGTGTAGGAGAGACACTGAGCCGCATCTGCAGCCTGTTGTTCTGGGGTCGCCTTGGTTACAGCCACCTCTGTCACAATGTGCAGTGTGTCGGAGTCTCCTTCCAGAGGAGCACTCGCCCACAGCCAGGGCCCCCACCGAGGGCCGCTCTTTTCACCAGGGTTTCTGAACAGGCCACATGGGAGCCCGGAACGCAGGAAGGGCAACACCTCATCCCAACTCACCACACTGGGCCCCGGGGAGCCAGGGGCTGGGCGGTCTCAACTCTGAGCTCCACTGCCGGAAGCTCTGCTGCCTTGGGGGGTCCTGTCGAAGCTGCTCCCTGCCTCCCACCCTCCCTTCCTGCGCCATGTCATTTGTTGGGGGCTCTGACAGCGGAGCCCACTCACGTCTGGGGCAGCCTTGGGTACTGCGTGCTGCCCTGGTGCGGCTCAAACACTGGACGGTGGCCTTCATCCCTTTAGGCCTGGCTTAGCCTCTTGCAGGTCTGAGCCCAGGTGCAGGAGAATTCGGGGAGACTGTGGGGCATGACTGGAATGGGGTGAGTTCTGACCTGTTGCTGGGATGACCATTTACACAGCTTGAGACATAAATGCAGTCCCTCACCCATGCGGTTCTGTCGACGAGTCACCCATTGCTCACAGCTTCTCAGATTTGCGTTTGTCGGTGGTTTTCCCAAGGTTCCAGGATTAGCAAACACGGCCCCCCCACCCTTCCTTCAGGCCTGGTCTTAAACCAGGTCACCCACCTGCCCCTCCCCTTGAGGCTGCAGGAGTTCTGGGGCCCCTCTCCACCATCCCATTGTACTGGACCCCCAGGGCCACCTCCATGGATCTCTGTGTCTTTGATTCTTGTGCCCCCAGGGTTGGGCCTGGGTGTCAACACCTTGTCTCCCCAAAACCTCAGGAAGTGACTTGGCTTCTCCCCAGGGGCCAGCTCTGCATACCAAACATCCGGGTCACTTCTGCCAACACTCGGAAACCCTGAGAGGTGTCATTGCCTCGTCCCCGCACATGCCAGGTGCCTACCTGCCTTCCCTGTGGGAAGCTGGGGAGCCATTTGTGTCTGTTTGGTGAACTGCTGCCCCGGAAGGGAGGCCTTCAGATGAACCAGCCTGACTTCTCTCCTATCGCAGCCTCCACCCTTGGCTCTGGGGTTCCTGCCGCTGTGCCCCACAGATAGAGGGGGTGACATTGCTTTCCAAAATGCAGCCCTTAGCCCTGAGACACAGCCCAAATGTCCTTCTCCAAGTGTCAGGCACCAGCTCCAACCCTGTCCCCCGCAAGGGGCACACAGGGCTCCCCCAGGCTCTACTGAAGCCCTCTCCTAGGCTACACAGGCATTCAGTAGGCGGCAGACGTTCCCTCTCCACCCTGGCGGTGGAGGCAGAGCTCACAAAACAGCTCTATTCAAAGACAGTCTCACAGGTCCACAGCTTATTGTGCCACTCGCGACCCCGCCTAGATCCTCCACGAGCACGAATCATCTCACGGGTTCTGACGCCTGCTTTGAAAATTCAGCGTAGTAGGAGGTTTCACAACTCACTTTGGTACCCTGGAAGTACATGCGATGCCTCCGCTGACACGTCCCCCACCGCTGTGTGGCCTTTTCCCCGAGTGTTCTTGCTGCAGGCCCGGGTGCCAGCACCTGCACACGAACTCTCGGCTGCCCTCTTAGGACAGCAGTGAGCGGAGAGGGCTCTGCAGCTCCACGTGGTTGCTCACTGTGCTTCCTCCAGGGCCCCTCTGCTTCCTCTCCCTATGGTGGGGCAGTGACGATTATGCTTATTAGAGAAATCACCACCCCGTCACAGAGATGACATTTATTAGAGAAATCGCCACCCCATCACAGAGATGACGTTTATTAGAGAAATCGCCACCCCGTCACAGAGGTGACGCTTATTAGAGAAATCGCCACCCCGTCACAGAGGTGACGCTTATTAGAGAAATCGCCACCCCGTCACAGAGGTGACGCTTATTAGAGAAATCGCCACCCCGTCACAGAGGTGACGCTTATTAGAGAAATCGCCACCCCGTCACAGAGGTGACGCTTATTAGAGAAATCGCCACCCCGTCACAGAGGTGACGCTTATTAGAGAAATCGCCACCCCGTCACAGAGGTGACGCTTATTAGAGAAATCGCCACCCCGTCACAGAGACCACTTCATTTGCAGCTTCCTCTCCTCCCGAGCTAAATGGCGCGCGACGAGCCCCGCCCTGCCCTCCAGGACATTCATGGCTCGTGCCAGGCAGTGCCCTGGGTCTCCTGCATGCCCACCCTCCGTGTGCAGACCAGGCTGGCCCTGCCCGAGCTCTTTTTTTGTGCGGGCAGGGCCGTTGGGTGGGTCCCCTGTAGCTGTGTCCAGATGGGATTGTCTTGTTTTTGTGTGGCAGGGGCTGGGGTGGGGTGGGAAGGAAGGACTTCCAGGCCGGAGGGGTTTCTAGAGCTGGTCATTGCTGGGGCCAGGGTGCCCTTCCATCATGCACCCCACAAGCACTGCCCAAGCACCACATCTGTGCTCAGCACCGTCAGAGCCCTGGAGGCACAGTGAGCAGGACAGGCGTCCACATGCGGCCTTCCTTCCCGCTCAGAGCGTGGCATGCAGGGTTGGGTTCCTTATGTCTTTTCGGAGCCCCCTGAACGCAGGGAATTCTTGTCCTCTGCTGGGCTGGGTTGCGCAGGTGTGCAGTGACGGAGGCAGCCAGGCAGGTTCTCAGTGAAGACGGGAGTGTGTGTCCCTCTTGCCTTGGCTGACAGGCCTGGGTCCCGGTGGAGTGGACTGGAGCCGGCCCTGGAGGGGCAGGCCGTGGGCCTGGGTGGCCACAGGGGCTTGCAGGGGCACGGGATGTGGTGGTTGCCAGGTCCCTGGAGCAGGTGCCCAACCAGGGCTGCACAGCCGTGTGTCCTCTGTGGTCATTTCCACGGCTGCTGCGTCTGCTAGGGGGAAGCAGCTTCCCTGAGCCGCGTGGGTGAAGGCTGGGGACACGTGGTATCTGCAGGATCTAGGTGTGAGCGTCTGTGCATTTTCACGGCACTCCTGGCAGGACAGAGCTCCACCCTCTGCCAGTCCTCCCCGGGGGATGCCGGCTCCACCTGCAGCTCACGTCCGATTTCCACCGGTACCCATCGTCACCATCACCAGCCTTGCCCCTGGTTTCACTGTCTACCCCGGAGGCCAGCGCCAGCCTCCCAGCCGCCCCCAGCTGCACACAGCAGCCAGAGTAATATTCGACGTGGCCGTCAGGTGGTGTCACCCTGTGCTCGAACCCTCTCGGGGCTTCCTCTGCATTTCAAGTAAGATCTACACGCCCTTCTTCCCCTGCCCACCCTGCCGCACTCTGGGCCACTCCCCGCCCATTCCACTCCGCTCCCGCCATGCGTCTGCCTTGCTCTGCGCCACATCAAGTGCATTCCCACCCCAGGGCCTTTGCACGCCTGTCCTTTTGAATGGAATGCTCTTCCCCCGGGTCCCCGCATGGTTGACACCTTCCCAGAGTCGCCACTGCCGACCTGACTGTCCTCCACTGCCCAGCCCAGCCTCGCCAGCCACTCGCCACATCAGCTGGCTCCTTTTCTTTCCTGGAAGGCGGCACTGTCTTACTTGTGTGTTTGCTTATTCTTTCTTCTTTGTCTCCTTCACTAGAAAGTAAACTCCATGGGGTGGAGGAAGGAAGGGAGGGAGGCAGAGAGAGGGACAGAGAGAGAGAAGAGCAGGAGAGAGAGGGAGTTGGGGAAGAGAGAGGCTGTCATGTTTATTGCTATTTCCTGAGTCTAGAACAGAACCTGGCATATGACAGGGTCTCCATAAACATGTTTGTTGAATGACTGAGGCTAGGACACGGTGGTGGCCCCTCGCTGGGCAGGGTGGGCTTGCCATGTGTCCCCCAGCTCTGGAGAAGGTGGCTCTACCTGAGGCTCTCTCCTTCACCAACCTGGTCACGTCACCTTGGAAATGTCACTGCACCGGCTCCCGCTCCTTAGCCTCCACCTGAACACAGGGCCGCTCTTGCCTGGGGCCTGCAGGACCTCCTCACTGGTGCCCCACGCCTACAGCTGCTCCTCCGCCCCCTTCAGCCCTCCCCTCCACAGCAGGACGAGTGCCTTTTAAAGAAGCAAATCTGGTCACTCCCTCCTCTGCTGTGGAGTCTTCTGGGCCCCTGTCACTCAGAGTGAAGACAGACCCTGACCTGTGACTCACAGCCCTGTGTGGTCAGCCCAGCCTCATCTTGAACCTCTCTCCTCCTCTGTCCGTGCCCTCACCTCCGGGCCTTTGTACACGCTGTCCCCTCTGCCCAGAGCACTCTCCTCCTCCCCTTCCTGGTCGCTCCTGGTCGTCGTCCTGTCTCAGCTCTGCTGCCTCTCCTGGGGCCCTTTCCCAGCGCTCCTGGACCGGGTGGGCTCACCGCGCTGTGTCCTGTCCCTGTGGCTGTAGAGTGCACAATTGCCTCTCCCAGCAGGTGGTGTGCGCCATGCGTTGTGCTTGTCCTGACGTGCACGGCGTGTGCCACACAGTAGGGCCCTTTGCCAACAAGGAAGCTGAGCTTAGAAGCAGCATGAGCTGCTCCGGGTGACACAGCTGGGCAGTCACGCCCCGAGGGGCCCGGAGTTCTGACTGCAAGTGCGACTTCAGTAGCGTCTGTTTTCTACGTAGAATAAATTGAGACTGCAGTCTGCACCTTCAGACCGCCTCTGCATTTTATGCCTCAAGAAGGAAATCCACTGAGCCGAGACACAGCTTCTCTGTGCTTAACTGATGATGGGGTGTTAGCAGCTGCCCCCACACATGATGTCTGGTTGTCTGTTTGAAAATAGAAACAGGGCAGCAGTCAATCACTGACATAGTATGATGTTGTTATTATTTATCGAAGAAACTGTATTATAACAATGTTAATAGGAGCCAAATCAAAAGGAGAAAAATGGATCCATTTTCCTAGATATAGACCTGTTATGCCTTATGCACACAGACATGAACGTTTTATAAGTGGAAATTATAATGTAGATAAAAATGTTATTCTCCTAGTTAATTATTTTCACTATATCTATAAAAGGCAAGATGATTGCTTGGAGATTGATTCACACCCAAGCCAAAACCGAGTCACATTATACCACTACTAAGGTTCTCCTGGTCTCCTTTTTGTTTACCTGCTTTAAAAACAACAAAGCTTATTTGGGTTTAAAAATAAAAAGAAATTAACTTTGGTGAGGCTGCTCCTGTTCCTGGCCCCTTTATATCAGGCCCCTGGAGAGGCATGGGGACAGCAGGGTTCAGCCTTGCAGCGAGTCTTACTCACTGGAGGGGGTTGTACTCACTGGAGGGGGTCTCATTCACGGGAGGCGGGGTCTTAACCACTGCACCGGGTCTTACTGCATCAGGCCTTACTCACTGCAGTGAGTCTCACTCACTGCACTGGGTCTCACTCACTGCACTGGGCCTCACTCACTGCACCGGGTCTTACTGCACTAGGTCTCACTCACTGCCCCAGGCCTTACTCACTGCATGGGGCCTCACTCACTGCACTGGGTCTTACTCACTGCACCAGGGTCTTATTGCATCAGGTCTTACTGCTCCAGGTCTCACTCACTGCCCCAGGCCTTACTCACTGCATGGGGCCTCACTCACTACACCAGGTCTCACTCACTGCACCGGGCCTCACTCACTGCACCAGGCCTCACTTGCTACACTGGGCCTCACTCACTGCATGGGGCCTCACTCACTACACCAGGTCTCACTCACTGCACCGGGCCTCACTCACCGCACCAGGCCTCACTCACTGCACGGGGCCTCACTCACTGCACGGGGCCTCACTCAGTACACCGGGCCTCACTCACTGCACCGGGCCTCACTCACCGCACCGGGCCTCACTCACTGCATGGGGCCTCACTCACTGCACCGGGCCTCACTCACTGCACCGGGCCTCACTCACGGCACTGGGTCTCACTCACTGCCCCGGGTCTCACTCACTGCCCCAGGCCTTACTGCATGGGGCCTCACTCACTACACCAGGTTTCACTCACTGCACTGGGTCTTACTCACTGCACTGAGCCTCACTCACTACACCAGGTCTCAGTCACTGCACTGGGTCTCACTCACAGCAACAGAATCTTACTCACTGCATGGAGCCTCACTCACTGCACCGGGTCTCACTCACTGCACCAGGATCTTACTCACTGCATGGGGCCTCACTCACTGCACCGGGTCTCACTCACTGCACCGGGTCTCACTCACTGCACTGGGCCTCACTCACGGCACCGGGCCTCACTCACTGCACCGGGCCTCACTCACGGCACCGGGCCTCACTCACTGTCCCAGGCCTTACTGCATGGGGCCTCACTCACTACACCAGGTCTCACTCACTGCACTGGGTCTCACTCACTGCACTGAGCCTCACTCACTACACCAGGTCTCAGTCACTGCACTGGGTCTCACTCACTGCACCAGGATCTTACTCACTGCATGGGGCCTCACTCACTGCACCGGGCCTCACTCACTGCACTGGGTCTTACTCACTGCACTGGGGTCTCACTCACTACACCAGGTCTCAGTCACTGCACTGGGTCTCACTGCACCAGGATCTTACTCACTGCATGGGGCCTCACTCACTGCACCGGGCCTCACTCACTGCACTGGGTCTTACTCATTGCACTGGGTCTCACTCACTACACCAGGTCTCAGTCACTGCACTGGGTCTCACTCACTGCACCAGGATCTTACTGCATGGGGCCGCACTCACTGCACCGGGTCTCACTCACTGCACCAGGATCTTACTCACTGCATGGGGCCTCACTCACTGCACCGGGTCTCACTCACTGCACTGGGTCTTACTCATTGCACTGGGTCTCACTCACTACACCAGGTCTCAGTCACTGCACTGGGTCTCACTCACTGCACCAGGATCTTACTGCATGGGGCCGCACTCACTGCACCGGGTCTCACTCACTGCACCAGGATCTTACTCACTGCATGGGGCCTCACTCACTGCACCGGGTCTCACTCACTGCACCAGGATCTTACTCACCGCACTGAGCCTCACTCACCACACCGGGTCTCACTGCACCAGGATCTTACTCACTGCATGGGGCCTCACTCACTGCACCGGGCCCCACTCACTGCACTGGGTCTTACTCACTGCACTGGGGTCTCACTCACTGCATGGAGCCTCACTCACTACACCAGGCCTCACTCACTGCACCGGGTCTCACTCACTACACCAGTTCTCACTGCACTGGGTCTTACTCACTACACTGGGTCTCACTCACTGCATCATTTGGGGGTTTGGCCCCTTTCTGCTGATTTTTGCTCTAACTGTTGAGACGTGTGGGGACCATCACCAGGCCCCTGTGGAGGGGTTCAGATGACCCAGCAGTCTGGAAGCCCTGGACTTCCCCCATCCACATAGCCCAGTGTCTCCACAGTGCCGGGAGGGCCTGTGCGCTGAGCCAGGGCAGGTGGCAGATGGCGCAGGGCAGCCATGTGTTAGAATTCCTCTCAACCTTCAAACCTGCATCTCGCCTGCCTGCCACCTCCGGGTTGTTAGGCATCCACTCTGGTTTGGTATCGCAGAGCCGACACTCCTCCCACAAGGGAACGAGCCCTGCTTATTCCCACCCAGGCCCATCCAGCTGAGAGCATCTTTCTTCTCTGTGACTGGGGCCAGACAACAGAGGGGCCGATACTACAGTCGGGGGGCAGACATGGCAAGTGGAAATGCCCCTGGGGCTCAGCCACTGGAGTGGCCCACAGTGTGGGGTAGGTGGACACTCATCAGCACGGGCTGTTTCCTCATGGCTGGAGGCAGAGGTGATGGAGGGGCAACCTGCCTCTGACTCTGCCACGAGAGCACAGCCGGGGTGCAGGTGAGGGGGACGGCAGTGACAGGTAGGCTGACCTTTGACATCAGGGTCAGAAGCAAACCTGATGTGATGGGTCCCCTAGACCCGTCCTGTCCCCCAACCTGCTGATTTTCCCAGAAGAACTGTTTGCCTGAAACTTCTGATTTTTAAATAATTGCAAAACATAAAAGGGAAAAGACTAGGTCGCAGGCCGACACCTGGGGCAGATGGAGCAGGGTGGTTACGGCCTCGAGTGGAGGAGGGAGCAAGGCTGTCCCCCTAGGGAGGAGGAAGCCTATGGTCATCTCCCCAGAGCCTCTCCAGGCCAAGCTCAGAGGGAACTGCCTGCGGGAGAGGCCAGGAAACTGCTGAGTCTAGTCCTCTGTCGAAGGCCCCGAGCTGTGTGCGGAGCAGGAACGCATGGAGCCTGTGCTCCTCCAGGCCACTGCCCGCTGAGCCGGGACGGTGCGGAGAGTCCTGTGCTCCTCCAGCCACTGCCCACTGAGCCGGGACGGTGCGGAGAGCCCTGTGCTCCTCCAGCCACTGCCCGCTGAGCCGGGACGGTGCGGAGAGCCCTGTGCTCCTGGCCCCTGCAGGCTCCAGCTCAGCCCCCAGTCCCACCAGGACCCTCACGGGGTGACCCTTTCAACGCCGGGGAAATGGGGGAAAAGCCAGCTCAGCCTGAGAGGAGGGTTTCCATAAAAATAGATTTCCCGGTCTAGACCATCTTCGGTCATTATTCAGAAAGTTGTGAAAAAGTCACACAGAGTTCACGATGGCCGTGCCTGAGATGGAAAGATTGTTCAAAGACAAATGAGTCCTGTTCCCTGCAGGGAGCTCTGACAAGGGACAGCTCTGAACATCTGGTCCTGGAGGCTGGCTGTGTGGACTCTGAGGGGGTCACTTGTTTGTTGAAGGCTTTCCTCTCTGAGTGCTTTGCCGTTTCAAACATGGGGCGCACCCACCCGAACCCAACCCTGGGGCGCCTTGGCTGGGGTGGCACTCCCTGGAGGAGGGTGGCTGGTCCACGCCCCTGCCGCTAAGCCCAGGCTCACGCTGGGAAAGGGCCCAGACTCAGCTGGGCCCAAACAGGGCTTTCTGCTTTAAAATAATGAATTACTTGCAGACATTTCAAAGCTGGGAGATGCCACATAAAAACCTGGAGTTCTATGTTCCCTTGGCAAATAGAGGATCTGAGAAGGTGCTGCCGGCCAGCTGTGCTGGTGGCCCTGCCGGCGGTCCCTGAGGCCGGCGCAGATAGGATCATTCTGTCCCTGTTTTATGAACAAAACAGACACCAAGGGCCACAGAGGGACCTGGCTGCTCTGTTTCCAGAGCCCCACCCCACCAGCGGCACCCTCAGGCATGACCTTCCCGGCCCCTGTAGGAGCCTGAGTTTGAGACCCATGAACTGGCTCCTGCTCCCAGGGGCCGCTTTATTGTATCTCTGATGCTTTTTCCCAGGAGTCTGGAGGAGATGAATGGGGTTTGTCATTAACAGGACAGGGATTTGAGGTGTTTTGTCAACCAGACGTGCAACTGGTGCGGAGAAGTCAGTGGCTTCCTCCTCTCCCTCCTGCTCTTCATCCTCCCCTTCTTCTCCTTATTCAGAAGGAGCTGACATTCTCTTATTAAAAAGAACACAGGGTGAATCATGGTTTTGATGTGTGGTTACATATGTTTATACATTAAAGTAAATGTATATTATTTCTTAAGGGCAAAGTCTTAAGCAGTAATCTCCATAAAATCATGTGTTTGGTACACCCTTTTAAAAATGCATTATATACTTAACTATTAAACAAAATACTCACACGCTTCTCATACTTGCAGGGACCTAGGATCGTCCTGTGAGCACCACCGTGGGCAGCCTGCCCCTTGAGCCAGGGCAGGGAACTAATAGAGGCCTGGGCCGGGCAGCTCAGAAACAGCCCCAGGTGCACACCTAGGTGAACTGTGATTTTGGGGTAAACCACCCGCCCTCCAGAGCTGCCTTGTTATCTGTAAGACAGGGATAGAACAACCTTGTGTGTGCCAGCCTCAGGGGCTGCTGGCTGCCAGATCGCATGCGACAGTCATTTGGGAAACGGCAGGCTTGCTCGCTCTTGGACCGGAGCCTGCCGGGCAGTGGTCTTTGCACCACTCAGCCTGCAGGTGACCCAAACACTGTTTCAGTTTCAAGACAGTGGCCAATATTTACATCAGACGATTCTTACCTTAGCATCAGAATTGCTAGCTTCTTCCTGAAACCTGAACTTCTCGCGGTGCAGGTCTGACCTGCTGTGTGGCAGGACAGTGGGGCTGAATGGTGGCCCCCCCGGAGTTTGCCATCATCCCCACCTGGATGGTCCCTGGGGACATCTGAGTTGTGACCTGTGGTGATGATGCCACCATTTCTCTGATGCCCTCACTTGTCCTGGGGTGAATGTTTCGATGCTCTTACCAGGAAAGGGTAGCAGGGACTTCACTGAGCACAGAAAATCGGGGGTCTTGGTGCTGGCCACTGGCGCAGAGAATGTGGGGAGGCACCCAGAAGGATCCTCCAGGGCCTGGTTCTTGGATGATCTTGTGGAGCCGGAGGGTGTGGGTGGGGGATGTGGGTGCAAAGGAGCTGCAGAGGATACCAGCCCTGGAAGGAGGAAGTTGTCTGGGGAGAAGAAGAGCAGGTGTGGACAGGGCAGAGGTCCGCCCTTTCCCTGTCCAGTGGAAAGCCTCGATGGGGAGCTGACCCAGCCACCTGAAGCGGCTTTTGCCTCCCACCCCACCCTTGAGGGTATAACTAGTGACCTTGGCAGGGAGACCGAGACCGAGACCACTTTGTGACCTCCGCAGGGAGACGGAGACTGTGGTGGCCAGGACAGCATGTATTCAGAATCAAAGAAACAGGAAAGCAAACATCCAGTTATAGCTGGAGAGGAAGGTGTGCAGCTTAATGAGGCTCTGCAGAGACCCAGGGGCTTGGCCATCCACTCAGGGACACCAGGTGCCAGAGTGGACATGTCATGCATGAATCAGGGAGCAGTTCCCGGGGAACACACTGCACGCTGTTGCCGCAGCCTCCCCCTGCCTGGCGCCTCTGCCTGCACCCGCCTGGGAAGCACATTCTCCCTCTTCTGGGGTCTTTGCCCACGTCACATTCCCTCCCCACGGTCCTCCTTTCCTGGGTTATTTTTCTAGATGCCACTGCTGACATTGACATGACCTAGGGTTCCTTTGCAGTCGGGTTTGTTATCCGAGTCCCCCTGCGAGGAGAAGGCGCCGATGACCTAGGGTTCCTTCGCAGTCGGGTTTGTTATCCGAGTCCCCGAGGAGAAGGCACCATGTGTCCTTGGACATTTTATTATCGGCTGCGCCCCAGGCCCCTGCACGGGGCAGTTGCCCAGCAGGTGAGGAAAGGGGGCCACTGCGCCCCAGCTGCCACTTGCCCACAGGGATATTTTTTTACAGAACTGATGATCCAGATTTTTTTGGTAAAGTTATGAACTGTCCCAATTTTTAAAATGTTAGCAAGTGATTCAAAACAGCTTAAGTGCTGAACAGGCCAAACCCAGCCCTTCCATGGGGCCACATCCTGGACCTCCCAGAGCCCTTGGTTGGCATCATCCCGACAAGCCTCCCACTCCCCAGTGAGCCTCAGGTTCCGGAGCCTGCCCAGCGCTACCCCCAGCCCCCTGAGCCGCGTTCTTGCTGCCCCGACACTGATGAGCCAAGAGGAATGTTCCAGAAACAGCCTCATGGTACACAGTAAATATTTGTTGAATGAATGAATGAAGTAGACATAAGAAATTACATGTGAGTTAAAGAAAATCCAGCAGACACCGCTCCTGACTTCATGTCTATACGTCCTCCACTTGAAAACCTTGAGGACTCGTCACTCTCCCAGCTCAGATGTTTGGTTTCTAAAGGAAACTCCCACCAGGTAGCAGCCTTGCTGCTGGCTTCTCCCAGCTCCGTGTTCGGTCCCGGTGGGGTCACAGGCGCTGCGGCTCTGTCTGTCGCAGCCCAGGTGAGCCAGGAGGGGGACGCCGACCTCCAACCCCGGCATGGCGTCTGCAACACAAAGGCTGTTCCTCCTGAGCGTGTGGGAGCAGCATTCGAGCCAGAGTTTGAAATTGATGGCTTTAGGCCAGCAGAATAATTTGATTTAGCTGGCAACAGTTACGAATTGGTTGATTTCACATGAAATCTGCACTAGGGCCTGCGGGCACAGCTGGGCGCATTCCCCAGTGGTAACTGTCGGATTGTCCGCAGCTGAGTGTCTGCCCATGCGAGGCTGCGGCCCTCCCCGCCCTGCGGCCCTGCCAACCTGTGCCCTCCTGGGCAGGGCCCAGCCTGGCCCCTGTGGGCAGGTGAGTTGTTGCCCCTGCTTTCAGCTGGGAGCCTGCAGGCCTCAAGTACATCAACCCAAAGCTGAGCAAAGAGCAAAGTGCAGGGTGGGGTTGGGAGCGAGACAGGCCAGGGTCCTGTGCACCCTGGAGCAGCCCGGCCCGGGGCTGAGCATGCCGTGCATTTTCTCAGATGGCCTCCTGTCCGGGTTCATTGCTTCCTCCCACAGCTCTGGTGAAGAGCTGGGGAGAGGCCTTACTACCTTTCTGCAGATGAGGAAACTGAGACTTGTGGAGGTCCTGTGAGTCCAGACCTGCCACTAAGCACTGGAAACGGGAGTAGGAACCGCATCTTTGGGCCCCTGGACTGACAGGGGTGAAAACCATCCCTTTGGGTGCATACCAGCTCTGGGCTCCTCCAGCAGCCACGCTCACTGCCCTGGCAAAACATGACTTGGCTGTGGGCGTGTGGAACGCACGGCTTTGTCCTTGCAGACACCATGCAGGCCTCTCCCCTGCAGGCTGCGTGTGGGCAGGAGGCTGGCTCTCCTTCTCTACACCCTTTGGTGAGGGAGGCAGTGCTGCCTGAGGGCCATGGGGTGCCCAGCACTGGACAGAGGAAGACGCCAAAGCTCGGGTCCCGGGATGGAGGGCCCTGCGCACGCACACAGGGCCACACGGGGATGCACGTGGGGCAGAGTGCACCCGCAGGGCTGGGGAACGGGCTCGTGCGGCTGGGGAGCAGGCTCGTAGTGACCGGAGGGCATAGTGACTGGAGGGCGGGGCGCCCTGGTTCCCTCGGGAGGATGTGAGTGGCTTCTTGGATAATTCTGCAGGTGGGTGGGACTGAAACCCACCACCCTGGGATGAGTGGGAAGTGCACCTGTTCCCCATGAGGAGGGGGGTCTTTTGGGGACCTTATTCTGAGGAGCAGAGTTGGGAGGGAAGCATTTGGCCGGGCCACTAGAGGTTCCCTGGTTCTACCAGGCGTCAAGACAGCAGGGAAGACTGGGTGTTAACTTCAGGCCTCACACCGTGTAGGAACTCCATCAACAAGAAATAGAGGTTCTAATTGGGTTTCCATAGAGTGAACTGAATCTCTACACACCTCTGTGGGGACTTAGAACAGGTTCTGATAAAGCATCGCTTTCTCACTGGCAGCTGTGAAGTCCTAGCTATGTGGGAAGTGGTGTTAGGACCATTTAATGATCGCTGAGTCTTGTTAGAAGGATGAAGCGGCCGTCCTCACATGGGTGCCCTTGTGTCCTGTGTGCACAAAAGCATCGGGGCCGAGGAGGCCACGCTGTGTCTGCAGAGCTGGGTCCGCGCGTGTTGCTGTCCGGCTCCCAGGAACCCGTCCACCCACGAGTTCCCCCCTTGACAGGAGAGGCAGAAGCACAGGGGGCTGAGGGGACCGGTCCTGGGTGGGGTCACAAGAGACTCGCAGCTCCTGGTCTCAGAGGACTGGCTCTGCACCCTTTTTCTTTTAAAAGTGGCCCTCTGAAAATATTTATTTGTAATTCTGTAAACATAATTACATCTCCATTAAGAACCTGAAACATTCCAAATGCTGGCAGTGTCCTTTTCACCACGATTCCCAGGCCTGGTTTATCTTCCCCTCCCCTGAGAACCCCGCTGCCCTCCCTCCCACGGCTGTCCTTCCAGATTTCCCCTCGTGTTTAGATTTGCACCCATTGGAAAGCTCTGGGTGTGCGAGTTTCTTTTTACACACACACGACGGCATCACGCTGCCAGTGTGGTTCTGAGCCGCAGCGGCGCTCTGGGAGACTTCCTTCCAGCACACAGAGCTACTTCATTAAAGGACAAAAATGAAACCGAAACCCGAAGAGCACGCCCGCCTCGCGCCGTATTCCACCGCGTGGCTGCGCCGCGGTTCGTGTGGCTGGTCCCTGCGGGGCCGCTCTGTTACCGATGTTCAGGCTTCGCCCTCTTGTTCCTCGTGCGTGGTGCTCGGGAGCGCCTTCTCCGCAGGCCGTGGTGCGCGTGCCGGTGGGTTTCTGCGGCGTGTGCCACGCAGTGGTGTTGCAGCGCCAGGAGCGGATCCGAATGCGAATGGCTGCTGTCCAGGGGGCCTCCAGGCAGGCACACGCCTCCCACACCACCCGCGGGCGCATTGGGCATGCCGAAATCCGGGAGAGCGTGGATGAGCCTGGCCCTCGTCCCCCAGTCCCCAGGGCAGCCCGCAGGACCTGTGGGTCTCCAGGTCGCGGCCGTCATGTGGGCTGAGCCCTCCGTCCAGCACTGCTTCATGTGGACGCCGTAGGCGGGACAGTGTTCGGGAGGCAGGGATCTCGTCTTCTCCCGAAACCTGGTGCCATCATGTTGGTCTCTGGGCATCAGCCCCAGGCAGGGAGGGCGACAGGAGGATCCTGAAACTCTGTTCACAAGGGGCTCCAGGAGGAGAAGAGCGGGGCAGCCTCTGTCAGCGCACGCCCGGGAGCTGCGGCAGGGCAGTGCTGTACAGGGACCCCCCCCCACCCCCGCCTCCCTGCCCGGGCACATCCGGCCCACAGGCCAGCCTCGCTCAGCACACGGCTGTACCTGGATCACGCCCATGCCCACCGGGTTCCTTCTTACAACAGCTGAGAGGGATGTGGGGATTTACAGTTGGGGAAACTGAGGCTCAGGGAAGTCACCATGCTGCCCAAATCCACAGCGGAGTTGGGATTAGAGTTGAGTCTCATTCCGAAGATCATGCTTTCTCCTTGGGGGACAAAGCACCACAGCTGCCGGCACCAGGCGGCCAGCGAGGGAGCTGCCCTGCGGTCCTCAGGGCGGGCACAGGCTGAGATGTGACCAAGGTGATAGCGCCCGTCCTGGTCAGTGCTCCCTGCCTTGTCCATATCCTTCCTGGTCAGTGCTCCCTGCCTTGTCCATATCCTTCCTGGTGGTGCTCCCGCCCTGGTTGGTGCTCCCTCCCTGGTCAGTGTCCTCCCTGGGGAGTGCTCCCTCCTTGCTCAGTGTCCTCCCTGGTGAGTGTCCTCCCTGGTCAGTGTCCTCCCTGGTCAGCACTTCTCCCAGGTCAGTGTCCTTCCCGGTCAGCGTCCTCCCTGGTCAATGCTCCCTCCCAGGTCAGTGTCCTCCCTGGTCAGTGCTCCCTCTCTGCTCGGTGTCCTCCCTGGTCAGTGTCCTTCCTGGTCAATGCTCCCTCCCTGGTCAGTGCTCCCTCCCTGGTCAGTGTCCTCCCTGGTCAGTGCTCCTCCCTGGTCAGTGTCCTCCTGGTCAGTGCTCCCTCCCTGGTCAATGCTCCCTCCCTGGTCAGTGCTCCCTCCCTGGTCAGTGTCCTCCCTGGTCAGTGCTCCCTCCCTGGTCAGTGTCCTCCCTGGTCAGTGCTCCTCCCTGGTCAGTGTCCTCCCTGGTCAGGGTCCTCCCTGGTCAGCGCTCCCTCCCTGGTCAGTGTCCTCTCTCCCTGGTCAGTGTCCTCCCTGGTCAGCGCTCCCTCCCTGGTCAGTGTCCTCCCTGGTCAGTGCCCCCTCCCTGGTCAATGCTCCCTCCCTGATCAGTGCCCCCTCCCTGGCCAGTGTCCTCCCTGGTGAGTGCTCCCTCCCTGGTCAGTGTCCTCCCTGGTCAGTGCCCCCTCCCTGGGCAGTGTCCTCCCTGGTCAGTGCTCCCTCCCTGGTCAGTGTCCTCCCTGGTCAGTGCCCCCTCCCTGGGCAGTGTCCTCCCTGGTGAGTGCTCCCTCCCTGGTCAGTGCCCCCTCCCTGGGCAGTGTCCTCCCTGGTCAGTGCTCCCTCCCTGGTCAGTGTCCTCCCTGGTCAGTGTCCTCCCTGGGCAGTGTCCTCCCTGGTGAGTGCTCCCTCCCTGGTCAGTGTCCTCCCTGGTCAGTGTCCTCCCTGGTCAGTGCTCCCTCCCTGGTCAATGCTCCCTCCCTGGCCAGTGTCCTCCCTGGTGAGTGCTCCCTCCCTGGTCAGTGTCCTCCCTGGTCAATGCTCCCTCCCTGGTCAGCGCTCCCTCCCTGGTCAGTGTCCTCCCTGGTGAGTGCTCCCTCTCTAGTCAGTGTCCTCCCTGGTCAGTGTCCTCCCTCGTCAATGCTCCTCCCTGGTCAGTGCTCCCTCCCTGGTCACTGCTCCCTCTTTAGTCAGTGGCCTCCCTGGTCAGTGTCCCCCCTAATCAGTGTTCCTTTCCTGGTCAGTGTCTTCCCTGGTTTGTCTCTAAGGCAGGGAGGACGGAGCCCATTGAGGGCAGGGGCGAGTCCTGTGAAGATCTCCAGCCCTGGGTGTGGCCAGTCTCTGTCCTTGTGTGCTGGCCTGGAGGAGGGGAGTCAGGTGATCCACGGCGAGGAGACATTGTGGTTTGGAGACTGCTCCGGTGTCCTCCGCACCTGGAGCCTGGACAATGGGGGGACAGCTCTGAAGGGCAGATGGGTGGGAGCATTCCAGGAGCAGGCAGCCCCGGGCCCCCTTTTGCACCCCTTCCGCAGCCATCCAGGGAGCCCCCTGTCGGGAGGAGAGGGGCAGATACAGAGTCAGGTCAGCAGCCTGGTGAGAGGAGCCATAGAGGCAGTGACATAATGTGCAATGTGAGGACAGTTGCACCGCCCTGTGAGCTCACGTGGGGACACTTCCTCTGCCGGGCTGGGGCTGGGACTCTCCTCCATGGCTGTGACCGTTCCAGACAAGAGTTAGCCAGCCATTGTCAGTGCCAGGGACGTCACGACTGTGCGTGGCTCTGGGGGTTGGGTGAAGCCATAAATTCCCCACCTCAGCATTTCTTGGAAGACGTGGGTCAGTGGGAGGAGGCTTGGCTCAGCGTAAAGACATCATCACCAACAGCCACCCCCAAAGAATGACAGCCCTGCTGATGGCCTGCTTCTCCCTCAAGTAAGGGTCTGAGATGAACATCTGATACTTGCAGAACCAGGCCCTGTGGACCTGGCCCCCACTTTCAGCCCCTTCTCCTCCAAGCCCAGGATGGGGCTCTGCCAGTCATCTCCACATCCCATGTCACAGGGGTGAGATGGGGGTGGCAGAGGCAGAGTGTCGGCTCCCCTGAAGGGGGTTGGGGGCTTCACATGTGCTCTTGACCTCTCACCAGCTGGACTTGCTGGTGGTCAAAGGCCCTTCAACCCTGAAACAGGGAGAGCAGATGCTTGTCGGTCACAGAGCTCTCTCTGGCCCTGCCCCAGCACTGGGGCTTATGCACACAGTGTGCTGAGTGGAAGGCTGAGGGCGCAGGGTCAGCCGGGGCCAGCAGTGCTTCTGACACTGTGAATCCAGCAGCGGACGGCACGGTGGGTGGGCAGCCCCGCACCATCTGTGAGTCTCGCACTCCCCAGGGAGCACGTTTCCTTTCACACATCCTGCAGCTGGCCAGGAGTGCACCTATGTCTGTCGTGGAGAGCTGGAAGCAGCCGCCCATCCTCGGGTGTCTTCCTGCACCCCCGCTGCTACAGCTGTGGGGCGGCCCAGATGTGCAGAGGGGCCTGCCCATCTTTCCCGGGTTTGAGCCCACAGCCTACGGGAAGCGCTGAGATGGGTGTGTGCATGTGGGGCGTGGCCACCGAGGGAGTCTCTGGTGATCCGGGGCTCCATGGATTTGCGGGGCGGACGGCCCAGCCAGGCACCCTCCCAGCTGACGTGCAGATCAGTAATTTCTTCCACAATGATAATAGGTTGTCGATCCAGTAGCTTTTTATAGTTCACAGAAATACTCTTGTGTTCTGAGAAACCAGTCTTCATTTGTGGGCAGGGCAGGGATAATTTTCAGATGCTGGCGTGGCCCTCCTGTGCACCACGGGGCTACACCCACATTCCAGGAGCCAGGTCCCTCCTGAAGGGCTGGGCGGCAGGGCCTGCTGTCTCCCCTCTCCGAGACTGTGCAGGGAAAGGGCCTCCAGCTGGTGGGGAAGAAGCCTGCTTAGCTTCCTGACACTCAGGGCAAGAGGAGGGGTCTGAGAAGGAAGAAAGAAAGGAAGCACAAGGAGAATGGGTTTTAAGGGATGGGAGAGAGAGAGAGAGGGTGAGAATGGGTTTTAAGGGATGGGAGAGAGGGCGAGGCCAAAGGCCGAGGAAGGGAGTTTGGAAAAGCGGATGATACTTCATATGCTGTACGTCACGAGCACTCTGGAGCTGGACCCTCAGGCTCAGGTGCCTGCTCCTTTGTGGATTAGCTGTGTGACTGTGACCGAGTCCCTGGGGTCTCTGGTCTCAGCTTCCTGCCTTATCAGGCGGGGCCTTGGATACTGTCTGAGCCCAGGGCTGGCACAAGGGCTGCATGCCGCACATATGGTGGGACCTGGCCTTGGGGGGCAGGTTGTGAGCCCTGCGCTGTCAGGCATGGCCCTGATACCCGTCCTCTGCTCCTCTCACTCCCGCCCCACCTGTGTGCCTCCTGCACACTCATGCCCCATGCACTTCCTCCACTCGATGTGGAGAAACGTCTTTTCGATCTCCATGCCTACTTTTCCCTCACTCTAAGCCATTATAGCCAGAGATTCTGGACACAGAGTGTTGACTATGTCACTTCCTAATATGCCTTAGAATGCACATGTCACTGAAATAAAGTGCTCATCCGTGCACCACCCAGAGTGACCTTGTAGATCAGCAGTGACCTCATGACTTGTCTCCTGGCGAGCACTGGTTAATGGGATTGCCGGCCTCCCTGGCTGCCCCACAGGATCATAACCATGTGCTTTCAAGTGTGTGCTGCCGTCTGGGGTGCGAGCAGGGGCGGCCGTGTAGGCTGCAGAGTGAGGGCAGGTTTGGGGCCGGGCAGTGGGGCTGCCTTTAGGAATGGCTTTCCTGGAGCGGGGGAGAGCATGGGCCCAGCCGTCCAGCAGGACCAGCTGTGCCTGTGAGTGGGGTCCGTGGGGGACTCGGAGCCACTCCCAGTCAAGGTCTCTGGCTGGAGAGGGCGTCGGGGGAGACACAGCAGGAAAAGATGGGAACCGAGCATCTAAAACCTGGACAAGCAGGACAGTTGTTTGTGGCTTGCAGATGTCACCCTGGTGGTCCAGGAAGAGTCCTCTGCCTGGGCTTGGCCCTCTACCTGGGAAACTGGGCACGAATGCTTCTCTTGCATAGTGCTTGGCACATAGATTGGATACACGGGGGTCCAGGAATGCGTGCAGGAAGCTGGGAATTCAGTGTGTCCTCCTGGGCCAGCACAAACCTCATCGCCTCTTGGTGGCCTGTTACATAACACATTTTCCTGTCTCAAGTTGAAATCACCATCGTCATCGTCATCATCATCATCATCATCAATGAGATTCTCAGTCAGGACATCCGGTGCTATTCATAGCCAGGAAGTGCTGTTAGTTGGGCAGGCCAAGTACTCTGGAGTTGCTGGAACTAAAATTTGACTTGTGTTTTTCTAGCCCAAATTTCCCAAGATCACGAGCCACTCGTGTGTTGCCCTGTGTGTTAGTCTGTTCATTGCTATAAGAAATACCTGAGGCTGGGTAATTTATTTTAAAAAAAGAGGTTTAATTGCCTCACGGTTCTGCAGGGGGAACAGGAAGCATGGTGCTGACCTCTGCTCAGCTTCTGGGAAGGCCTCCGGGAGCTACAGTCATGGCAGAAGGTGGAGGGAACCAGGCACGTCTTACATGGGCAGATCAAGAGAGGTGGGGGGTGCCACACACTTTTAAGCGACCAGATCCACGAGAACGCATGATCGTGGGGACAGTGCCAAGAGGGATGGTGTTAAGCCAGCGGTCCCCAGACATTTTGGCACCAGGGACTGGTTTCGTGGAAGACAATTTTTGCACGGATGGGGTGGGGGATGGATTCGGGATGAAACTGTTCCCCCTCAGATCATCAGGCACTAGACTCTCATGAGGAGCTTGAAACCTAGATACCTCACAAGCAGAGTTCACGGTCGGTTTGCATTCCTATGAGAATCAAACGCCCGGCTGATCTGATAGGAGGGGAGCTCAGGTGGGAATGCCTGCTTGCCCACCGCTCTGTGTGCTGTGTGCCCGGTTCCTAACAGGCCACGGGCTGGTCCCGGTTCACGGCCCGGGTGTTGGGAACCCCTGTGTTAAACCATTCATGAGAACACCGCCCGCATGATCCAGTCACCTCCCAGCAGGCCCCGCCTGCAACACTGGGGATTATAGTTCAACATGAGATTTGGTGGGGACACAGATCTGAACCACGTCCTGCCTCAGACGGGCACTGTCCTGCCCAGCTGGGGGAGGAAGATGCACAAAGTCTCGCCCATGTCCCGGGGTGCTCGTGCTTGTGGGAAGTTCAGGATTATGCTGCCCCAGGAACGATTCCTTGTTTCTTTTGATTGACATCAACAATAGCCAATGGCCTGCTTCATTTTCCTTCTTTTCTGCTGTTTGATTTGAAACAGAACTTGGGTGTTTGTATTCAAATGGTAATTTTCCATCAAAATTCCTGTTTAAACAAATTGGGAATCTCAGGAACAACATATAATGTTCTGGAGGAGAAGATCCTTGAGAGAGCAGTGGATATCTGTTTTCTTTCTTTCTTTCTTTTCTTTTTTTTTTTTTTGGAGCCAAAGTCTCACTCTGTTGCCCAGGCTGGAGGGCAGTGGCGATATCTTGGCTCACTGCAACCTCCATCTCCCAGGTTCAAGCTATTCTCGTCCTTCAGCCTCCTGAGTAGCTGGGATTACAGGTGCCCGCCACCACGCCAGGCGAATTTTTTTGCATATTTAGTAGAGGCGGGGTTTTACCATGTTGACCAGGCTGGTCTCAAACTCCTGACCTCAGGCAGTCCACCTGCCTTGGCCTCCCAAAGTGCTGGGATTTCAGGTGTGAGCTACCGCGCCCAGGCGATAGCTGTTTTCCTAACACTTTCTTAGCATTTCTCTACCAGTAGGCAATTATTTAAAGAAGGAGAAAACATTCTGTTTCCAGAGTGGTGGAGAATTGAATTGAATTGAATTGAATATGAATTGAAACATACATATGGAGAGGATCAAGTTTGCTTCAAAGGATGTTTCCAAACTCGCATCTCCCTGCTCTGTGTTTCTTAATTAAATGGCTTATGTTGAGATCTCCTCCTCCTGCTTCAGAAATCACATCTTTCATAACCCTGCATGGTGAGCTCTGATCTGAAAACTTCCAGCTCCTCCTGGGGCCTGCACGGGACCCTCCTTTATTACCCCAAGAAGGTTGTCCTGGAGAGAAGGGCTTGCAGGAGCCGAGCTAAGGGGAGGCTGCTGCTGCTCCACAAATTGGAAAAGCTCTGCCTGGGAACACTGGGCTGTGCGAGCCACTCCCGGGGCTCATTTTCTCTGAGATGAGAACCCCTGCACCGAGTCCCACCCTGGTCAGGGCCGTGTCCTGAGGCTGGCGTGGGTGGGCACCTGCTGGCTTCCTGCTGTTTCACTCCGACCTTGTGCCCACATCACCATCACTTCTCGTCTTCTCACCTGTTCCCGAACTCAGTCCCCAAAGCGAGCTCTTCTTCTATAGCTGGAACATTCAGGGCAAGAGCTCTGTTCTTCCTGAGGGCTCTTGCTTCACATTCACTGAGGAATTAAAAGGTGCTTCCAGGGCTCTCCTGGAGGTCTGCAACCAGGCATCTGCCTCCGCCAGGGCTGGCACGGTCTGCTTTATTCAGGAGCAGTCGGGGGGGCATAAAATGCACGGATTGGCTTAGACCTAGGGAATGGGGAGTGGTCTTTGTGGGGGAGGAATGAGAGGCTCACTAGAGTGAAATTAAATTAGGGTTAAATGGACAGAAGTGTGAGTAGCTTCTGAGTAGCCAAAACAACCCACCTCTAGGACTCCATTTCTTCCTGTTGGCCTCATGGCATTGACTCCAAGAGGATGCTGTGGTTTCATGAGCCCCTGAGGAGCCGTAGGTAGCTCTGGAGGGGTGAGGACCCTGGAGAGGGCAGGTGGGAGCATCTGCCACTAGACCTGCTGAAGGCCAGCCAGTCCCACATCTCTGCTTGTGGAGAACACGACACTGTCTGCCAGGTGCATTCAAGAGCTGGGTCCCAAGGCACCTCAGCCCCAGTTTATAGCACAGAATATGTCCATGGCTGTTTTTCTGCCTGATCCAGAAAACATGAGCTCCCTCTGCCATACAGTGGGGCCAAATGATCCTTTCTGCACAGGCCTGGGCCTTTCTCGGTCAGATCGGGGCACTGGGACCTCCCAAGTCACTCCTGGTGGCATGCTGGTTTCTAAAGCATAATTTACAGTCCTTCTGGTAGCTCTTTCTCTGACAGTGCCCACAGAGTCACTGTGATGACGGAGTGCAGGCTGGTGATGGCCTGGGCCCTCTGCTGTCTGCTTCCACTTCCCTGCCCCGTTCCTGTGCTGTGAACATTTGCACCCTGCTTTCTTCACGTGCATGTGCTGTGGCATGTTGTCAATGTTTTATTTTCTTGGAAACCCGTCTTCATTCGATCAAGGCTGCTTAATTCTGCTGAAGTGCTCTGCTAAATCAGGAAAATGTGTATCTTTTAAGTAAAGGGTTTTCTGTAGAAGCAAACATAGTGATTTAGAGAGGACCTGACATGATTTTTGTGGCCTGAGAATGACAGGTGATCATTTCAGAAGTAATCGGCCATCACCCCACAGTAACCCCATAAACAGGGCTGTTTTTAAGAATTTTAGACTTTCCATAACATCAGTCAAAGTCAATGAACCAGAATGGTGCTAATCAACATGGATAAATCTCAAGAAAGTAAACCCAAAGACAAACATCCAAAGTGGGAGGGCGGTAGTGTGCTGCGACAACCCCACCACTGACTCAGCCGTTACTCTACTGATGGTTATTCATGTCGTTTACTTAGGGGGTGTGCTTGGGAATGGGGTCACATGGTGAGAAACACTTCAGTTTTGCTGATTTTTGCCAAATTTCTGTCCAGAGCAGCACCGATAGCCCACCAGTGTAGTAGACGTAAAGTCTTGCCACCCTCACTGGTGTGAAACAGGATCTCACTGAAGATGTAATTTGCATTTCCCTGATTACCTGTGAGTGTGAGCATCTCTCACCTGGTTATAGCCCGTCCCATTTACTGTCTCCCTCCCAGTTTCTGCTTCCCCTCACCTTGGGTTTTAACCCCTCACCACAAGAACCCAAACCTGTATCAGAGTCCCCAGGCCTAGAGCTGCTTCACCTGCACAGTTACAAACAATAAAAAAAACAAAAACACACTTACTGAGGTGTAACTGGCAAAAAAATAAATGCACATGTGTAAAGTGTTCAAAGCATTTACCCATAAAACCATCACCATGGTGAAGACGATGAACGTGTGTGTCACCCCGAAAGTTCCCTGGGTCCCCTTTGTAATCCCTGTCCCCTCCCTGTTCCTTCCCACCTCCCTCCCCTGTCCCAAGGCAACCGCTAATACTTGTTCTTTCGCCATAGATTAATCTGCATTTTCTAGAACTTTTGTATGATGGAATTGTATAGTATGTACTCTTTTCTGGCCTGGCGTTTTCCACTCAGCATTATTGTTTTGCTAAGCCATTAGTGTCAAGCTAAGTCCAGTTTTGCTTACTGGACTAGCGAGCCAAGACCCTTCTGTGCGCTCCACCCAGTGCCCTAGAAGTTCCAAGGTTTCCAGGCCGGCAGGTGTGGACTCAGGCTATTCCTGGCCCTGTGTGAGCTCCAGTTCGGTTCCCTGTAATCCATTGGGTGGTTCTTTCCCTGTTCTGGGCGCTTCCTTCCTGCATGTGCCAGTCTCTGCTGCGCTGAGAACTCGAGGGGCCCTCCACTCCATGCAGCTCTCTCCTCTCCGGTCACTGGTCTTGGATATCTGAGCACCAGGGTCTCTGCCGGGTCTTGCCTAGGTTCCCCTCGCTGCTGCAGCGTCTGGGAACTGTCTCAAGGCTGAGCTCCGGGGCAGTTATAGAGCTCGCTTCTGCGCTGTTTCCTGTCCCTCATGCACCCCTCCCCTTCATTGCCTGATGGATGTCCAGTGCTGTGAAAGGCACAAATTCACAAACTCACCTTAGGTTTCAGTTGGTGCCAACGGGCGGTGAGTCCGGTCTTGTTACACTGTCTTGGGCACAAGTCTCGACTGAGCTTGTTACTTTATGTTTCTATCCTGTTTCTGGTGCATGGAAATTTTATTTAAGTTTTGAACTTGGCCATATCTTTTTAGTTTGGAAAGTTAGATTTTAAGAAATACGCTTAATTTGTGGAGGGAAAAATTATGGAAGATTTTGAAATAGACCAAAAAGATTGCTGAATGCGTTTCATGGGAAGTGGGTGTTATCTGGGTTACCTGATTCTCGGGAGTCTGTGCTCCCTACCATGTCCCTGAGCCACCTCACAACCCTGTGAGTGACAGGGTGCCCACGGATTCACGTGATCCTTGGCCATTGACATGTAGGTCTCGTCTGGTTGATTCAGTTGATTCTTCTCCCTGGACATCAAGTTCTGCCAGTTTTGTGTCTATTAAGCACACTGACTTCAGCGTTCGGGATGGGCTCATGTACATATGGTTCTTTGAATTTCCCTTTGAAGTGACGGTCACATCTCACAGGTTCCCTTGCCCATTAACACGTTAAATAATATCTTTGATGTGTGTTCATTTTATCTCTGTATGAGAGTCACGATTTACCTTGTTAAAAGTTATCCTTTAATATGTGGGGGAGAATTTCAAGGGGAAGGCTTTCTATGTTGTTGACTTCAGAGTTCTTGTGCGTTTGTGTGCTCCAGGCCTGGGAAAACCTGGTTTAAACTGTTTCATTTGTGAACTTACAAAGTAGCATAGCAAACAAGGGAAACTGTGAGACAAAGCAGACGAACAGAAATATGAACGAGCACAGACTCTGGGGACAGCCACAGAGCTTCACAGAGCATATCTCTCCTTAGACGGTTCTAGAAGCAAACTGTGGGCTGTCAGATTCCCCCATTCTTTTCTAAGTAAAACCACTCATCTTTCATGGAAAATAACATCATTTTTGATGTGGCATATCAGAGGGCTCAAGACCACAAACATGACCGGTTATTATTAACAGCCACAGAGCTAGGCTGTAAAATAGATCAGAATTTTACAAACTTTGAAACCCACACCATTATTTTCACAGGAGTGAGGATTACACCCCTGGGAGCTCCTGATATGGTCCCCTGGGGGCAAACCTATGATGGAAATTTTCCCATCATCTGAAATCTTCTACCCTGAAGGAATATATTGAGAGTCCTGTTTTGTAGATTGTGTTATGAAAATATTATTTTTTTCCTCTTGGTTGAGGATCACTGATATGCATAGAGGCAGTGTTAACTTGTTCTGATCGTAAACGCTTTTTCAGACACACATTAGAGGTTGTACTTTAGTTTACAATCCAGGAGGAAAGTTTGCCGGCTATAGGGGAAAATCCCAAGTTGCGGCATTGGAAACAGGAACCAGTGAGAATGATCAATGCAAGGACCACTGCCCATTCTTTTGATCTTTATAAAGAATGTTCTCCTAAAGCTCAGGTCTAGCCACACTGGGGCCCTGACTCTGTCAAAATTCGGGGACAAGAGGCCAAGGTGGAGGGTTCCTCTGGGAAACATGGAGCCCATCATTGCTGAGGCTGTATTTTAAGCTAGGCTTCTCTTTTCTTCCTCTGATACTGTGCTATATCACAGCACCGATAACATTAACATGAAGTTGTGGAGAACTTGGCAAAATTCTAACCAAGTGTCTGGAGAAAAATAATTTATAACATGAATATTCCATGAGCAAGAGGCATCTGAGAAGAAAAATAGTCTGGAAAGAGACCTAGAGGCAGAGCCAGCACCTTTGATGTGGGTGGACCATGGAACCTGACACAGGGCGGAAGACCCCGTGGGGATAATCACTTCCCCTGGTTCTAGCGTGGACCACACAAGAGATCCTTGTGTTGGAAAGAGAAAACAAAGCACACGCTTCTGGATGCAAGCAGGTGTTAATACAGCTTCCAGGGCCCTAGGACGACGAAGGAAGCCATGTCCCTGGGGAGAACTGAAGACACCCATGTCCCAGGAGCCAGTTGTGGAGGCGTTGATTGTGCCGTGGGTCTTGGACTCACGTGTGTTGACATTCGACAAATAGATGAGATTTAGGATGCTGGGAAGGAGGGGGAGGATAATTACTAATTATGGTAGCATTGTCCACAATGATTAGAGTAACGGGATAAAATTTAGAGAGATGATTTTGTGGCAACGACTTGGGTGTAATTTTTGAAGTGGAGGAAATTGTTGCAGGAAATAATCACAGGCTACCCCCGCTGTGATAAACAGGTTTGAAGAACTGCACGGAACGCTGCCTGGCGAGCGCCTGCTGGTGTTTGAGAGAAGCTCTGTGCTTCACCCCTGAAGCTGGGTTGGATGGCATCAGTGGTTCCTAATGTGTTGAGACACGCCGCGGACCAGAGAATGCTTGGAAGGGGAACGGTGGAGAAAAGGGGCCAGATGGCAGCGGAGCCGAGTCTGCGCTGCTGTGGCCGTTTCCTAGGGCCACCGTGACAAATGGCTAGTGGCTTTAAACAGCAGAAAGCCGTTCTCCTGCAGCTCTTGAGTCCACGAGTCTGAGACAAAGGCGTTGGCAGAGCTAGTTCGTTCTGGAGGCTCAGCGGGAACGTCCACCCCTGCCTGTCTCCTAGTAGTCCTGGCCTGCGGCAGCCAACTCCAGTCTCTGCCCCGTCTCCCCACGGCCTCCTCTTCCGTGTGTCATTGTCCTTTCCCGCAGTGTACGAGGACACTCAGATGGGACTGAGGGCTCGTCCCCATCTAGCACAGTCTCATCTTCAACGTTACATTAATGACATCTGCAAGGACCCCATTTCCAAATAGGGTCACATTCTGAGGGTTCTGGGGAGACATGAATTTTGTGGGGAAACCGTTCAACCCACAACACAGGTGGAGCTGGGATGAGGCAGAAAATGGGTCTGCATGTCTCTGCCTTCACTGGTACCTCCCTAGTCAAGGACCCCATGTGCTTTCCTGCAGGACTGACCGCAGCCGTCTTCGTGCTCATCTCGCTTCTTTCTTGTTCATGTTTTTCCTTGTCTATGCACCAGGGAGAATGAGCTTCTGTTATTTTAACCTTTGTAACTTTATTGGGAAATAAGTATTAAGAGAAGCAGACAGCAACTTCCTAGATCCAGAAGTTTAGAGCAAGAGGGGTTTCAGAGGTTACTCTTTTGTGCTTTTCATTTCTGACAATATTTTTTTCATGGATTCTGGCCTTGCCCTCCCCATGAGACTAGAAGTTCTTTGATGGCAGAGTCTGGGTTTTTTATTTCATAGCATCCCTCCAGAGGGCTCAGATTCCAGATCCTACAGAACACATTTTCAGTAGCTGTGTCTGTTGCTTGCTGGATTCTAGGGAAGCGTCGTGAGCGTCCTGGGTCAGTGGAGCTCCTCAAGAGGATGTGACCCAGGGCGGGTCGGCTGCTTGGCCTAACAGAAACCTCCATGCCCTTTCAGTGATCTGTTTGGAATGTGCTGGGTTTGAGTTGCTGAGCAAGGTACCACCGTACACATTTGCAGGCTGGGACCATATTTTTATTTTCCACTGATCTTTCTTCATACCTGATGTTTCAAGATTCCTTCTTTTATCATTTCCTTTCCATTTCCAGAAATGTACTTTAGACATTTTTTATGTCCGGCCTGTTGGCATCAAATTCTCTGTTTTCCTTTGAGAACGTTCTTGTTTCTTCTTCATCCCTCAAGGGTATTTTCGCTGGACATAGAACTCAGGGTGCACAGTTCATTTCCTCCAGCTCTTGAGAGAGGCCGCTCCCTTCCATCCTCAGCAGTTTCTGATGGGAAATCCACGCTATTCTAATTGTCTGGCCTTGTAGGTGAGATGTCCTTTCTCTCTCCCTGCTTTCAACAATTTGTTTTCTTTGTCTTTGGTTTTCAGAAGTCTGACTATAATGTGTCTGGCAGTGATTTGTTCAGGTTTTCCGGTTTGAGTTTGCTCAGCTGCTTGAATCTGTGTGTTTATATGTTTTGCCAAATTTAAGAAATTTTGGCCATTGGACTGTTTTTCCAACCCCACTCCCTTTCTCTTCTCTTTATGGGGCTGCAGTGACACGGATATTATATCTTTCGTTGTTGTCCCACGGGTCCTCAAGGCTCTGTTAATTGTTTAAAATCTATTTTATCTCTGTTGTTCTGATTGGGTAATTTATGTTGTTTTTCTTCAAATTATCCTTCTGTCCACTACTCTTTCCTCTGTCCTCTCTATTTTTATTTTTGCTGTTGAGCCATCCATTGAGGTGTTTTGTTTTCTTTTTTTGAGACAGAGTCTCACTCCGTCACCCAGGCTGGAGTATAGTGACGCCATCCTGGCTCACTGCAGCCAGCCCCCCAGGTTCAAGTGATTCTCGTGCCTCAGCCTCCTGAGTAGCTGGGACTACAGGTGTGCTAATAGACACCATGCCCAGCTAATTTTTTTGTATTTTTAGTAGAGATGGGGTTTCACCATGTTGGCCAGGCTGGTCTTGAACTCTTGACCTTAAGTGATCTGCCCCCCTCGGCCTCCCAAATTGCTGGGATTACAGACGTTAGCCACCACGCCCAGCCCATCCATTGAGATTTTGATTTCAGTTATTCTATTTTTCACTTCTAAATTTTCCATTTGGTTTTCCTTTATACAGGTTGAGGATCCCTAATCTGAAAATCTGAAATCTGAAATGCTTCAAAACTCCAAATCTGCTGAGCGCTGACATGACGCTCAAAGGAACTGCTCACTGGAGCACTTTAGATTTTGGATTTTCAGCTTAGGCATGCTCAGCCGGGTACATATAATGCAGAAATGTCAAAATCTGAAAAAGTCCAAAATTGGAAGCACTTCTAATTCTTTGCTGAGACTCTTTTTCATTTGTTTCAAGAGTGTCTGTAACTATGGAAGCATTTTTATGATGGCTGTTTTAAAAATCCTTGTCAGTTAATTTCACTGTCTGCATCATTTGGTGTTGATGTCTGTTGTTTTTCTTTTCTCATTCAAGTTGAGATTTTTCCGGTTCTCGGTATGACAAATGATTTTCAGTTGCATCCTGGACACTTTGGTTATTATGTTATGACACTCTGGATCTTATTTAAATCTGTTTTAGCAGTCCTTCTCTGATACCCACCACTGGGAAGGGCCATGTGCCGCAGTACTGCGGCGTGGGGGTGAAAGTCCGAGTGCCTGCTCTGTGTCCCTTGGAGTCCTGGTGAGGGCTGGGTGCCGCATGGCTACTGGGTTCCCCCAGGGCTCTGCTGATGCCCCGCATTGCTTCTCCCCATGGCTTCACACTCGGTCTTCTCCAGTGCCACCTCCCTGGGGATGCTCGGGGCATCCGCCACAGCCCTGATACCCACTCAGCCTTTGCTCATAGAGGCTGGGTGGGGCCACACTTTCTCCCGTGGTATTTGGAGTAGCTAATTACTGCCTGTCTAGGTGGCCCCTTTCCTGGTCCTCTGTGGTTACTGGACATATCAGATCAAATAGCTCAGGAGGCAAATAATCCACGCAGGCAGCGACAGCAGGGGTCATGTTCAAAAGACCCAGCAGCATGGACAATGCTGTGTCAGAGCGATGCTGGCTGTTAACTGCTGGCTGGGTCACACCATGCAGAGACTGGCCAAGTCAGTCCTGGGTGACAGAGGCCGTGGCCAAGGGGGCCTTACGGACACCAGCAGCCTCTCCAGGGGCATCAGCAGCCGTACCACTAAACCAGAGGAGTTGGATTCTGATTCTTACTCTTTGTCCAACAACATCAGAGTCAGTTACCCCTGCCTGTGACACCTGATGGTTCTGTGTCTTCCATCTTCCCTCACGTATCAGTAGCTACCCCTGGATTCTTTTGATCAAAAACTTTGGGATGCGGAATGTAAAATCACTTATGATCTCACTGCCTGGAGATCCCATTGCCTGGATTCTCAGGCAACCCTTCTTCTCCTTGACCCTTGGGCCAAGCTCATGGGCTGTGGTAATTCTGGCCTCCCAGGGGCTCAGTCCACCCCGCCCATGTTACCTGGATGGAGAACAGAGTGGACAGAGTCCTGAAGGTCCCTCCTCCTGGGGTGCATTTTACGTAACACTGTTCAGACCTGGACACCCGTGAGACTCATCCCTGTGAATGAGCTCAGGATCATGCAGGGCGTCATATTCTCCCTCCCCCAGCCCCCACTGCAGGCCTCAGAACAAATCCTGCAGGTCAGCGGTATAAGTATAATGAGGCTTATAACATCAGGACCTGCAGTCAGGAGCCCCGCCCAGCCTCTCAAGGTGATGCCTATGGCCCCCAAAAGTCCCTGTGTTCCCACCCCCAGTGACTCAGGCTGGGAGTATGCCTTGAAGGCAGGGGAGGAGGGACCACAACCCATCTGACCTGGCTTCGTGAGAACGTTAGTCATGGGTCCTCTTGGGATCAGTAGCCAGCTGTCACCTGCCGTCCCCGTCACAGGCTTACCACTGACTTCCCTGTTCCTGTGCAGAACTCAGCAAATCAAAATGAGACGTAAATATTCAAGCCTCTGGCTTAATAGTAGGATCCTCTTCTCGCCTGCCCACGCTTGTGTTTCCCCCAGCTAGAAATCTTGACTCATTTATAGTTGATCTGATGTTGATTTAACTGTTTTTTTAAACTTCTATTTTGGAATAATGATAGATTCACAGGAAGTTGCAAAAATAATTACAAAGAAGTCCTGTGCACCCTTCATCCAGTTTCCCCCAGTGATTACAAATGAGAGAAATACAGCGCAATGTCAAACCAGGAAACTAACATCAGTGCTATGTATGTATATAGTTCTGTTAGTTTAACACAGGTGTAAATTCATGGAATCACCACTGAAATGAAGATACAGGCCGTTTTACCAGCCAGCAGATCTCCTCGTTGCTATCCTGCCTTCCTTCTACCATCCCTAACTCCTGGCAACCAGTGTTCTGTTCTCTGTATTTATGATTTTGTCATTATGACAGTGGTCTGTAAATAGAATCATACAGTAAGTGACCTTTTGAGATGGACTTTGCCACTCAGCATAATGCCCATGGTTGTATAGGTCAGTTGTTTATACTTTTTCATTGCTTAGTGTGGTATTTCATGGAATGGAGGAACCACAGTTTGATTTTTTTGTTTGTTTGTTTTTTGTTTTTTTTTTTTGAGATGGAGTCTCACTCTGTGGCCCAGGCTGGAGTGAGGTGGTGCAATTTCAGCTCACTGCAACCTCCGCCTCCCAGATTCAAGCGATTCTCCTGCCTCAGCCTCCCAAGCCCGGCTCATTTTTGTATTTTTGGTAGAGACGGGGTTTCACTGTTGGCCAGGCTGGTCTTGAACTCCTGACCTTGTGATCCGCTTGCCTTGGCCTCCCAAAGTGCTGGGATTATAGGCGTGAGCCACCGCGCCTGACCAAACCACAATTTGTTTGACCATTTGCCCACTGAAGGATGTTTTGGTTGTTTCCAGCTTCTGACTATTACTAATAAAGCTGCTGTGAACAATTGTGGACGGCATTTTGTGTGGACATAAGTTTACGTTTCTGTGAGACAAATGCCCAGGAGTACTATTACAGGGCTGATATGGTTTGACTGTGTCCTCACCCAAATCTCACCTTGAACTAATCCCCACATATCAAAGGGGGGGCCAGATGGTGATAATTAAATCACGGGAGCACTTTCCCCCATACTGTTCTCATGGTAGTGAATACGTCTCTTGAGATCTGATGGTTTTATAAAGGGGAGTTGCCCTGCGAAAGCTCTCTCTTACCTGCCGCCATGTAAGACCGGACTTTGCTCCTCATTAGGTCACCCTAGCCATGTGGAACTGTGAGTCCATTAAACCTCTTTCCTTTATAAATTATGCAGTCTCGGATATGTCTTTATTAGCAAGGTGAAAATGAACTAATACAAGGGTCACGTGGTAAATATATTTAATATTAAAAAAAAATCTTCCAAACTATTTTCCAGAGTGTCTGTACCTTTTTACATTTCCATGAGCAATGTATGAGTGATTTAGTTTCTTTGACAGCATTTGGTATAGTTACTATTTTTTATTTTAGTTGTTCTCATCATGGTCTTAATTTGAATTTTCCCAATGATGAGTGATGTTGAAAATTTTTTCTTGTGCTTACTTGTCATCTGGATATTCTCGTCAATAAAATGTCTCTTAGTATCTTTTGCCCATTTTCTAATTGGATTCTTTTTGTGTTTTATCATTGAATTTTAAGAATTCTTTCTATTTTATAGATATGAATTACAGATAGAATCTATAGATATTATAGATAGATATGAGTTATGGATCTGGATTATTATAGATATGAATCCTGTGTCAGCTACATGGTTTGTAAATATTTTCTCCTTGTCTGCAGCTTATCTTTTTATCCTTTTAACAAGAGTTTTTCACAAAGCTGAAGCTTCTAAATTTTGTAAAGTCCAATTTATTGATTTTCTAATTCTGTGGATCATATTTTTGGTGTCATCACTAAGAACTTTTCATCAAACTCTTGGTCCCAAAGATTTTCTCCTTTGTTTTTATCTAAAAGTGTTATGGTTTTATTTTTTACATTTAATCTATGGTCCATTTTGAATTAATTTTTTTGTATGAGGTGCTGTTTCAGCACTATTTGTTGAGGGGGAAAAAAACTCTCCTTCCTTCATTGAATTGCTGTTGTTTCTTTGCCAAAAATCAGTTGGCTGTACTTGTGTGGGGCTGTTCCCAGGTTCTCGGCTCTGTCTCATTGATCTAATTGCCTGTCCCTGTGCCAGTCCCACACAGTCTTGATTACTGTAGCTGTGTAGTAGGTCTTGAAATCAGGTAGAGTGAAATCAGCTTGAGCACATGATTCATATCACGTTATTCTTCTTTTACGAAATTGTTTTAGCTTTTCTAGTTCCTTTGCCTTTAAAGATGAACTTTAGAGTAAGATTTTCTGTGTCTACAAAAATTCTTGCTGGGATGACTAGGAATTACATTAAGACTGTATATTAATTTTGGGAGAATTTATATCTTTATTGTGTTGAGTCTTCCAATCCATTAACATGGCGTATCTCTCCATTTATTTAAAATCTTCTTTGGTTTTCTTCATCTGTATTTTGTAGTTTTTGGCATACAGGTCCTATGCATGTTTTGTTAAATTTACACCTAAATGTACATTTTTTGAGTGACTATGAACTCACTTAATAATTGTAGGAGTTTCTTTCTGGATTCCTTGAAATTATTGACATAAATGCTCATACCATCTGCAGATAGGGACAGTTTCACTTCTTCCTTTTGATCTGTGTGCTTTTTCTTCCTTTCTGTGCTGGCTGGAATCCTCAGTACTATTTGAACAACAGTAATGAGACCAGACATCTTTGCTTATTCCCTGTCTTAGGAAGAAACCATTCTGTCTTCGACTAATAAGTTAGCTCTAGGTTTTTTATAGGTGTCCGTTATTTGAGGAAGTTTCCCTTTATTCTTAGTTTTTTGAGAGTCCTAATCATGAACAGATATTGGATTTTGTTGGTTTTTCTGCCTCGATATGATCATGTGATTTTTCTTCTTTAGCCTGATAATATGGTGAATTACACTAATTTTCAAGTATTGAGTCAGCCTTGTATTCCACAGCATTCCAATTGAAGACTGGGGCTATATTTATATAGTGCATTTTCTTTCTAAATCTTCATTCTGTGTATTAGGAGAATACTATCATCTTTTGCTTCATGGGCCATGTGAATATATGGGCACATAATTTATGAAACACTGTAAGGAAAAGTGTTGGCACTTGGTCTCTTTAAGGAGCACATTTTCTAAATGGAGGAAATGACTCAATTGAGGATCCCATATCTTCTATAGAAAAGACCCTTTCGCTACTCAAGTGAGTTTATCTTAATTCAGAGAAACCTTAATGTTTTCCCCACTCTCATATGTTGTTTTAGAAAGCAAAGGGAAAGGAGAGTTTTCTTTGGGAATCAGTGAATCCTCAAGTGCTGAGATGCTCCTTTTGGGTACACTGGTCTGGGTGAGCGTTCCTGCCTAGATGCATAGATGTGTAAATTAATTCCATCAAACTGCCCAGCTCTTGAGCTAGTGAGCCAGACCTACTGAACAGGATGAGCAGCACTAGGCAGGCTGTTATCTCAGCCCTCATTCATCAGATTCTCCCTCTCCTCTCTCTTTGTATGTATTTACCTTCTACTCCCTTCTCCACTCTCAGAAGTCCTTTTCGAATAAATCTTTCCTTGGTCCTTGTAGAAGCCACGTGGCCATCCCATTCCCCACACTGATGCCATAAACATCTGCTCTGCAAATCTTAAATGGTGCCGGGGGTTCAGGGTTGATTTTTTTCTGTACCAGGTGAGTGGCTCAGTAGAGGTGAGAGAAAACGGAGTGACAGGGTGGCTTGGGAAGCGATTGACCAGAGTGAAAACACACCTGTTGGTGTTGCTCCTGCCAGGTTTGATTTCTGAACAAGAGTGAACCTTGTCTGAAAAGCAAACCATCATGAGAACGCTCGGGCCCTGCTGTAGCAGCGTGGACCCTCGGCTCTGTCTGCTGGAGCCGCTGACCAAGGCTGGTATGCAGTGCCAGGACCCCACTCCCTCTGGAGACAGAACCGGAGTCACCCCTGTCCCGTGGGAGGAGGCGTCAGAGACAGGCCCTTGCCTGTCACTGTCTGTGTTTCCTGATACGGATCTGTCCTGGGTTGGGCAGCTTCCCTTGTACGGATCTCAGGCGAGAGGCACCCAGGCTCTGGGTCCCTTTTGAGACCAGGCTGGAGTCTGTGATGGGAGGGAGGGGGTCAGAGTGCAGGGAAGGCCCCTGCCAGAGGCCAGGTGTGTTTAAAGGTGTGATTCCTCGGTTGTTAGTTGTGCGCATGAAGGAGAGGGGGTATTTTTATCAGTAGATGAGGGAGAGGTTTGCCTCTCTCTTCCCCACATAAGGTAGGATAAAAGTTGTTGTGACTTGCTTACCACAGACTCTGAATTTCTGCTCCTGGCTGGAAGCCCCCATCTCCCAGGTTAGGGCCCTCTCCGGGGGTGGAGGAAGAGACCTGGCTCAGCCCTGGTCTTTGGGCCTCTCAGGAACGCTGGGGACCTTTTGAGCTGCCCAGTCCCTGTGGAGTTTCTGGGGACACCTGATGTCTCTGTGGTGAACTCTGGCAGGGGTGAGGCTGAGGTTAAACCTTAGAGCCCCAGGGCCGGGCCAGGGGCCCTTAGTCCATTTGAGCCAAACTGGAAGCAAATTTGTGGGGCAACTCCAGACTCATGAGCAGGCAGTAAAGAAATAAACCCTGACTCCAGCAGTCATAGGAGCCACAATAGGATTGTGACCGCTACAAGATTTGAATATTTTTAGAAAACAATAATCCTGGCCGCTCATCCTCTGCCACGGGGAGGGCGGAGGATGTGATCTCACGTCTGCAAGCACCGCAGGCTTTGGTTCCCTAGGGTTTCCCGCCGACGCATCTGCACCTGCTGCTCACTCCGAGGGGTGACTCCATCAGGATGTTTAGGGCTCGGGTGGCCTGTCAGCACCTTCCAGGCTGTGGGGCGGTGGCCCTGTCCGTTCACTCCCAGCAGGGATGCCTGGCTGGGCCATTGTCCTCGGCCCCCTGTACCCTCCCTACCGCAGGCCACCTTGTGTGGGTTCATCCCACCGAAGTTCACGGAGTGCCCCTGCATGCCTGCCCCCGTTCAGGCTGTGAGGGAGAGGACAGAGCCAGACAGACCGAATCCTGCCCTGTGACTCTCACATCCCAGTGCTGGGGACCTGGGGAGGTGACAAGCAGGCAGACAGACAGGCAGTGACAGGTACATGCAAGATCAGATCCCAAGGAGCAGCACGTGGGAGGCCTGCTGGCAGGAGGCTGCCCTGAGGAGTGGCCACGTGGATGGGGGGATCGTGGGGCATCGGGGGAGAGGCATCACACACCTGGCTGGCGGCGGGGGCACACCTTCAAGTCTGAGGAGCGGCCAGGAGGCCGAGGGGCTGGAGGAGGCAGGTCAGGGGCTACGGGCAGATCTTTCCGGGCCCGGGGGCAACTTTAAGGGCCTCGGCTTTCCCCTGAGTAAGGTGGGTGCCCCCGGAGGGTCTGAGCAGAGGGACGAAGCGATGGACTTGGGCTTTCACAAACCCTGTACAGGGCAGGGTGAGCAGGTAGACGGGGCTGCCGCCAGGCTCAGGATAGGAGTGGAGGATGTTAGCTTCAGGTCTGCTATGGGGGGCTTGCTGACAGGGTCAAGGATTTGGGGGCTCAAAAAGTTGAAGGACAGAGTGGCCACTAACTGACAAGGGCATGACTCTGGGACAGTCCAGGGCTGGGAGTGAGGTCAGGAGGGAGGTTTGGACATGCTCCGTTTGGGAGGCCTGTGGACGCCCAGGTGGGGAAGCTGCATTGGTGGTGGTAGAGCTGGAGCTAGAATGGAGGACGGAGATGCAGATTTTGCAGTTGTCTAGCTGGGCACGTTGCCACCCCGAGCAAAAAACTGCTTCTGTTAGTGAGAAAGAACTGGAGAAAGAATACTGGTCAGGCGTCATCAGGGTCAGCCCAGGCCCTGGAGGAGGTGTGCCTGGCTCTGTCAGGCCTCTCTGGGCCTCCTCCAGACCTGGCTTCTGAGCAGGGGCTGCCCTCTGCCTCCTATATGTCTGATCGCTGTGCCCCTGATCCTTCTTCTGAGCAGGGGCTGCCCTCTGCCTCCTATATGTCTGATCGCTGTGCCCCTGATCCTTCTTCTGCCTCCTATATGTCTGATCGCTGTGCCCCTGATCCTTCTTCTGAGCAGGGGCTGCCCTCTGCCTCCTATATGTCTGATCGCTGTGCCCCTGATCCTTCTTCTGAGCAGGGGCTGCCCTCTGCCTCCTGTATTTCTGATCGCTGTGCCCCTGATCCTTCTTCTGAGCAGGGGCTGCCCTCTACCTTCTGTATGTCTGATCGCTGTGCCCCTGATCCTTCTTCTGAGCAGGGGCTGCCCTCTGCCTCCTGTATGTCTGATCGCTGTGCCCCTGATCCTTCTTCTGAGCAGGGGCTGCCCTCTGCCTCCTGTATGTCTGATCGCTGTGCCCCTGATCCTTCTTCTGAGCAGGGGCTGCCCTCTGCCTCCTGTATGTCTGATCGCTGTGCCCCTGATCCTTCTTCTGAGCAGGGGCTGCCCTCTGCCTCCTGTATGTCTGATCGCTGTGCCCCTGATCCTTCTGGAGGGAGATTTCAGAGAAGTCCCACCAAGCTCTAAAGACCTCAGCCACTTTCCTGAGGCCACCAGATCGGTCACCATGGGGACCAGGGGCTGGTTCCAGAACCCCATGGAAACTTGGAATCCCGGACAGGCAGAGGTCTGGGGCCGAGTGGGGCTGAGTGGCTGCACACCTCAGCCTGCTCTGTTCTGGAAACCCGTGTTGCTGGGTTTGATGATGCACGCTTGTGTCTCATGGGTGGCGCTGGAATGGTCAACTCTGGGCATTTGGGTTTTTTTCTCTGCCTCTGGCCCAACATTAGACAGACCAGAATCTCAGATATTCTACTAGGAATGAAAGAATGTTCATCTTCCCCACCAGACAGAGGGGCGGGGAGGGAAGGCGTGGAGTGGGATGAGCTTGGCCACTCCAGGCCTTGGTACCATGATGACTTTTCCAACGTGAGGAGGGTCCAGGTGGCTGAGGCTGTTTGACTCCGCACTGATTTTGACATGATTCCACATACAGGCCTCTATGAACCCCTGACTATTCTCATGCGAAAAACCACAGCATATCTGCTTCTCCTGAAAGTTTAAAGACACTCTGGCATTAGCAATGCTTTCCCCTTGTTTCTGTAAGTCATCCAAAATTCTTCTTGGGTAGAGGCCAGCTATAACAAAATAAATAAAAGGATAATGAATGGATTGGATCTTTTGATGGAAACCATTTGGCCAACTTCATGACAAGAAGAACAAAGGGAAGAAAAAAAGAAACAACCTTTAAATTCTAGCTGAGATTTCAAGTAGCCATGGCCCAGGAGCCAAATTGAAAAGCTGTAACACTTTTATAGACGTTTATAGGTATTGCTTTTCTGGACTGACTGCAGCACTGAGATTAGGCAGTAGTGCCCTTCGGCAGGTAAACGTGTTCATTCCGAGCACAGCAGCTATATGGATTTTCTGTTCTGCCTCTTTCTTTACTCCTGAAAGATGCCATTAGATGGAATTTGGATGCTCTGGGGCCATGGCCTTCCATGTTCTGGGAGGCTCGTGGATTCCTGTGGATCGTCCCCCCGACCCTGAGGCTCCTGGAGCTGACAGAGCCCAGCAGGCCCATCCTCCATCTCTGACGTCACAGGCATCTGAGGGCAGGGCCATGCACTACGAGTCCATGATGTACCAGGCGGGGGAGCCAGTGGCTATTCTAGGAAAATTCCATCTCCAGGGCATGAAAAGACAGATAAAGATCAGTGTAACTCACCTGTGCTGAGTAACATGGTGGGTCACGGTGGGGCTCTGGAACCAGGATGTCTTGACCTGAGTCCTGAATTGGCCCCTTCCCAGCTCCGTCACTTGCCGTGAGTCCTCCAACCACCATGTGGCTTCGTGGCTTCATTTGTAAAGTGGGGCAAGAGTGTGCGCAGCTGGCAAGGGCTGAGCAATTGAATGACTTCACTCATGTAAAACAGAGCAGGACCAGGCGCAGGGCAGGTCCGTGGAAAAGGTTAACTATTGCCATCATTAGGAACCATCAAGGGGCTCACACACATGATCTCAGTGGAGGCTTCTAGCAGCCTGTGAGGGGGTGTTAGAGATGTCTGGATGCCAGCAACAGACGCTGACTCTGGTTCTCCTGAGCAGAAAGGTAGTTTATTGGAAGGATAAGGGGAGCACAATGTATCAGAGTGAAGTCATGAAAACAAGACAAAATCCAAGGTCTTAGAAAATATCTTATATGGTATTATTATATCATTTTTGTATTCGGCACAAAAAGGGCAGGCCAAAAATAAGCCCTAATGAGACAACTGTATAAAAACGTTTTGAGTAGCCTAATGAGTGAAAATTATTTAAAACGTGTTAATTATTATTGCATGTATGAAAGAATACAGGTCGCCTTGTTGCGATAGAAATGCCAAAGTCCCTTGCTTTCCAATAACATGGGCCTGAGAAAATTCAGTGTCACTCATCCACGACGATCCGATGTGGAGGTTCCTATTCCCACGGAGATGAAGCCACAAGCAAAGGCCTGTCCGTGTGCAGGTCTGTCCTGAGCATGAACATCCTGTCCCAGAGAGAAAATGCTCCCTCTGGGAAGAGCCTCCCTGGGCACCCCTTGGGTCCTTGGAGCCCTTCTGGGCCACATCTCTGCTTAGCGTTGGGGGACCTGTCACACCCGAGTGGGGTGACCACGGGCTCGCGACCTGTATGAGGCGAGACTCCAGCATTCTAGGGGATGACCGCAAAACCAGGCCCTCAGCAGAGGCCGCCTCCTTCCAGAGCCTTCTGTGGCTGGGCGGGGGTCTCCAGGCAGCTCCGCAGCCCCCGCAAATACCCCCTGGTGCTGAGTCCGCTTATACAGACAGAGACGAAGGGCAGCGACAGCGTTTTTGTTTTCTGAAGTGGGAGGGTCTCGTGACCGCAGCTCAGGAGGAAAACGAGGCGCCGGCTTTGCAGGTGGGTAGGAGTTTGTGTTGTACTCGGAGGCTGGGAGCCCCTGGGGCTTCTGTAGGGAGAGGCGGTCTGAGACGCGCTTTAGAAGTTGACCTGCTGCTCTGCGGGGACTCGGTGCGGGAGACGAGTGGAGGCTGCTGCGTCATCCAGGTGAGAGGAGAGCCAGGTGCGCAGTGAGCAGAGGTGGGAGGAAAGCTGGTTGCCACGGAGATGAGGGCGTGTCCATCACTGCAAGGCTCCACCCACAGCACTATCCTGGGCGGAACCTTCCTGGCCCCACCCACAGCCTTAGCTGATTGGACTGTGGAGTACATGTGACTTCAGGCTGTGTCCTTATAGGTTGGCTGGCCTCTAGTGCCCTGCCCATGTGGTCATGGAGTGTCTGCACGGGACGTCCTGGAGAGTCGGGTGAGTCTGCCATCCAGGATGGTGGAGAAGAGTCCTGGGGTCAGAGTGGGCCTGAGAAGGGGCTGTGGGCTGCACCATCAGGGGAATGTAAGAGAGGCTGGAGCCACTTGATAGAGGGTGGGGCCATGTACAAGGAGGTGGGGCTAAGTGAAAGGAGGTGGAGCCATGTGCAAGGAGGTGGGGCTAAGTGAAAGGAGGTGGAGCCATGTACAAGGAGGTGGGGCTAAGTGAAAGGAGGTGGAGCCATGTGCAAGGAGGTGGGGCTAAGTGAAAGGAGGTAGAGCCATGTGCAAGGAGGGTGGGGCTAAGCGAAAGGAGGTGGAGCCATGTGCAAGGAGGTGGGGCTAAGCGAAAGGAGGTGGAGCCATGTACAAGGAGGTGGGGCTAAGTGAAAGGAGGTGGAGCCATGTGCAAGGAGGTGGGGCTAAGTGAAAGGAGGTGGAGCCATGTACAAGGAGGTGGGGCTAAGTGAAAGGAGGTGGAGCCATGTGCAAGGAAGGTGGGGCTAAGTGAGTGGGGCGAGGCCACTGGGAGAAGAGGAGCCATGTGAGTGGGAAGGTGTCATGTGAGTGGGAAGGGTAATGTGAGTGGGGTGGAGTTAAGGGGGCGGGGTCCCTGTGGTTAATTCTCTGGTTTGTCTCTGGAGATTCTTCCTCCTGGCTCCCAGGACACTCAGGACCTCTTTCCCAAGGATGGAACCTCTCCACACATACCATGGCCACAGTGCAGGTGACCCCAGTGCTGCTGGGCCACAGAGGGCAACTTGTGCACGCACTGGCGGGTCCTATGTGTCCAGGAGGCCCGAGGAAGGAGAGAGTGGAGACCCGGATGCCGGGTTCAAGGCTCACCAGGGATGCGGGCACCAGGGTGCTCCCTCCCCAGCCTCTGGCTGACAGCACTGAACTCAGCCGCCTCGCCCGGCTTCTGGTGGCTTCTGGTCCACGCTGTACCCTCCTCTGTGGGCTCCGTCTCTGCAGGGTTCTCGGAGACATCGCAGCTGCTAAATGCCAAATGCAGAACCTGGGCTGTGGGTCCCGGCCTGGCTTCGTGTGCCGCGCTTTCCACTGAGAGCCGCGTGACTGGGTGCTACCTGGGGCGAGGGGGTGATGTGAAAACACTTTCTGTTCAGTTTCGGGGCAAGCTGCCCTAACTCCAGATCCCCACGCAATTCAGAGTACTTTCTTTTCTTTGGGTTTTGAAACAGCAATGCAGTTTCCTCTCTGCATGCCTCTCCGGCTTGCAGGCTGGCACCTGTGCACAAACCGAGCGTGAGAATCAGGTGTCTGCGGGCCCCTTTCTTCTCAAACGGGACTCCTGAGGTTTCGCAGAGGAGACAGGGACTTGGGGACCTTGGAGGGAGGGACACAGTTTAGAGTCCAGTTCACACTGGATGGTGGGTCTCTTACCAGACCAGCATCCCACCTTGACGATGAACAGACAGCAAACTGAAGCTTCTTGGTCTTTGGCAAAAACCATGTTTCCTGGGGTCTTCTGAAGTAGGGGGCATCGGTGGGTCTCTCTGACCCTGGTGCGTCCCAGGTGGCCATGGGCTGTGCTTGTCTGCACAAGTCTACCCCTCTGCCTGGTGTTTCTTGGCTGTGCTCAGTTGCCTTTGAAGAGGGAAGCAGTAGGTTGTGAGGTTGGGGAGGCTGCTCTCTAGGATTGAGATCTGGCCCCATGATCTCAAAATAAGGACGTGCACATGTCAGCACCATGTGTGTGGGGGGTGGCGCCTGCATTCTGTGGTCAGGACTTATTCCATTGAAAGGACAGACCCCTTCAAGCTGCCTTAATGCCAAAGAGATCTCTGCAGGCTCATGGGCCTGGGAGGCCTGGAGAGGGAAGACTTGGGGGTGTCATGTTCCAGGGCCTCTGCTGTTGTCCTCAGATGGATTGATCACATGTTGGAAGAAGGATGCCTCTGGTTTCTGAAGCAGCCTGGGCTGAGTGGGATGTCCTAAGGGTCTGAGCAGCATCTGTGGGTATCCTTGGCGCCCCAAGGCACTGCTCACCTCTGCCCAGGAGCCAGCACTGGGGAGAGTGACTTAACCAGACAGGCCCACATGCAGATGGCACTAGTGGGGTGAAGGCAGAGTAGTAAATCCCCACCATGTGCCCCTGCTCTACTGGGCCATCTGTCCCAGGGTCTCACCTGGCCTAACCTTTCCTTCTCAGCACTGGGGTGGCCCAGCTCATCAACCTGTCCTGAAATGCCTCATTCAGGGTCCTGCCCACCTCCCACCTTTTTCTTCCTGTGCTGGAACCAGGTTCTGAAAGTCCTGTCTTAGCCTCTATCAGGCTGTGGCTGCCTCATCCATGCTGGACTGTCTTATGACTCTTTGAAAGCAAGAAACCTCAGAAAGCACCAAGAGATAGAGGCTGGTTCAAGGTTTTTCCTTGTCGTATCTCTCCCATTACTTCTGTTATCCTTGATTTCCCTAAAGGTGGGACATTTCAAGCATTCAAAGCCCTGAACCCTGTTTAGTTGTGAGATGGGCTGGAGAAGAGGGTGGCACAGAGGGCTGCCCCAGATGTTCCACTGAGATCCACCTGCACCTGACCCACTGCTCTGGGGTCAGTATTTCGGCTCCTTATATTGCTTTACTTACCATCAAATTTAAGGACCATGGTGCCATCTCTCTTTTGCTTGGGACAATGTTGGACACGTAGCTCCCCAAATTATTTACAGGTAAAACTGTACACCTAGTCCATTTTCTGTTGTTATAATAGAATATCTGAGACTGGGTAATTTATAAAGGAAAGAAGTTTATTTTGGCTCGCAGTTCTGGAGGCTGTGAAGTCCAAGCTCGGGCAGCCGTGTCTGGTGAACACCTTGTGCTGCTTCACCTCTTGGTGGAAAAGGGAAAGGAAAGCCAGTGTGAGTGAAAGAGACTGCAAGAGCGAGTCGAGCTTGCTTTTTGTATCAACCTAATTTCATGAGAACAAATTCACTCCTGCAAGAACTAACTTACTCCCATAACAGTGACATTAATCCATTCCTGAGGGCTCAGCCCTCATGACCCAGTTGCCACTTAAAGGCCCCATCTCCCAACACTGCTGCGTTGGGAATTAAGGTTCCAACACATGAGCTTTTGGGGGACACAGTCAAACCCTAGCAATACTTACATAAAAGCCAGCACATTTCTAAACAAGGGGCATTAACAGGCTATCATGAGTATCAAATTTTTTTCTTCTCTCTGCATGTATCTCCTAGAAGGAGACACTTTGGTGTACCTTGCTCATGAACAGTAGGCAATAAACAAGCAGTTGGTTAATCCCGTTTGCTTCTCCCTGACTGGAAAGATCATGATGGTTGTTGGAGCACATCTCAGATCCTGTGGGAGATATTCCTGAGGGCTCACAGGCACTCCCCATTAGACATACCCAAGTGAAGTGTGTCTAGTGGGAAATTAGGTTACTTGCCATGGAGCCGGCCCTGTGAGGAGGCCTTCACTTCTGTCCAGCAGAGCTCAGCAGCCCCTGGCTTGAGGTTTCAGGAGGACGCTCAGGTGAATGCGGCTGTCCCCCAACACTGTTGAAGACTCCACAGGGAGGGAGCGCCTCATTCCCATTCCCCAGCCACCTGGTGACGAACTGAACTGGCTTCTGTGCCTCACCCAGGCCTCAGGGAGGCTCGTGGGCTGTGAGCACCTCCCACATTTCTGCATGAGATGGGGCCTGTATGCAGATGACTTACATTCTGGCACCACCACACTCCCATATCAAAAACACACCCACCCCACGTCACACCCCTGGGAGCCCGGGAGGCCCCCTTTTCTGGAGACTTGCTGAGAGCATTTGTTCCCAGTCAGTGGGGAACTCCACACACATGAAGAGTCAATTTGCTTTTCTCATCCCAGGAGTGGAGGCTGTGATGGAACCTCTGACGATGGAGGGGAGGGAGTTTCCCCGTTTCAGGGCGTGATCTTGGCTCCAGATCCAAGAGGAAGCTAGCTGCCTTCCCCACCCTCCGACCACACACATGCTTGGCTTGTTGCGGTGGTGGCTGTTTTCTACATTTCCTTTGAAGAGTGATTTAGATCTGAAGTCAGAGTGTCAGGACTTCCAGAGGCCACAGCAGCCTCTTCTCTGCTCCCTTGGGACTGCGCTTCCACACGTGGGGCAGAGGCGGGGGCTGGCACTGGGTGAGGGGGTGATGGGAAGAGGCGTCGCCTCACTCCTGAGAAGCCTTGCCACGTGTTGATGTGTATGGGTCTGGCTGCTGGCTTCCCCAGGTCACCGACTTATTTTTTAAATTTCCTTTAAATTACTCAGGTAACACACAAATACGCCTCCTTGTTAAAAAATTACATATAACGCTGTCTGCTGGAGGCTTTGGCCCTGGTGTAGCCTGGGCCCAAGGAAGCCTCATTACACCCCTCCGAGAACCAGGCTGTGGCCACCAGGTTTTTGTTCATCTTTTCTATTATGTGAGGTTGGTGCTGCAGTTTTCCTGCTGATGCCCCTCTGTGGTCCTGGTGGCTGCAGGACACAGGGCCCTCTGTTGTCTGTGCAAGAGTTCACAGCAGGCTGTGGCTTTGGGAAGACAGAGGAGAAGATGTCTTTTCCAGGCGGTTTTAAGAGACCCTGTGATGGATTAAAATAACCCTAAGATACGGGGCGGCAGGGGTGGGGGACAAAGCAAAAAGAGTAAACGTTCCATTTTGCCAAAACATTAGTAGTAGACAGCACTAGGATAATTGGGTTGAGGCTGGAGGAGCTGTCAGACAGATGCTGCGATGATAGCCCTGTGAGTCCTTTGGTTCTGCAGTGGGGTCCGAGGTGCCTGTCAGGGGCACCAGAGCTGCTGCTTCCTGGGAAAGGAGGGGCTTTTGGTCGAGGCCAGGATGGCGCTCATGAGGGGGGCTGCCCTCGTGGCTCTGTCCTGCACAAGTCAGTGCCTTCCTGAGGGCTGGTCACCCTGAAATGGGGGAAGGGTCTCATTGGAGCAATGATGGCTCAGGAATGGGTCACAGAACAGAGCAGGCATCGGACAAATAAGAGATGCTTGACTTGACTGACTGGGAATCCATCAGACACCATTTATCCCGGAGCCATGCCACCTCTGAGCAGCCCTGGGTCCTGGTGGAGTCGCTGGCCTCCTGAGCCTCCAACTATGGCTCCTGAAGGTGTCTGTGCCTTTCATTTAGGGTAGAGCATAGCTGCAGAGTCCTCCGAGCTGGCACCCAGGAGCAGCCCAGGAGAGAACGCCAGTCTCCGGAACAAGGTGGTCTCATGGACCTGTTCACTGATTCTTTTGTTCATTCATTGAACAGATATTTAGTAAGCACCTGCTGTATGCCAGATGCCCTCTAGGTCCTGGGGATGCAGCCGTGAATGAGACAGAAGCTCTATCCTTTCTGTAGTGGATATTGTAGAGGGGAAGGTAGCAAACACACACAGTGGACAGTGGATATGTAATATGCCACATGGTGATCAAGACTATGAAAACATCAGTGAGTGGAATGGAGCTAGAGTGGGCAGGGTGCCGGTGCTGTTTAGAACAGGTAGGGAAGGGAAGGTCTCTCTGAGGAGCTCCTCCTGCAGAGGCCTGGTAGGGAGTGGGGAAGAGCCTGTGGCTACCTGGTGGGGAGTGGGGAGGGAGCCTGTGGCTGCCTGGTGGGGAGCACCCTATGGGGAGGCACGTCCTAGGAGGAGGAGTGTCCTAGAGGGAGGGCCCGGCACCTGCCAGGGCCCTTGGGTGGGTTGGGGAGGGCAGAGCAGAGGGCAGCATGACCTGGGCCAGGTGATGTGGGACCACACCCACAATGGATGGAGATAGACATCAGTGGCTATGCCTGTCCCTACCTGAGGTCGCCCAGCTGTAAGGGTCTCGCTCTCACATCAGTGCTGAGAACCAGGGGCCTCTTCAGCAGCGTCATGCATCGTGTTTGCTTTCTTTCATTTCAGACACGTAAGCAGCACAGTGAGGCCACCAACAGCAGCAACCGAGTCTTCGTGTACTGCGCCTTCCTGGACTTCAGGTACCCTCTGCACAGGGGAGAGCAGGTGGGCATGAGGTGTCCAAGCCCAGGCCCGCCCCATGCCAGCCCAGGGGAGGATCTGGGTCACCCATTTCTGCAGCTGACATGGTTGCGTTATGCGAAAATGCTGGAAATGCTGGAGATGTGGGCAGGGCCTGGTGGCAGTGCTGGGTGGAGGCCTCCCCTCCAGACCATGCGAGGAGGGGCCTGCTGTTGCACGATGTGTCTGGACAAAGCCTCTGAATGCCCAGGGCAACTTTCAAGCCAGTGCAGCAGATGCTCGGGGGAGCTGGAGGATGCTGTCCGTTGGAGCAGGCCCTACAGCCCTGGCTGTCCCCCTCGAGGGTCTTGGAGCAGCTGAGGAAGGGGGTTGGGGGAGTGGCTTCTGACTAGCCACGTTGGCATTTTCCTGTTTGAAACCTTGCCGGCTCCACTGGAGCAGGCTGACCATCAGGCCTGCCTAAAACTCTGAGGCCTCAGCCTCTGCCACTTGGGCCCTGACTGGGACGTCCTCCCCAGCATCTCCCATGTCCACTTGTCACACCTGTCACATGCAGTCTCCTCCCGCCCTCCTAGCCCCTGCCCCAGCTCGCCTCCACGGCTCACCTGCCCAATGTCTGGGGGATCTCCCACCATCGCTGTGATCACAATTCTCCTCTAGACGTGAGCCCACCGTGAATGGCTCCCACAGTCACAGCGGTGTTGAAAACTCAGCTCCCCGCAGGGCCGGGGAGTGGAGGGAGGGGTGGGGCCTCCGGATCCTCAGCTGCTGCTCAGCTGTGGCCCCTGGGGCTTGTTCCATGTGGGATGCAGGTTGCAGGTCCTGTGTTGCCAGGTCATCAGTTTTCATGGCTGGATATTGTTTTTGTTTTTGTTTTTTTGAGACAGGGTCTCACTCTGTCACCCAGGCTGGAGTGCAGTGGTGTGATCTTAGCTCAATGTAGTCTGAAACTCCTGGGCTCAAGCAATCCTTCCGCCTCTCAAAGTGCCTCTCAAAGTCCTGGGACTACAGGTGTGAGTCACTGTGCCTGGCTATGGCTAGATTATTATATGAACTGTCCCAATGTTTAAAACACTGCACAGGCAGCTGGAACACATCTGGGACATCCAGTTCACACCCTGCCTAGTGGCCCATCACCCTGCATGTTGTCAGGGCTCCCCAACACCTGGGCATCTTCCTGTGCCTGGACTCACTTCCCCAGCTCCCTCCTCCTGCTGCTTCAGGGCAGGATCCACACAGGCTGTGCCACCTCTGCTGGTATGGTCCCCGTCAGAGAAAGCGTCTCTGCTCCCTGCACCCAGAGGGCCAGGAGATTGCAAGACGCTGAGCTGGGGGTGCAGCAGCAGGTCGGCATAATCTCCCTTTATCTCTGTTCTGTGAACAGCGAGGAAAGTGCAGCCCAGCTCCTGTCACCTCCAGCAAACACTGCTTACATTTTTGACCCCCGGGATGCCTCACTCTGGCTATGGCCGTCGGCGTCTGGCTATGACCGTTGGCGTCATGCCTCTGCAATGTGGATTGATGCTCTGTAATTTCAGTGATTTTGCCCTGGTCAGGCTCAGCAGGTTGCAGCTCTTTTTCCTTTATTTGTAAATTGTGAAAATTTGGAAGCATGTGCTCCTAGAAATAGTTATTCCAATTCCGGGGCACTGTTTGGAGAAAAAAATTATGACTAGAAAACGGGATGGGATTTGGTAAGAACTAAATTGGCATGTTGATTCTTATTTTTGAAGGAATTTTAAGAACATAGAAAAGTACGGAGAATAATATAACAAATGCAGGTACCCATTGCCCCAAATTTATAGTTATTAGCATGTTTATATTTTTGTATTTTTAAGAATGAAACAACTAAAACATCACAGATGATGTTAACGAACCCTCCACCTCCTTCTGTTCTTTTCCCTCAATTCCTAGAGGCAGCCACCATCATGAATATAGTATCTGTATCCTTCCTGTCCATTGTGCAATTATTACTTATTATTATATAATTGATATTCAGAAAAATCCACACTTGTAGATGATTGTACAGTTCTGTGAGTTTTGACAAATGAATACAGTTGTGCAACCACCGTAATCAGGATTAGAACAATCCATCACCCTCCAAGATGCCCCCGTGTCTGTTTGCAGTCATCCCTTCCTCTCACGTCCGGCTCCTGCAAGCACCGATTTGTCTTCTGTTCCTATATAGTTTTGCTTCTGCCAGAGTGTGCATAGATGGAATCATGGCGCAGGAAGCCTTTTGGAGTCTAGCCTCTTTAATTTTGCATAGTGTGTTGAGCGTCACCACACATGTATTGTTGGATATATCAACATCTTGTTTTCACATTTCACTGCTGAGGGGGTATTCCGTTACATGGATGTACCGTAGTTTATTTATCTTCTCCCGAGTAGAGGAACATTTGGGTAGTTTTCAGAGTGGGATCATTATGATTAAAGCTGGAAGTTTCACCAGCTTTGCTTTTGTGGGGTAAACCACACTTGGTCATGATGTATTATCTTTTTGTATACTGCTAAATCTAATTGGCTACAGTTGTTGAGAATTTTTGTGTCTACGTGCATGTTGGATATTGGTCTGCAGTTTTCTTTTTTTGGTAATGTCTTTGTTTTTATATCGAGGTAATGATACCTTTATAAAAGTTACATTTTGGGATGCACTTTGGAATAGTCTGTATAGAATTGATATTATTTCTTCCATTTTAGTAGAATTCACCATGAAGTCACCTGAGCCTTCATTTTCAATGTTGGCAGGTTTTCAACTACACATTCAGTTTCTTTTATGGATGCAGGACTATGTAGGTCGTCTACTTCTTTTTAAATAAGTTCAAGCAGTTTATGTTTTTTTGAAATATTCATCAATTTCATCAAAGTTGTTTAATTTATAGGCACAGAGTTTTTTGTGGTATTCCGTTGTTAGCCTTTTTCATGCCTGAAGGGTCTGTGGTGATGTTCCCATTTCACTTTTTTATCTATAATCTGTGTCTTCTTTTTTCTGAGTCACTCTTACTATAGGTTTATTAATTTTATTGATATTTTTCCAAAGATATAACTTTTGGCTTCATTGATTTTTCTCTCTTGTGTTTCTGTTGTCAATTTCATTGGCTTATCCTCTTTGTCTTTAATTTACTTCCTTCAGCTTTCTTTGAGTTTAATTTGCTCTTCATTTTAAAAGTTCTTAAAATGTAGGTTTAGGTTATTACTATGAAGCTTTATTATTTTCTAATATAAACATTTAATGCTATATTTTTTCTGTGAGCACTGATCTAGCTGCATTGCACACATTTTGATATGTTTTTATTTTGATTAAATTTAAAATATTTTCTAATTTTCCTTGTGACTTCCTCTTCAACCTCTTCAACCTATGTGTTATTTTGAAGTGTGTAGTTTAATTCCAAATAGTTGGGAATTTTCCAGAGAGCTTTCTGCTGTTGATTTGTAAATAGTTTTTTTATGATCAGAAAATATTCTTTGTATAATTTTAGTTCTTTTAAATTTGTTAAAAGTTTTTATGACACCCCCATATATGTTCAGTCTTTGATGAAAGTCCCATGTGCACTTGAAAAAAAGTATATTCTTGGTGGAGTGTTCTATAAATGTCAATTACACCAAGTCGATTGATAGTTAAGATTATGTCTTCTATATTCTTACTACTACTTTTCTGTCAACTTGTTCTGTCAATTAAAGAGAGAGGAGTGTGAATTCTCCAATTTTAGTGGTGGATTTACCTATGTCTACTTCTAGTTTTATTCTTTTTTTTATGTTTTTTGAGACAGAGTCTCGCTCTGTAACCCAGGCTGGAGTGCAGTGGCATGGTCTCGGCTCACTGCAAGCTCCGCCTCCCAGGTTCACGCCGTTCTCCTGCCTCAGCCTCCCGAGTAGCTGGGACTACAGGCGCCCGCCACCACGCCCGGCTAATTTTTTGTATTTTTAGTAGAGACGGGGTTTCACCGTGTTAGCCAGGATGGTCTCGATCTCCTGACCTCGTGATCCGCCCGCCTCGGCCTCCCAAAGTGCTGGGATTACAGGCGTGAGCCACTGCACCCGGCCTAGTTTTATGAATTTTTCTTTAATGAATTTTGAAGTTCTGTTATTAGGTGCATGTATGTTTAGGATTGTTATGTCTTCTTGGAAGATTAGCCCTTTTATCATTACATAATGTCCCTCTTTACCCTGGGAAATATGCGTTACTTTGAAGTCTACTTAGTTTAATTTAGATAAAACTACTCTAGCTTTGTTGATTAGTGTTTGAGTGCTGTATCTTTTCCCATAATTTAACTTTTATCTTATTTATATATTTATATTTAAAGTGAGTTTCTTTTAGACTGCATGTAGCTGGGTCGTGTCTTTTCTTTAATCCAGTCCTAAAATTTCTGTTTTTAATTGACATGTTTAGACAATTTATATTTCATGTAATCATTGGTGTGGCTGGATTAAAATCTACCATTTTGCTAGATGTCTTCTAACTTTTCTATCTTTTTAAAATGTTGTCTTTTTCTGACTTCATTTGGATTGTTGGATATCTTTTATGATGCTATTTTATCTCTACTATAAATGATTTCTAATGTATACATCCTTTTAACTTTTTTGATAGTGGTTGACCTAAGCTTACAGTGTATATATGTCTAATTCATTCATGCCTGCCTTCAAGTACTATGATATCATTCCAAATATATTCTAAGACATTGTAACAATAGGTTCACACTTCCTCCTGCCCGTTCTGTGTGCTGTTGTTGTAGTACATTTCACCTTTGTACAGACACCATAAACGCAATGCATTGCTAGTATTTTTTCCCCCGGATAATGAGTTATCTTCTAGAGCAATTAAAATTAAGACAATAATAATTGCCTGTTTACCTTCACTTATTCCACTTCCAGCTGTTCTATTTCTTTGTGTAGATTTTTGTCTAGTATCATACTCCTTTAACTCTTCTTGCAGTTCTGGTCCACTGGCAATAGATTCAGTTACCATTTGAAAAAGTATTCTCTTTTAGTCTTGAAAGATTTTCATTGGGCTTAGAATTCTGGGCCACTTTTTTTCTAGACTGATACTTTAAGAAATTATACAAGTAATATATCAATATATTATTTTGTTCAAAAGTAAAACATTATAGAAAAGCAAGTGTTCCCTTTGATCTTTACCTCTTATCCTGATCTCCACCCCTTTCCCCAGTAATAACCACGGTGGGAGGGTTTTTTATGTGTTTTTTCAATAATTTATATATAATTTATATTTATAATCATAGGAAATATATGGTGTTGCTTAATTCAATGTGTCTTCCATCCTTCCTCCACCTTTTGTTTCTGTGTTTTGCCTGTGTGGACACACATGTTTTTTACCGTATTTATGCATGTTACATTTTATGTATGCATGACTGAACATTTTTCTGTTTAGATGCAGACTTCCTGGGTCATAGGGCCGTACATATCTTTAATGCTATTGATACTGCTTCATCTGGCTTCCATAGCAGATTTATTTATGCACAAGCTGCAAGCCTGCCTCTTTGTTTTCGCTGAGTCCCTGGGAAGTAGATCTTCATTGATGCCACTGAAGGCTCTACTCCTCTGGCTAACTAGGTCATCGTCACACCTTTGCAGCTCCATCTGAGCGATGTGACTTTCATATTGTTTAGCTTACCCTTTGTGTAAGCAGAAGGGGCAGCTCATACCCGTGGCTACGTTCACCTAATCCAATGCCTGTTAATGTTCAGGCCCCCCCCTCAAATTGAAGTATGGTACTTATGCAGCCAATTGACAGACAAAGGCGCAATATATAACACAACAGCTGGTTTTTGCTGACTCCCTCCAAGGTCCTGGGAAAATTAGATCAAAAGGGGTGGGGAGGGAGAGGAGGAGGACATGACCCTGTCTTTAAGTCCCATCAATTCTGAAGTTATTAATGGGGTTTTGCTCCTCTCAGTTGGTACGTCTGAGTGGCTCTCGCTTTGTCCTCTGCTCTCTGCTAAATGCCTTCTCCCTCCCCTAGAAGAGCAGATCATTAATCATGAAAATCACCACTGAACTGCTGTCTGAGTCTCCATCCTCAAACTCAGAGCCACCCCTGGGTCATGTCGGAAAGACCGTCCCAACCCCTCCCTCGCGCTCCACGTCGCCCAGGGCTAACGCAGGGTTACCGTTGCCCGAGGCTGCTGGTGCGTGTTCCATCTGGTAGACATTGGCCAGAGAGGTACAAGCTGGGGTCTTCATCGGTCATGCCATCGGACAGCCACAGTTCTCATCTGCCACATCCATGCTGACACCGCAGTTGAAAGTGAATTCAAAGCAAATACAAACTAGAGCCTTTTAATTTATTCGCCTTTATGAATGCTTTCCCCCAAGGGCCATTGCCTTTGGCTGAAGTAAGGATTTGTCTTTACTGATAACTTGAGGTTCCAACTTCAGGGAAGAACCATTTAAATCTTTTTTTTTTTTTAATTTGAAAATATAGAAGACAGGGTACAGTGGCTCACGCCTATAATCCTAGTACTTTGGGAGGCTGAGGCAGGAAGGTTGTTTTAGCCCAGGAGTTTGAGACCAGCCAGAGCAACATAGCAAGACTATATCTCTACAAAAATAAAAAGAAAAGTATTAATTGGGCACAGTGGCATGCACCTGTAGTCCCAGCTACTTGGGAGGCTGAGGTGGGAGGATCACGTGAGCGCAGGAGGTCAAGACTGCAGTGAGCTATGATCACACCACTGTACTCCAGCCTGCGAAACAGATTGAGACCCTGTCTCAAAGCAAACAAACAAACAAAAAAGAAAATATAGAGAAATGTAGAGAAGAAAATGATATTCACCAATATTCACACCAACAGGTTTAACCACAGTTAACCGAGAGCACGTTTGCTTCCAGTCATTTTTGTCTGGCTTTATATTTTATAAAGTTACGCAAGTAATATATCCACACGTTATTCACGTAAAAAGTAAAACATAAAAAAGCAAGGGTCTCCTTAGACCTTTACGTCTCATCCTGATCTCGCCACCCTGTCTCTGGCGGTAACACCGTGGGGAGTTTCTGTGTGAGCGTTTTCTCTGTAGTCTCTGTGCCGGTCATAGCTGTGTTCGTGGGAAGTGTGTGGTGCTGTTGGCTCCACGGGCCTTGCGTCGTGGTTAGTCACTGTACGTTGTGTTTTGGTATTTTATCCTTATCAGTGCACATTGGTCAAGGATGTTCTTTTTAACCGATGCGAGGTCTTTTATCATATTTCTCTCTCCCACACTGCACTCACCCGTTTCCCCCGATGGGCATTTATGTTACCGTCACTCATGATTCAGTGACTGGGCTTGAATGTGGTCCCTGGCGTGTGCCGCTGCCCGTTCTCTAGGCGCAGGGCTGTGGGCCATGTGCGTTTCATTTTGTGCTGGGCTTGGTCCAGGTGCTTTTCAGGGTGATTGTGCGAAGCAGCTCCCCCTTCCCTGTCCCAGAGGGAGGGCCTTGCTTCCTGTGGCCTGACCAGCAGCAGACACTCTCCAGCTCTCGCCAGCCTGATGGCCAGAATCTCTCCTCCCAACCCCCACACCACGGTCTGGGTGTGCATTCCTGGCGTGGCAGGTGTGGGCGCCGCCATGAGTTCACGGGGCCATGTGTTATGGGGGGTGCTGCTCTCAGTCCCCTGCCTGCCAAGGGTGCGGTGCTACCTCCTCTGATCCTTTCTCCTGTGTCCTCAGCTCCGGAGAAGGGGTCTGGTCGAACCACGGCTGTGCGCTCACGAGAGGAAACCTCACCTACTCCGTCTGCCGCTGCACTCACCTCACCAACTTTGCCATCCTCATGCAGGTGGTCCCGCTGGAGGTAAGAGCCAGGCCTCAGGGGTCGCGGGACCTGGGGGACGTACCATGAGGCTGCAGGTGGGGGCGGGAGGATGCTTTGCCCGCCAGTGCCCACGGGCCCTGGGCACATTACTCCATGGGGCCTGTGTTTACAGACGGAATCCATTCTCTTGGCTTCTGTAGTCCAGGGTCCTGCATGTATTGGGTGCCAGCAAATATCCGAGGAGCCCATGATTGTGTAAATCGAGTCCAGTGTGGTGTGCTTCGCACAGCAACGCCCAGACTGCACCTGGGGGGATCCAAGGAGGGACCCCTCATCCCTCCATCTGTCCCTCTGGCAGATTCTCACTGGGCGCCTGCTGGGAGCCGGGCGCTGGGGGCTCCGCTGTAAACAAGAAAAACAACACAGTCCTGCTCTTGAGGAGTTTGTGTTCTAGTGGGAAAGACAGATAATAAACAAACCAGCAGATAAATTAGTCACTTTGAATCAGTGGAGGAAGAAAGTGGAAGAGAACAGCCCAGTAGAAGATGACCTCAGGGAACGAGGCTGTGTTCACGGAGTGGTGAGGAGACAGCGGGGAGCGGGGCGTCTTCACGGAGCGGTGAGGAGAGGTGTCTCCGGGATGTGGCGTCTGAATGGCCAGAGGAAGCTGATGTCTTGAAGGCCTGGGGGCAGAATGTTCTAGGCCAGGAAACAGCAAGTGCACAGGACAAGGGGCAGGAAGGGGCTTGGCATGGCCGTGGATGGAGCACCCTGAGCTCCAAGGCCCTGGGGAGGCGGGAGGCAGGGAGGAGCAGGCTCGGCTCCAGCATCCAGGCCTCAGGGAGGAGCGTGAGTTTCATTCTAGATGCATACGAAGCCTTTGGAGAGCTGTGCCTGGGAGCAGCTTGGTCTGAGCTACCCTGGGTTTGGGGTGGGGCACGTAGACGCTCATGTAGGTGGAAACCAGGAGTGGAAGGAGGTGTTGCTGCTGACACTGCACACTGCACACCCACACTCACGTCTGTCGGTTGCGCTCACAGAAGGGCTGGTTTGGACAGCATAGATGTGGCTGCTCCGAGCCAGGCTGGGTTTGGCAGATGTGTTGGGAAACGGCGATCTGTTGGATGCTGGGCTGTAACCTGTGGCTGGTGTTGGGCATTTTGGGGCCTGAGAGAGGGCCAGGCTGGAGGGTAAGTCAGGCAGGGAAGCAGTGACGCCTCCAGCGTCTCCCGGACAGATTTGTCACGAGACTCATCTTCCGTGCGGAGCCCTGGTCTTTTAGAGCCTCATGTGCTCATCGTGGCCACTGACTTCTGGAGGCTCGTCCCCAGTCTAGGGCTCTTCAGGGTGGCTTTGGGAGGAGTCAGGATGTCTCTGATCACAGCAGCTCCCGGGAGGGGGCACCAAGCTCAGGTGGTTCCCAGCAGGCACTTTGTCACCAGGGCTTGAACACCCGTCCCTGCCTGGGTCACTGCCTGCCTCTGTGGTCACATTTATCAAGGCTGTGGACAGGCAGAATCTACCTGAATCCACCAGCGTCCGCAGTGTCTGCACTGGGCCAGAGGGTGATGCTGCCCCGCGTGTCCTGCGTGGTTTTGTGTGGGTTTTGGGGGTGTTGAATGGGTTGGGCTTCCACTGTCCTGTTGACCAGGAGACAGAACTCTTCAAGGTGTAACGGAGGCAGAATCCTAGCTTCGCCTTCTCCCATCCTGGGAGACTTTTCCTATTCCAGAAAGAGGGCCCAGGAATGCAGCCTCCCAGGGGTGCTGTGGGAAGGACACGAGTCCACTGCGACACAGTCACGGATCCAGCGCTCAGCCCAGGCGCCCCTCGCTCCCTAACAGAAACCACCAGCAAACCTAAGCCACGGGGTTCTGTGTGCAGAGGCCTGATGGACCACAGTTAACTCTCAGATCAATGGAGACAGGGCCCTGGTTTTTGGAAGTGACTTGTAATGCTGCTGGGGCAGATGGAGATAACCTCATCTTTAAATTCCATGGAAAATAAAATGGCAGATGCTCCTGAGCTGCAGCCCCTCACAGGGCGAAAGACGCACGTGGCACCTGCAGCCAGTGTGATCCCGGCCTCACTGGCCGACGGGCAGCTGCTCACGTGAGCGCGTATGAGCCTCACTCTGCAGAAGACGCCAGAGGGAAACAGCTATTCCTGTTTCCAAAGAGAAGGCCCTTTCTTTTCACAAAATGCATGCTTGATGTCACACTGTGAATTACTTATGGAGACTGCAGAGAGATGTCCAAGCCATATTTTATTTTTATTAAATTAAATAAATTAATTTTTAGAGACAGGGTCTCACCCTGTTGCCCAGGCTGGAGTGCAGTGGTTTGATCATGGCTCACTACAGCCTTGAACTCCTGGGCTCAGGCTATCCTCCCACCTCAGCCTCCCAAGTAGCTGGGACTACAGGCACATGCCACAACGCCTGGCTAATTTTAAATTTTTTCGTAGCAATGGGTTCTCACCATGTTCCTCAGGCTGGTCTTGAACTCCTGGCTTCAAGCAATCCTCCCACCTTAGCCTACAAAGTGCTGGGATTACAGGTGTGAGCCACTGCACCAGCTTTTTTATGTGCATGTATTAATTTTCTGTAGAGATGGGGCCTCACTTTGTGGCCCAGGCTCTGAGACATATCTTAAGTGGATAGGAGGGGGCACCATTCACCCTCGGGTCCCTCGTGCACAGACACACACCCAGCATCCTAGACCTACGTGCTTTGGAGCCTGGACCCAGGAGCCCTTGGCGCTGCGTGAGATGAAATGTCAGGTGACAGGGGACCGGCAGCCTCCTCAGTAGCTTCCATGCCGCAGGGTCCCCCAAGAAGGGCCGGCCACGAAGCAAGTGGAACTGCCAAGCCCTTGCGTGCCGGGGCTTTCCGGCTCAGGGCCGTGGGGTTTTAGAGGTTCCGAAGGGGCGGCTCTGTTGTGAGGCTGGTGGGACCCAAGCCCACCCGTTGCCCGCACCCTTCAGTGGTAAATATTGTGCAGGCAGCTGTGACCCGCCAGATAATCCCGAGGGGATGTTCCTTAAGGAGTGTTTCCCCTAGAGCAGCTGCCCCGCCAGCGACTGCCCCTTCCCAGTCCCCACGCCCCCCCCATGCCTTCCCAGTGGCCCCTCTTCTCCTGGCCTGCAGACCCCACAGCCTCCATGTGGAGGTGGGCCCTTCGCGGCTGGGGAGGGCCATGACCTGGATCATTGGCGGCAATTTAAAGAAAATTAAACAGAGTAAATGAAACCACACCAGAGGGCGGTGAACGTAGAAACAGTTCCTGGGTTTAAATTTCTTGCCATGGACCAGGCCTCAGTTTGAGGAGCACCGTCCTCTGCGGACGGCCGTGACGCCTTCTCTCTCCTCCCACGGGCTCCGTTTCTCCTCTCCCCTCCCGCCAGGGCCCGGCCCACAGGGCTCCCTTTGGGCTTCCCTCGTGGTGTCGTAGGGAGCAGCCCAGGGGAGAAGGCGCAGAGCTGCCCCCATGGAGAGCACCTGTTCGTTCCTGGAGATGGGCGGACTGCACGGTGCTGTGGCCAAGGCTGCTCGTCTTACCAGCAGAGAAACTGAGCCCCAGAGAGAGGGGGGCGCTTGCTGGTGGTCGCCCGTCGTTCAACAGCGTGTTATTGAATTACCGGTAGAGCCTGGGCTGTTTAGGTAGCACCCGGGCCATGGGGACCTGGCAGTGAGGATGCTGTGGCACGCACAGAGACACAGCAAGTCAGTGCACGCCACGTCCTGCCCCGTAAGGGCCACGCGGGAGATCATGTCGGATGACTTGTGGATAATTAGGCTCTAAAACGCAGTCCTGGTGATGCCGGAGCTGTTTGAAAGACGGAAGCCCAGGAGGGCCTGCCTGAGAAGGTGGCGGTGGATTTTACATCTCAGGGTGGAGAGGATGGAGCCTCCCGGCCCTGAGCAAGGACAGTCCGGGCAGAGGACAGGGTGGGGACGGAGGGCAAGGAGGGAGCAGCCAGGGGTGGTCCTCGGGGAAACGCCAGGGCGGAGGCAGGGGCTCCAGGCCCAGGGGTCGTGAGGGGCAGGAGGCGGGGAGCAGGAGAGGTGGCGGAGGCTGCTGCGGTGACTCGAGAAGCGGCAGCCCGCTGGTGTGGCGGGGGTGGAGGGGCACGAGTCCCACTGCAGATGACCAGGGTTGCCCCATCTTCGACTAAGAAAGCTGGCGATCTGTTTCTCCCACGAAATCTTCTGACTGTTAGAGGTGTCGTCAGTTATTACTTCTGAGCCATATGTGAGAGGTCATCTGTGTGCTGACCAGACGCCTGGGGTCTTGTGAAGATGCAGACCCCACATTCAGGGGGTCTGGGGTGGGGCCTGGCATCCTCATTTCCGACAAGGCCCGGGTGGAGTGAGGCCCCACCGGTCCCAGACCACCCTCTGAGCAGCCCCAGGCACAGGCGCCCAGTCTGCAAACATCAGCTCGCATTTCTGTTCGTGTCATGGGACCCGGCTGCAGCAACTGTTACCAAATCTGAGGATGGATAGTCCGGCCCCACATGTGTGCTCGTTGGCATGTGAAGAACTTCCCTTGTCGCAGGAGCTGAGGGGGGAACTGGAGAGACAGGTCCTCAGCCTGGAAGTGAGTGAAGAGAGAACCTGGAAGATTCAGAGACAAAAGAAATAGACCATGGGTTAAAAAGGAGCCCGAACCAAGGGCCAGTGGGCGGGGCTTCTGGACACAGGCATTGCCTTCAGGGAACGGGGAACGTCTTCCTTCATGCACAGCTCTGCAGAGTGGGCACCGGCCCCACTGGCTGCCGGGAGCCATTTATTGAATGCTGGCTGGTGATTGTGGCCTTCACACAGCCGACCACCTGGGAGTAAGGGGAAGACAGTAACAGGCACCATTTCAGATGCTCCCTGCCTGTAGATGCTCTTAACTGTTGGATACCCCCTGCCTGCAAGTGCTCCCTGCCAGTGGGTGCTCACTTCCTGGTAGTGCTCCTGGCCAGTGAGTGCTCCCTACCTGATGGGTGCTCCCGGCCAGTGAGTGCTCCTTGCCTGGAAGGTGCTCCCTGCCTATGGGGGCTCCCTGCCTGTGGATGCTCCCTGCCTCATTGGGGCTTGCATTCAGGCCTGCCCTCTCCTTCAGTCCACACCACACGAGTGAGGTGCTGTCATGTGGCCATCACAGACAAGAGTCATAGGTGATTCCCTGAGGTCACATCAGGGGGCAGAGCCCAGCCTTGAGCCAAATCCCGAATGTTGGGGTTGTGCCCATGCTCTGGAGCATCAGCTGCCTGGGAGCAGAGCCTCCTCCTCTGGATCCTCTATAGGCTGAGAACTAAAGCCCAGTGTGACTTCCTTCTTGGCATGGCCAGAGAGAGGGGGAGTTACACTTTCAGCTGAAAACTGTGTTTTTGTGTGTTGTGTGTTTGTGGTAGAGGAAGGAAGGGAAGGGCCCAGTCCAGCGAGTAAAAAACCTGGGACAGAGACGACTTACGGTCTCGATCCGTCACCGTTCCCTCTCAGTGACACTGGATTTTGACAGTCTGTGGGTGTCTTCGTGGGAGCAAATCGCATCTATTCATTGCCAGAAAAGGTTGATTTGAAAATGGTTTAAAATTATCTGTGCTAAAAATGAACATTCTCATCAACATTAAAAAAAGTTAAGGCTGATATCATAAGTAGAAACCAAATTTGCAGCATACTCAGAGAATTAATAAAAATAGCACCAGTGACCTTATTTCTGTGACCTGGAGTCATGTCTTCCACGGGGCCCTGGGCTCGCACTGCTGGTCTTTGGGTTCCTGGTGCAGGCTTTCTGCTCAGGAGCTCACATCCTCATCGTGTCCCTTCTCTCTCCGAGGTTTTCCCCTGGCTTTTCTCCATATCCAGCCTCCTCCTTGGCGGTTGTTTCGGGAAGCCCTCTTCCTCCTAAGTGGGCAGTGTCCTTTTTGTGGAAAGCCTATCAGACAACAGAGTTCACCTGAGTGAACTGGACCTAGCTGGGGTGGGCTCCAGGGCTGCTGTCCAGGGGAGGGAGACCCCAAAACGACACTCTGTCTTTGCATGCTGCTGTCAACATGGTGATTAGGGCCCAGGCCCTGAGGAGCCATGTCAAGGCATCTGCTGATGGACACTGCGATGGCTTCCAGCATCTGGCGACTTCCAGTGGTTCCGGAGTGCATGACCCTGCACATGCTTCTTTAGAATAAATTCCTGGCAGGTGAATCTGTGGGCAAAGGGCACAGGCATTTTGATTTTGAAAGACATTGCCGCATTGCACTCTGGGAACCGTGTACCAATTTATTGCTCCTCCAGCCAGGGTCAAGAATGGGTAGCTTTGCTTTACATGTGAGTCACAGAAACATGGCGTCATCTCTGGGTGCTTCTAACTTCTCCTGCTGAGTGCAGTTCAAGCAGGGGAACGAACCCCTGGGCTGTCCAGTAGATCTGCATCCAGACCCACCCTTCACCACCCCAACTGCTCCACTCCCCAGGCCTGATTTCTGCCCCTTTGAAATTAGCAACCCCAGATCCAGTAAGAACCCAGAGAAGGCAAGTTTTTCTTTTAATTGGATAAAATTATCCTAGAAAAGTAGGCCATTGGAACAGATAGAGAATTCATCCAGAACAGACCCTGTAACTTCTCAGTACACCCATGAGAATCTATGTCAGAGAATTAAAAGAATCAGCAAGTAAGATGACATAAAAAAGTATAAAATCAGAATATTGACATTATTTATAGTAGAAATAACAGAAGCATGAATAAACATAACACTAATGATTGTGTAAATTCTAATACATCCACGCTAAGGGAGATTATTCATCTCTATACTAAAAGAGGAATGATGAAGTCACGAAACGCGGTGTAACTGTGAAAGAATGGGGTTGTCACCATGCCAGTGCGTTTGCAGGGATTTCCAAGGTAACATTGTGTGAAAAGGACAAGACGTAGACTAGAGTGATACATATCCCATTTTTGTAAAGCCACGCCAAAATCCCCTATGCGTGGGTGTGTTTCTGTATATGTGTTTAAATATGCAACATTTGTATCTTGGTATGTGATTATCAGAAAGGCACGGGCAGTGCATTCAAGGTTGTTAGTGGGCCGGGGCGAGGAGGGGGCCACAGAGGTGAGGCAGTGGCAGGAGCTGGGGAGAGAAAGGACTGTAAACACCAGCCTGTGGGCTCTGACCCAGGTGTGTATTTGTGTGGAATTGTGTGATATGATCAAATGAGTAAAGTCAGCCTGCTGGCAGAGGTGTTTCTGAGGCCTGCTACCCAGGGGTGGTGTTTCATGTTCACTGCGCCTTCCTGATGTCCGGGTGCTGAGACACGCCCATGCCTGTGTTTGCTGTATGAATGAGGGTATGGAGGAGTGAGTCTGTTCCACAAGAGGAGAGGAACTTAGGGAAAGAGATGTGTTCTCCTTGGAGGCCAGAATGCCACATGCGTGCTGGTTTAGTCGGTGGATCCCAGTCATGCTGGCACAACTGGTCTGTACTGCCGCAGGTAGGTGGGAGCTCAACTTTCTGTCCTCCCTAAGGACTGGCTGGCAGGGTGCGAGGGAGTGAGGACCTGAGGTTAACACAGGGGTGGATGCAGGTGTGGGCTGGCTCAGCCAGGGACCGAGAGGAGGGCTCAGGCGTGCACTACTCAGCGTTTCTTGCTGAAGCCACACACCCAATGAAGGTGCTGGGCATGGGGACTGGTGCCGTGGAAGGCATTTGGGCCTGGCCTTAGGGAAAATTCAGCTGCACCTACTCCTGGCGCTTGTGTTCCCCGCTCAGGGTGTGCAGGCCAGGGAGGTGGTCTGGTTGTCTAAGGTGGGAGAGCCCCCGATATTGATAGACAGTCCTGCCAAGGCTGCACCCAGTGGGAAGGGCAGTGGTCGAGGAGCGTGTGGGAGGTTGGGAGGAGTCCCAGGGCCCGCCACGGTGCGCTCTTTCTTCCTGCAGGTGGCCACTTCCTCCCAGGCGGCCACTTCCCAGGCTTCAGGCATGGGAAGCGTCCCAGGCATGGGCACCTGCCTTGGGGTGGCTCTGACCTGGGGGGTGCAGGAGCCCTGTGCCAGTACAGGAGCACCTGGGAATGCCAGTCCCCGAGCACCCGCTCCTGGGGCCTGGTGGTCACAGGGAAAAAGCATTTCAATAGGACGGTCATGAACCGTGGTCTGAAGGCTGACTCTGGCCAGTGACTGGGCTTCTCCTAGCCCACAGAGGCTTAAATTTTTAAAAATTGGTTGTCAGTATTCCAAAACACAGACATTTTATCTAAAATTTGGGATTTCTTTTTTTTTTTTTTTAAATAAAACAAGAAGAGGAAGATGTGGCCACGCTGGGCTTCCCCCTCTGGCTGGAAACGATGCTGGAGGCGAGTGGCTACCACCCCTGCACTCAGGGCGAGGTCCCCAGGGCCCCCCGGTCCCCATGGCCTCCCCGTACCACAAGCAGCTGCCCCTCCTCATCACGTTCGCATCGCTCTTCTGCTTTTAGGAGACAGTGAAATGCTTCCTGCTCTTGTCTTGGTGGGAAAGTGACATATGCACTGAGAAGGACTTGGGTTAGAACTGTGGGAGGGAGGATGCTTGTTTTGGCAGCACAGTCCCACCTGGTGGTTATGTCTGCAGGCCCCCACTGGCCTCCTGAGCTGATGCCCTGCCTCTCAGGAGGCATTTGAGGTTGTAGTTTCTGAGTCAGAGGAGTCCGTGTCCTGAAACCAACTGCAGGCTTTTCTGGGCATTTCTAAATCTAGCTATGGGTGGGAAAGGAAGGGCACCGTGGGGGCACACCACGCCTTCCTGAGGCAGGAACGGCAGTGCAGCCTCCGCCCAGACCCATGGTTCTAGGCCCCGTGCCCCGCGGTTACCCAGCCAGGTGCAGCCTTGAGCCTCTCAGATGGGCCCTGGCTCCAGGGAAGGGCACAGGGCGGGCAGTGGCAGGGGCCTGAATTACACGGTGTTGCTGGGAGCTGTGAGAACCACTCTGAGCTGTATTTGCGGTCCCGAGGGTGTGTCACAGGCGGGACTGTGCCAACTGCAGTGCCGGCAGCCGCAGCATGTACAGCTCAAGTCAGAAACAGGCTCCCTCCACGGGGTCTCTGTGTGAATGTTAGCCAGACCACCTCCCAATAACACCTCCTGCATGCAGCTGGGGTTAGTAGTGGCCCCTCTGCCTCCCAGCCAGCTGGACACACAGGTCCCTCCCAGTGATGTGCCAGGTGGCCTTGGGCAGGTGCCTGCTCTGAGCCTCAGTTTCCCCGCTGTGACATGGGTGGGACCCTTTCCTTGTGGAGCTGTGGTGGTGATGAGGAGGCAGAAGTAAGCACAGCTCAGGCCCAAGCACCCAGCCTCAGCAGCACCCAGCCTCAGCACCCAGCCCTGAGCACCCAGCCTCAGCACCCAGCCCTGAGCACCCAGCCTCAGCACCCAGCGTCAGCACCCAGCCTCAGTCCCCAGCCTCAGCACCCAGCCTCGGCACCCAGCCCTGAGCACCCAGTCTCAGCACCCAGCCCTGAGCACCCAGCCTCGGTACCCAGCCCTGAGCACCCAGTCTCAGTACACAGCCTCAGTACCCAGCCTCAGCACCCAGCCCCAAACACTGCCTGACAGAGTGAAGTCACAGTGAGCCATGAGTATGAGGTCCCTAGGGATGTCCTGGCCCTGAGGACCCCTGAGAGTGGAGTGGGAGTGGGGTGGGGTGGAGCAGGCCTGGCTACTGCACCTGGGACTGCAGCCATCCCAGCATTGACCCGTTCATGGCCACAAGTCTCCTTCCATTCACTCTTCATAAGGAAGGTTCAGTCCTGTGGCTGTGGGCACCGGGGCAGGACGGTCTATTGCCCTGTTGATGGGGGTGGGGGTAACTGTGGAGGCTGGAGGGGCTCCAAGGAGAGGCCCCTCCACCCATCCCTGGACCCCTCTAATCCTGGAGGCAGAAGAGGGTCCTGCCTTGCCCAGGAGTAACAAGGAAGTTGGTTTGTTCAGCAGCGCCCCCCCGACTCCCCAAGCAATACTGTGGTTCACCAGTGTCTTCTGGCTGAGTGGGGAGGGCATGCATCCTCAGTACCATCCTCTTAGAGACCCAGAAAATTGTCACCATCCCTTCTGATTTCCCAGCCTGTGCAGTTCTTCCAGAAGGAGAGGGTGGTGGGCAAAGCCTGCTGGGTCCTTCTGCATGGGCTCCTTACCATTCCACCAGCAAGCCCTCCAGGTGCACGGGTGCACGCTGTTCCCGCCCCGCCTTACAGATGAGTTTTCCTGAGCCCTGTCCTGGGCTGCTGAGAGCTGGGCTGGGGATGGGAGCTGGGAGCTCACCCGGGGGAGGCGCAGGGGCATGCGTCCTTCCACCCCCTCCCGTCTCCTGCCCTACCCACCCCTTCCCATGCCCCTCCAGTCTCCCTCGAGACGCCCCCTCTCAGCCCCCAGGGCCCTCCCCTGTACCCTGTGGCCTGTGCCTCTCTGAGTGGAGAGCTGAGTGAGCCCTGGGAACAGGGCTGACACCTGCCACCCCCATCTCTCCCTTCAGTCCCCCCGACTCTCAGGCTGCTGGCCACCTGGGACATTGGGAAATGGGCCTAAGAGGTAAAAACCTGCACTTCGAGGTGGAGCAGCAGCCAGTTGCTGCCGGGACTCAGCTTTGCTGTCAGCTCAGCCCCAGCCCTGCCTGGGCACCTTGCAGTCCTGGGGGCAGGGAGACGTAGCTTCAAGGTTCTGAGGGTTCCACCCCTGCCCCTCTTGACAAATTCAATTGCCGTTGCCTCCTCCAACCAGACCCAGGCTGCTCCTTTTAGAGGAGAAGCATATGTTGCTTCATTTATTCCCTAATTCTCCTGAAGAAGTGTCTGCTCTGGAGTGTGCTGGGCTGGAGCCGCTCTGCAGAGGGAGCTGCAGCAGCCTCTGGGGTGGTCCTGTCTTGGGGGATCTTCTTTCGGGGCTACCCTCAGAATTGGGGTCTTACTCTGTGGGGCTGAGGGTGGGCCGGGTGACCAGGACTGGGAACATGGTCAGGGGCCAGACTGGACGTTCCCAGGGCAGATGGACGCATAGCCCGGCCGAGGGATCGGGTCGCTTTGCGGGGCAGCTGTGGGCTGCAAGGCTGTGGTCAGGGCTTGACGTCTGAAGCAGGCCAGGTTTCTGGTCAACACGTATTTTTTGTCATGAGTGTGTTGAATCTTGGGAATTAGAGTGGGGATGTGGGCCGTCTTTGAGAAGCCGCCAGCCCCCGTGTTAGGAGTGGGACAGGAGCTCGAGGGTTCTTTTTGGGACATACAGGAAGCTGGGGTGTCAGGAGACAGAGGGGTTCTGTAGGTTGAATTGTTTGTAAAGATGATACACGCATGTGGGAAAATGCAAGAACACAGAAGGCAGAGTGTGGAAACTGACGGTCACGGCCACCGTTCCCGCCTCCCAGCCCTGCCCAGAGCAGCGGCTTAGGGTCACGGCCACCATTCCTGCCTCCCGGCCCTGCCCAGAGCAGCGGCCTAGACACGCGCTTGCTTTTCTGTCATTCCAGACGCAGTTGCTGAGCCTGGGGCCCCGCTTTGCTCTTTGTTCTTTTTTTGTTTGTTTTTAAAATTTTCTGTACCTCAATGGATGCAAACCTTCCTTTAAACAAAGGGTAGTGAAGCATAAAGACTGCACCCTTTATTTTTATTTACAATTTATTTGTGTTAGAGACAAGGTTGCACGCTGTGGTCCAGGCTGGAGTCAGTGGCGCCACCTTGGCTCACTGCAGCCTTGACCTCCTGGGCTCCAGAGATCCTCCTACCTCAGCCTCCCAAGCAGCTGAGACTAGAGGTGTGCACCACCATGCCTGGCAAGATAGCACACTTTAAAAAATGTATGCACGTATCTTGGAGGTTGCTCCTTCTCAGGGTACACAGAGCCACATCTCCCGTGTTAACCACTGCATAGCTCTCCCGCGGGTGGACACTGAAGTCATGGTGGTCTTTGGCCGCAGCAAATAACCAGCATCCTATGCACACATCCCGCCTCCATCTGTGAGGATGGGTTCCCGTGGGGCACTGCTGGTCCAGGTTTACATCCCGCCTCCATCTGTGAGGATGGGTTCCCGTGGGGCACTGCCGGTCCAGTTTTATATCCCGCCTCCATCTGTGAGGATGGGTTCCCGTGGGGCACTGCCAGTCCAGGTTTACATCGCCACAACTGTTTAAAGCAGCCATCGTCTGGGGCACAGTGGGGACTCAGCCCTGAGTTCCCAGTCATGTTGAGTCCTGGGTTCTGCTCTGAGATCCACCTGCCTCCTGCTGCCCGGCTCTGCCTCCCACGGCCGACCACTGTGCTGAGTTGCAGGTCTGTCACTTGGGGCAGGTGATGGGAGGGGAGGAGGCCCAGCAGCTCTTCTCTCGCCCCTACACGTGGCTTTTTGGGCAGTGGCCACGCCTCTGCTGTGGCTGCAGCCCTGCTGGACAGTCTATGGATCTGGCTTCCACGGGGGGATTTGTGGCGAGGCTCATTCCTGGGCCACCTCACTACCCCTATGAGGTCCCCCTTTCTCTCCCCTCCCGAGGGTTAGCAATTCCCTGAGTCAAATGTTCCACTCTTTGAAAGGCTGGAGTGGTTTCTGTTTTCCCAGATGGCCCCAGACTGATGCACAAGCTGTGCGGCCAGGGGAGACAGCAGGAGCCCCCAGGGTTCCTGGTCTGGAAAACAAGAGGGTGATGGTCCCCCCAGCTGACACTTTCAACAAGGTCACTGTGACCCGAGGCAGGCCAGTCCCAGCATCTGTTCAAACACACAGCAGCCCAGCTGGGTCCTCGGGGAAGATCTCCTGCCTGTGGCCAGTCCTCTCCCGTCCTGCAGCACCCCTCAAGTGGCCAAGCAGCTCATTTCTACCTGTCCCCGGGCTGTCGGTTCATTTCCATCAGTGGACGTGAAATGTGCCAGCAACTGGACCCAGCCCGGGGGAGGCTGGCTGCATGCTGCTGGCACATGCTACGGCTGCCTACGGCCAGGGATGGCCGCCAAACCAGGGATGCCTGGAGTCACAGATCCGCCAGGGCCTGGTCACTCGTGCTGTCCAGGAGCCAAGGGCAGGAGTGCAGCCCAGCCAGGGGCTGAGGGCTGCCCTGAGGGGAGACAGGCCCCGTGAGAGCCTGGATGCCAGCCGCGGAGAGACCAGAGACAGGCAGGAGCCAGCCTGGCCGGGACAGGGTGGGCGTCAAAGGTTGGGGAGCAGATGGTTGGTTCAAGGGCTGGTGTGGGGGTGGAGTGTGGACCTAGCCCGGAGTTCCTGCTCTTGTGCCCGGGAGCCCATCCTCTGCTCACCCTGCTCTCTGCCCTACGCTTGGCTTCCTGCCAAGTCCAACCAAGGAGAGATGGTGCTGCTGGGGTGGGCGAAGGGGCCAGCCTCCTGCCTGGGCTCCTGCTGGCATGGGCGTCCCCCTGTGGCTCCAGCGCCTGCATGCAGACCCTCCCCTGCACCCCCGCGCCAGCCTCACCTGGGCAGGCTGGTCTGGTTCCAGTTTCTGCTGGTGGCCCGGCCTGGCTCTGCTGCTGTCCCCTCTCCCACTGTCCTCCCGCGGTGGCCGCTGTCTGGGCCTCACTTCCTTCTCCCGCAGTGGCTGCTGTCTGGGCTGCCTCACTGCCTTCTCTGCTTTTTCAGGGCTTCCCTCACCTTCATAACCAGCTCCCCAAGTCCAATCCCGAGCGGGGAGGGTCTTGCTTTCCCATGATGAAGGGAGAGGGTGGATGGAGGCAGGTCAGAGGCACGGGCTGGGGCTGGAGCATGCGGGGCCTCAGAAGCCATGGTGGGGGAATGGGGGTTTGAGTCTGAGACTCAGGCGCTATGGAGGGGGTGAGCCATGAGGGACGAGGCTCCAGTGTACAGCGGAACCCAAGCCAGGAGGGACATGGTAGAGGATGGGGCTGGTGCTGTGGGGAGACCAGGGAAGCCCAGGAGGCTGAAGAGATCAAGGCAGAGGCTCTAGAAATCCATCAGAAAGAGGATTGGGACAGATGGCCAGTGGTGAGAAGCCAGCAGGACTCGGAGGTGGGTGCTCCAAGGGAGAGGGAAGGGCCTGGGTCAGGGCCTTTCTCAGATCATGGCCGTGTGAGGGCCACCATCCCTCTTCCCTCTGCAGTCACCTCCGCCACCGCCCCTGTGTGTTTCCATCACAGCCTCATCAACACGACACTGGCAGCCTTAGGTATTTATTCACGTTTACACATCCACGTCTTTGTTCATCACCCGCTTCCCCACTGCAATGAGACTTCCGTGCATGGTGCACAGTAGGTGCTGAATACATGCTTGCTGCTGTAGCAGGGGCCATCACGGGTCAGCCCCAGCCCTGCCTCTCGCCAGCTGCATGGTGGTGGGCAGTCATTTACTGCGGCTGCCTCAGTGTCCTCATCTGTAAAGGGAAACCATGCTGTCCACTCACAGGCTTGCTCTGAGGAGTCGATGCCTTCAAGCAGCAGGTGCCTCGTTTCTGTCATTTCCAACCACTCTTCTGTGATTCTCCATGATGCCTAGAGTTTGCCAGATCCTCTGTCGGGCCCCGGGGATTCAGAATTAAACAAGACAGTCGACCTGTCTTCATGGAACTTACCGTCAGAGCTCACATCACTCTGGTCTAGAAGGCTGTCTCCTGTCCTGTCTGTCAGGTTCCTGCCCAAGCATTGAGGCCTGTGTGAAGCCCTCTCCCTCCTAACGCCCACTCAGTATTTCTCTCCCCCTCCTTCAGATCACCCTCCCTCCCTTCCAGTTTCCTAAGGCTGTGTGCAGGTCGTGGTGGAGTCAACATTTAACACAGGTTGCAGGGTTAAGTAATACAATGACAAATCCATGGCTGAATGTGTGTTACAACTAGAAAGTCCCTGTAGTAAAGAGAAGGCAGTGAGCCACTATCAGGATCACCTAGATTGTCACCTTCTGCCTCAGTCCACTCTGTGGACTTGAAAGCTGTGTTGAAGCAGTGAGGTTTGCAGACCCTGACGTGTGCATGCCATTTCTTCTTGATCCCTCCTGAAGTCGGCCTCATTATTCAGACCATTGTGTGGAAGAAGAATGTATAACGTTACATGCAGAAGCCATGGAGACTCCAGTTTATGGGAGATCTCAGGAGTTTTCAAAGGTCATTTTGATCATCTATCATTTTTACCTATGGGCTCACCTTATAACTCAAGCACCATGTACCATGTGACCCTCCAATATGTCTGGCCTTATGTTTCTTACAATCATTTCAAGGCTGCCTGGTCAGGCTATTAGCTCAGTTCAAGGGAAGAGCCATATGTCTTTCTTTTTAGTACTCCCCATTGTGCCTGGCATGATGCTGGCTTTGGGTGGGTTTGATAAAAGTACATGATAAAGAGACTTGATTGATGGTGGGGTTGGTTCATGGTGGGGTTGGTTGATGGTGAGGTTTGCTGGTGGTAAGTTTGGTTGAAGATAGGGTTGGTTGACAGTAGGTTGGTTGAGGGTAGGATTGGCTGAAGATAAAGTTGGTTGATGATGGGTTGGTTGATGATGGGTTTGATTGATAATCAGGTTGATTGATAGGTTGGTTTATGATGCATTTGGTTAATGGGTTGGTTAATGGTTAGGTTAGTTGGTAGTGGGTTGGTTGAAGGTGAGTTTATGATGAGTTTGGTTGATGATGCGTCAGTTGATGGTAGAGTTGGTTGATAGTGGATTACTTGAAGGTAAGGTTGGTTGATGGTGGGTTTGGCTGATGGTGGAATTGGCTGGTAGATTGGTTGATGATGGGTTGGTTGATGGCAAGGTTGGTTCATGGTCGGTTTGGTTGATGTTCAGGTTGGTTGATGGTGAAGTTGGTTGATGATGGGTTGGTTGTTGGTAAGGTCAGTTGATGGTGGAGTTGGTTGATGATGGGTTGGTTGATGTTAAGGTTGGTTGATGGTGGAGTTGGTTTATAGTCAGATTAGCTGATGATGCATTGTTTGAACGTAAGGTTGGTTGATGGTAGGCTTGGTTAATGGTAAGGTTGATTGATGATGGGTTGGTTGATGGTGGGTTGATTGATAATGGGTTGGTTGATGGCATGGTTGGTTGGCGATAAGGTTGATCGATAATATGGTTGGAAGGCTTAAGGCATAAGTGGGTAGGTGTGGGTCTGGGGCTAGGGCTAGACTCCCATTTGTCAGAAACTCCCAGTAGAATGGGTGGCCAAGAACGGAGATTAAGATGTTTTAGAGAGTTGGCTGACCAACTGCAGCCCAGTGTGCAGCGAACTCTCATGTCAGCCCACTGGAACCTCACTGCATTTGCAAATAGATGAGCTAAAGCTTTATTTTCTCAATTTAAAAGATATTAATCAGTGATGTAGATTTAGGAAATCTGTCTGTTGAATCAGTGGCAGAGTCAGATGGGTAGATGTGAGGGCTCTTTCTCCCCTGACGCCTTCAGCAAATACCTCTGGTTACCATTGTTCCCAGTACTGCTCACTGCTGTTCTTAGAGCTGCGAGATGAGGTAGGAAAAGCTTCCCTAATGCATCCTCAGGGCTTCCCGTGTCCCTGGGGGAGAGACGATGCCCCATGAAATGCAGCTATGGTGTCCGAGAGTGATATGCATCCCTCTGGTGGGACATGAGATGACTTGGGTAGAGCAGAGATGATCAGGGGTGGGGAGGAGCCAGGGCTTTGTGGGGTGGAGACCTGTGTGGGGTGCATCTCTTGGGGGGCTTCCCAGGGCAGTGGGCCAGGCAGGCTTTTGGACACCACTGCTTTCTTTCCTTTACTAGCAGTGTTTCCACTGATTTTTCTTCTTTTCTTTCTTTTATTTTTTTTCTTTTTCTTTCTTTCTTTTTTTTTTTTTTTTTTTTTTTTTTTGAGATGGAGTCTGGCTCTGTCGCCCAGGCTGGAGTGCAAGTGGCACGATTTCGGCTCACTGCAACCTTCACCTCCCGGGTTCAAGTGATTCTCCTGCCTCAGCCTCCTGAGTAGCTGGGATTACAGGTGTGGGCCATCATGTCTGGCTAATTTTTGTATTTTTAGGAGAGACGGGATTTCACCATGTTGGCCAGACTGGTCTCAAACTCCTCGCCTCAGGTGATCTGCCCGCCTCGGCCTCCCAGAGTGATTACAGGCGTGAGCCACTGTGTCTGGCCTCCATTGGTTTTTAACTGAATTCAGTTTGGTAACTGCTGAAGAGCTGGACGTTCGTTTCCAAGAACCATTCCCTCTGCTGAGGCCCAAAACTCTTGTAACTGACCCTTACTTCCATCTCTAGGCAGAGATCAGTGTGAGAGACAAGACTTTTCAGTTGTCTTAGAAAGATTGCATATCCAGTATAATGTCAGTGTGTCCTGTATTTGGTTTTATTCTTAGTTTCTGAAACATCTCACTTCCTCTAAAACAGCACTTCTTAAACCACATCTCTATTGCTGTCATTGGGTCTCTTCCCTTCCTCCTCCAAAGAGTTTAAGAGATGCCAAGTTGAACATAGCTGAACAGGGGGGTTTATTTTACCTGCAGAATCCTCAGAACTCTTAAGTGGCTTTATATTCATCCAAAAAGTCTTTTAAGGGGTGCAGAGAATGGAGCTTTTTCCAAACTTATCTGAAAGCAGAAACATCATTTCATGGACAATTTGCTAATAATGTCATGCGGAAACTGGAGTGTCACACACTTAGCGTGGGGAATGTGGCCTAGAAACTGAGTTCCCTTCACCCACCGCGGCTATGCGATTAATGGGAGTAGCTCTTGGCCCGTCGGTCTGCAGGTGGAGATGTTTGTTTCCATTGCCGAGAATGCTGCGGTGGGAATGCACTGGCAGCACCCGCCTGTTGAGGAACTTGTTTTGCCAAACATACTCGGCAGGTGACTGATGAGTGCCTACCCCTCCCACAAGGCCCCTTCTGCTGGCAGAAGATGCCTGTGACCTCAGCTCCCACCTGGTGGAGCAGAGATGGGCAGCACTGGGCAGCCTCGGGCCCCCGGGAGGCCCCTGTTCGCCCACAGCGTCCCAGGTGCCCTGGGTGTTGCCAGGCAGCGATAGGGAGTGGGCTCTGGGCAGAGTCGGTGTGAGTTCACCAAAGTCTCCACCTTGAGTTCCTCAAGCCCAGTGCAGGAGAGCCCATGAGGGTCAGGGGAAGCCAAGATGGAGGCACACACCCAGGGGACATCGTGGCACCTGCTGCAGGGAAGCCCACGGGCATGGCTGTGATTCCCAGGGGTCAGAGGTCAACAGCCTGAAGGTCTTCTCAAATATGGGAGGCCAGGCCCAGGAGTTGAAGGAAAAAGGTTTATCCATGGGAGAAGGAGTAGTGGGGCTCTCCTACCCCTAACTGCATGATTCTGCAATAACCAGAAACAAGAACAAGAAACCGCAGCCATTCTCCTGAGGGGACGGGGGCCCCATTTCTTCAAAGTTCCCTCTCATCCTCAGGGATACTGATGGGCTCCCCTGTGACTGCCCCTCCTCTCTCCCTGGGGCATCATGAACCTGGAAGGGGGATTCTTCCGTCTCCCTGGCCCTGGCCACGCAGTGCCCACCTTTCCCGTGATAGCCACAACGTCCGTGGAGAGGGAAGTCCAGCCCCTGGGAAATTGGAAGTTGTGCGCAGGTCCTTGCCTGCTGAGGCCTGAGCCGGCGTTCAGCACAGGTGGCTCTGCCCAGCCCTCAGCCTCTCTGCCTTGTCCCTGAGCCGGAGAGCACAAAAGGGCCCCTCCAGGGGAAATGCTGCTGGTGTCATGGCAACAGCTGTTTCACTCCTGAAGGGGGCCAGGCCAAGGCCCTGCCTTCTGCAAGCACTGGTTCTCAGAGAAGATACCAGGGCCTGCAGGGTGAAAATGAGCTCCTGCTAAAATGGGAGGCACAGGCTGTGGCGTCCAGGCTGCCCCTACCCCAGCCCCACGCACCCAGGAATCTAGCACGTCTGTAGCCCCTCGGGCGTGAGCCCACTCCGCTGTGAATCACAGTTGAAGGCGGTGCTTGCTGAGTGTTCGGGCTTCCCATGGCCCCCTGGCCCCAGGTTGCTCCCCGTGGTCCAGTGCACTACCTGCCTCACCCTGAGCTGGGGCCCCCTGGGCCTGCGGCATCTCCTCCCTCATTGCCAACAGCTCCTTACACACTCAGAGTGGCCTCCTTTTGTTCCTTTGTCCTGGTGATCGGGGAGAAGGCATTTAGACTCCCCCTACCCGCATGCCACAGGAGGAAGCTGGAGGCAGGCGTCTCGGAGGACGGGGGGACGTGGGTCTGGGGTCTGGGGCCTCAGTGCCGGACAGGGACAGCATGATGCAGGCTTCAGGCTTCAGCTGGGCCTCTGACAAGAGCCATGGGCCACAGGAGGAAGCACGTGGCGCCCTCCTGCACGTGAGCAGCTGGGAGGCTGCCCTTCCAGGCCTGTGGCTTAGGAGCCCGGAGCCTCCTGGAGCGCAGGGTCACATGTGTCTGAGCTTGAGGCCCCGACTTCAGAACCGAGGGGGCGCCGTCTGGATTGTGCGGTCGGTGAACTGCGGCTTCGGTTCTATCCTTTGTGGCCCTGCAGCCGCTTAATCCCCAGGTGTGTTCTGTTCTGCCTCATTCCCACAAGGTGTTGGGACCCAGCAGACACGGGTGCTGGCGATCACCACCGTGTCCATTTAGAGAGCTTTCCTGAGGCCCACAGTGTGCAGGCGGCAGCCATTGTGCGGGGACTGGGAGGGTTGTGGCCTCAGGCGGGGGCGGTAGCCAGCTCTTCCCTAGCACTACTTTGTGCGGGGACTGGGAGGGTCGTGGCCTCAGGCCGGGGCGGTAACCAGCTCTTCCCTAGCTGCTCCAGCACTTTATGTTTGTAAATTCATGGAGTCCTTGCGGCCACTGTGGGAATGGAGAGGGGTCATTATTTTCATTTCACAGCCGAGTGTCACATGGCCCAGATTGTCAGCCAGGACGTGGCCCAGCTGGGACTTGAACCCGGGAGGTCTGGCTCTGGGGCTGACTGTTAGTCTGCAGCCCTGTGTATTGCAGTGTAGACAGGAGGCTCAGCGCCTGCCCGGGCCAGGCAGCCACAGTCTGGAGACTGTGGCTGAGGGAGCCTCAGTGTTCTGTAGGGCACCTCGGGGCACCGGACATGCACGCACAGAACCAGGGCTGCAACCCCAGCACCGGCCTCTGTCGGTGGCAGCAACAGACATTTGGGCTGGGAGGCAGGCTTGGTGGTCAGCACCACACTCACAGGGGACCAGCTGTGCACCCACCTGGGCCCTCTGCAGCTTCAGGCTCCGATGGGGTGCCTGGGCCTGCTGCTGACGCCTCTGCTCTGCTCCCCGCAGCTTGCACGCGGACACCAGGTGGCGCTGTCGTCTATCAGCTATGTGGGCTGCTCCCTCTCCGTGCTCTGCCTGGTGGCCACGCTGGTCACCTTCGCCGTGCTGTCGTGAGTCCCCTTTTCTAATCCACCCAACAGTCTCTCGGCCCCTGCCTGCACCCAGATCTCAAGATGGAAGAGACACGGGAGAGGGGAGGGGCTGTGGAGGTAAGAGCACCAGGCTTAGCTGGAAAGGTCTGGAAAGGCCCCCAGCCCAGGCACAGGAATTCTGGTGGAACCCGAGCCAGGCAAAAGGGGATGGCCATGGGCCTGGGGACACCTCAGCCCTGTGCTCAGATATTCACTCTCGCTCCCACGTTCCTCAGCACAGGCGTGTGGTCGGCTTTGAGGGCCCGACTGTGCCCAAGAGAGATGAGAACATGCTTGGATGGGGGCTGGACAATAACCAAGTAAACAAAAGCGAGAACAAACATCTTCACTGTGATCACGCCACGAGGCAGCAGGGCAGAGAGCGAGGGGTGCAGCTAGGTCCCAGCAGTGGTCAGGAAGCTTACGCTGAGGGAGACATTTGGGCCGCCATGCGGGGACCTGGGAGAGGGTTTACTGCATGGGAACAGCTATGCAAAGGCCCCACAGCTGGAATAAGCTGGGGCTTTGAGAAGCAGGAACATGAGCTGGGAAAGAAAGGAACTCAGAGCAGAGCCATGGCCCAGGGTCAGACTGTGTAGGGCTGTGTGGGCATGGAAGGAGCTGGGGTCAGATCCAAGAGCAATAGGGAGCCATCGATGGTCCACAGCAGGGAGTGACAGCAACCCCTCTGGCTGCTCTTGGAGGAATGGATATAGGGACTTCGTGGGGCCAGGGAGCCCAGCCTGGGGGACTGGGTCGGCGCAGGGCCCAGGCCTCACACCCTGCCTCTGTCCTCAGCTCCGTGAGCACCATCCGGAACCAGCGCTACCACATCCACGCCAACCTGTCCTTCGCCGTGCTGGTGGCCCAGGTCCTGCTGCTCATTAGTTTCCGCCTCGAGCCGGGCACGGTGAGTGGGCGCAGCTCCGTGTTCCTGCGCTGTCCTTCCCTTGCCTCCTCGGATGTCACCGGGTGGCACCTTCTGCTAGCTTTTTCAACTCAAATTTCAGAACCCATCTCCCCAGACAACCAGGGCTGTGGTTTTCTCGGGGGAAGCAGAGATCGTGACGTGCATGAGCTGGTTTCTGTGCTGCACGCCAGCCTCGGGTAAAGCTGCCGCTGCCGCCACCCACTCACACTGCCTAGCACCAGCTACGCGCGAGGCACCATGACAAGGGCTTGCATCTGTGAAGCCATGTCACCCTCTAACCAGCTGTCATCCTCTCAGCCTACAGATAAAGGAATTGGGGCACAGGGCTCACAGTCCTTGGCCAAGCTGACGGCCTGGTGTGGGCAGACCAAGACTCTTATTGGCTGCAGGCTGTGCCCTTCATCAGCTGCTTGACAGCAAACAGTTGTGCCACCTCTGTTCAGCGAAGCAGACCTGCAGACCTAGATGCCATCTTTCCCTGCCCTTTGCATGGAGTGGGGGGTTCTCTGGGGCCCTAAGAAGTCTTAGACCTCACAGAAGGCAAAGAGCTGAGACTCTCTGAAGTGACCCAGCAGTGGAATGATGTGGGCTTGTAAGCTAGTTGATGGAAGAGAAAAACAGAGGGCTGCCTGCTCCATGTGTGGGAGGAAAAAGGGAGCTGGTTCTGGCAGAAGCTCTTAGGAACCCAGCAGGATAAGCCTGTGGTCTTAGGGTGCAATCAGGATTGGCCAACAGAAGATGAACGCTTTATCCCATGCCTAGCGGGTCAGCAGAGCCTCTCCTCCTCACTGCCCAGCAGAGCCCTTTGTCCCCATGCATGTCCTGGGGCTGCTGCCTATGGACAGACCCACCTTCATGTGGCAGCAAGCACCTCCCTCACAGGGCACCCCACCTCAGACTCGGGAGCATCTGAGAAGTTCCTGGATGCACCGTGGAATGGATGGGGTGTGCACTGGCCTCATGTTCTCCTGCTGGACGCTTCTCAGGCTCCGGTGTGAAACCTCCCATGAGGATTCCTTACAGTGCAGATTTTGGTTTAGGAGCTCTGGGTGGAGCTCAGAATGCTGTATTTCTATCAATCATTCAGGTGATGCTGACGCTGCCTGTTCAAGTCCATACTGGGGAGCAAGGTCCCACTGTGTGCTGGCAGCAGGAGGGGAGGCAGGTCTGCAGCAGCTCCAGGTGTCTATAATCCCAGCTGGTGGCCCTAGGGGACTGGGAGAGCATCTTTCCTCCAGAACCCTGTGTCTCAATCCCAGGGAAGGGCTCTGATGGGTCCCGCTTTCCCAGAGACCTGTGTCTGAATCCCAGGGAAGGGCTCTGATGGGTCCCGCTCTCCCAGAGACCTGTGTCTGAATCCCAGGGAAGGGCTCTGATGGGTCCTGCTTTCCCAGAGACCTGTGTCTGAATCCCAGCGAAGGGCTCTGATGGGTCCCGCTCTCCCAGAGACCTGTGGCTAAATCCCAGGGAAGGGCTCTGATGGGTCCCGCTCTCCCAGAGACCCGTGTCTAAATCGCAGGGAAGGGCTCTGATGGGTCCTGCTCTCCCAGAGACCCGTGTCTAAATCCCAGGGAAGGGCTCTGATGGGTCCCGCTCTCCCAGAGACCCGTGTCTGAATCCCAGGGAAGGGCTCTGATGGGTCCCGCTCTCCCAGAGACCTGGGTCAGAATCCCAGGGAAGGGCTCCAGTTGGTCCTGTTTGAGTGATATGCCTACAGGGTAAACCTTTGTGCCCAGATGGGAGAGGATGATTGTAATGGTTGGTCCCACCAGAGCCTCTGGGGTAGGAAGGGGCTGCTCCCCAAGGAAAAGGGGCAGCTGGTCCTGGAAGACACAGGGCCAGGGGTTGCTGAGCCAACAAAAATAATAGGTATGTCTTATTTTGTATCTAGATATAACAGATCATGATGACAAGAAACACATTTAGTGGCTTGTACATTTCTTCTCTGAGAACTAACTGCCTTGGGCGTATCTGAAGGACAGAACTTGGAGCGCCAGCAGAGCTGGGTTGTCCTGGGGTCCTTGGTTTGTGTTCCTTCCTGGGCTCTGGTTTCCTGGACCTTTTATCTAGAGCTAAGGGACACGCCCTGGCTGTTCCCAGCACCTGGACTCACAGGGAGCAGAGGAGTGGAGCCCCAGGAGGATCTGAGGCTGCACTGTGCAGGGCCCAACTCTCTCCGTCCTGGGCACCTGGGGCCTCCAGGCCCCAGGCAAGGAATGGAGAGGTTCCCAAGGCCCTGCCTTTCTGTCCCTGAGCCCTATTGAGGGGAAGCCTATGGAGCAGCATGGTCGCCTGAGCCCCTTTCAGTTCTGGGTAACTACAACTTGGAAGCTGCAGTCAATTTAGTTAGAACTAGAAGTCCCAGCATGTAGGGTTCAGCCACATGGCAGGCGGCAGGCTCCACACCTCTCTGGGAGCCACGTGGCTTCCAAAGTTCCTTGCTCCAGTCCTCACTTGAAGGGAGGGAAACTCTTCCATAGTCCCTGCCTTAGCCCCAGAATCCACCCTGATTGGACCAGGTGAGTCATGTGCCCATCCCTGAGCCAATCCTGTTGCAAGGAATGGATAGTTTTGCTGATTGGTTGGGCCTGAGTCCTGTGCCCTCTCCTGAACCAATCACCATCCCTGGGGGCAACATGGTGCTGTAATTGGCTAGCCCTGAGTCAAGCGCTACACCCAAATCCCTGGGCTTGAGCAACAGGAAGATACCCTGGGAAGAAACATGGTCACATGACCAAAAGACCACCCAGGACATGGATACTGGGAGGCTGGGATCATAGCCACGCCCAGGGCCCACCCCAGAGCTGTCTCACTTCCCATCTCTGGTTAAATCCTAGACCCCCTGCCAAGTGATGGCCGTGCTCCTACACTACTTCTTCCTGAGTGCCTTCGCATGGATGCTGGTGGAGGGGCTGCACCTCTACAGCATGGTGATCAAGGTCTTTGGGTCGGAGGACAGCAAGCACCGTTACTACTATGGGATGGGATGGGGTAGGTGGGGCAGGGCAGGTGGGATGGCGGGGCGGGAGGGACAGGAAGAGACAGGTGGGGATGGGGCAGGTAGGACAGGATGAGACAGGTGGAAGTGGGGACAGAAGGGGCAGGTGGGGATGGGGGGAGGTGGGAATGGGGTTTGATCGGATGGGACAGGGAAAGTCAGATGTGCTTTCATCTTCATATTATCCTTCTTGGTGCCTCCTAGAGACCCAAATAGGAAGGAGAATCCACTGGCTAATCAAAGGCAAAAAGTCCCCATCACTTGGAAACATTTCCAACATTCCTGACTTGGTTTATCAATTTTGGTGATCTTTTCAAAGAACCAACTTTTGGTTTGATTTTCTTTTTTGTTTTTCTATTATCCGTTTCTTTAATTTCTGCTTCAATCTTCATTATTTCCTTTCTTTTGCTTATTTTAGCTTTAGTTTCTTCTTCTTTTCCAGTGTGTCGAAGTGAAAGTTGAGGTTACTGAGTTGAGATTTTCTTTTTTAATATAGGCATGTATAGTTATATATTTCCCTCTACTCACTGCTTTAGCTGCATCCTGTATGTTTTGTGTCTTCATTTTAAATTCATCTCAAAGTATTTTCAAATTTATTTAATTTTTATTTGACCCATTGATTATTTATGTTGTTTAATTTGTACATATTCATGAGTTTCTCACTTTTTTCTATTATTGATGTCTAATTTTATTTCATTGTGGAAAGACAACATATTTTGTATGACTTCAGTCCTTTTAACTGTATTAGGGTTTGTTTTATGCCTTAGTAAGTATCTATCCTGGAAAGTGTTCCATATGCCCTTGAGAAGAATGTATATTCTGCTGTTGGATGGAGTGGTCTACAGATACCTGTTAGGCCTAAGTTGGTTTATAGTGTTGTTCAAGTCTTCTATTTCATCGCTGATCCTTTTTCTAGTTGTTCTGTCCATTACTGAAGTATTGAAGTCACCACTTGTTGTATTGTGTATTTCTCCCTTCAATTTGTTGATGTTGTTTCCTGTTGCTTGGGGTTCTGTTTATACTTACATCTTTCTGATGAGTTGACCCTTTTACATTTATAAAACATCTCTTCATCTCTAGTATTATGTTTTGTTTTAAAGTCTGTTCGTCCCATATGATTAGTAGACTCGCTCCAGCTTTCTTGCAGTTGCTGTTTGCAGAGCATATATATTTTCCATCCTTTTACTTTCCACTTATTTGTATCTTTGAACCTAAGGTATATCTCCTGTAAACAGAATACAACTGGATTTTTAAAAAATTGTCTGGCAATTTCTGCCTTTTGGCTGGGTCATTTAATCCTTTCCCATGTAATGTTATGACACATAGGGTGGATTCACATCAACAATTTTTCTCTTTGTTTTCTATATGTCTACTATCTGTTTTGTTTCTCTATTCTTCCTTTACTTCTTTCTTTTGAATTAAGTGAATATTTCCTAGTGTAACACTTTAATTCTCTTAATGATTTTTTTCACTTTTTTTTTTTGGTTATTTTCTTAGCGATTGACCTAATGCTTACTATATACATCTTAGCATATTAGAATCTATTCCAAATTTATACTAAATTATAAGATATAAACATTATTTTTATATAGGCATATTCTCTTTTCCTTTGTTCTCTGATTATTGCTATACATGTTACATCTGTATAAGGCACAATTCAATAATACATTTTTGTAACTATTTCTTTAATCTTGTATCTTTTAAAGAAGCTGGGATAAAAGGAGAGCAAGTACATATTTATAGAGTTACATTAACCTTCTGATTTCCATTTCTGGTTCTCTGTATTTTTTCCTGTGAATTTGAGTTTCCATCTGGTGGTGTTGCTTGCTATGTGTATGTATGTTTCTGTGTGTGTTAAGATTACTTTTTGGGGTCATTTGCTTTCAGCCTGGAGAACTTTCTTTGTTATTTCTTGTAAGGCATGTCTGCTAGCAACAGATTCATTTGTTGTTTATCTGGAAATCCCTTTATTTCACCTTCATTTTTAAAAAGTAGTTTTTCTAGATATAAGATTCTTTTTTGCTTTTCGTTCTTTGATTATGTCATCTCACTGCCTTCTGGCTCGATTGTTTCTCATAATAAGTCAAAACTTAATCTTACTGGGGTCCCTTGTATTTGAAGAATTGTTTTTCTGTTGATTCTTTGAGGACTTTCTCTTTGTCTTTCAGCATTTTAACTCTGATGTGTCTGGGTGTGTATCTCATTGTGTTTACTTTTTTTTTTTCTTTTTGAGACAGGGTTTCAATCACCCAGGCTGGAGTGCAGTGGCACCATCTCGGCTCACTGCAACCTCCACCTCCCAGCCTCAAGTGATGCTTCCACCTCACCCTCTTGAGTAGCTGGGACCACAGGTACAGGCCACCATGCCTGGCTAATTTTTGTATTTTTGTAGAGACAGAGTTTCTCCATGTTGTCCAGGCTGGTCCTGAACTTTTGGGCACAAGCAGTCCGCCCACTTCAGCCTCCCAAAGGGCTGGGATTACAGGCGTGAGCCACCATGCCTGGCCCACTTTTTGGTGTTTATTGAGCTTCTTAGATGTGTAGATTAATTCTCTTTATCAAATTTGGGAACATTTCAGCCATTATTTATTGAAATACTTTTTATGTTCCTTTCTCTATCTCCTGTCTTTCTAATATTCCCATTATGAGTAGGTTGGTGTGCTTAATGGTGTTCCACATTTAGAGTACACTTACAGTACAGCTTCTAAGACTCTTGATTTTTCTTCATTGTTTTTTTTTTCTTTGTTCTTCAAATTGCGTAATCTTTCTTTATCTCTCTTCAAGTTCACTGATTCTTCTGCCACTTTGGATCTATTTTGGAACCCCTCTAGTGGATTTTTAAAATTTCAGTTATTATACTTTTCGACTCCAGAATTTTCATTTGGCTCTTTTTTTAGAATTTTGATCTCTTTGTTGCTATTCTGTGTTTGATGAGACAGGGTCGTTATGCATTCCTTTACTTTTTCAATGACAGTTTCATTTAGTTCTTTGAACATATTTATAGTGATTGTTTTGAAGTCTCTTTTTTTTTGATAAATACGACAACTGAGCCTTCTCACAGGCAGTTTCCATTGCCTGGATTTTTCCCCATGTGTGTGTCACACTTTCTGGTTTCTTTGTATATCTCATAGTTTTTTGTTGAAGACTTGTCATCTTAGATGACACATTGTAGCCACCCTTGATTCTGATTCCCTCCTTCCATGGCTTCTCCTTGCTTGCTTATTTATTTGTTTAGTAACTTGGCTGGACTATTTAGCACAGTCTGTTTCTCCTGTGGTGTGATTCCTCTGACATCACTCCCCAGAGGGCAGTCTTAGGCATGTACAGTCACCCTGGGATGGCAGTGGTTTTAGCAGGGCTCTCTCTGTCTCTTTCCATGGCCTCTCTCTCAAGCTCTCTACTTATGTTTGTATGACACCATCTGTTAGGTTCCACTCATTGCCAGCCTATGGCTCTGTTGTTCCCAACAATAGCTTGGGGCACATGATGCTCTACAGCTTGATCTGATTAAATCCAGGCCCCTTCGTAGGGGTATTTTTGAGGCCAGTCTTTGAGGTTTGTTCTGACCCCAGGAAGGCTCTTCTGAGCTGTCTCTTCCCTGGCTGTCTCCAGTAAACCAGCCGGAATATGGTTTATCTTGGTGTTGTCGCGGAGCCACCAGCTTCCTCTTCGTTCCCTGCTGCAAAGCTCCGTTCTTTCCCAGACTACCTTAGGCTTGAACTTCTCCACTCTGCTTTAAATCAGTTCCCATGGGGAGCACTTTGGAGTTCTCTAACCTAATGGGTAGCTTCTTTTCCTGGGAAGAATTCCTGAGGCACTGCTCTGGAGCTGCAGGCAAGGACAGTGGCCCACTTTTTGTGGAGTGACATGTCTGCCTCTCATGCAGGGCACTGGGTGGGGGAAATCGCTTCGAATCTTCAGAGCTTGTCTCTCCCAGTGTAGAACCTCTGCCCAATGAGTCAACAGAGATGAGGGCAGTGAGGCCCCAGTGTTCTGAGCCTGCCACACCCTGCATACTATGAGTTGGAGGAGGAAGGGAGTCCCAACCTTTCAGCTGCTTTTATCTGGAGTAGAGCTTCTAAAGCACAAAGTTGGGGGGAATGAGAAATGCGGGCAGCCTTCCCCACCTCCCCCAGCCTGGGGAGATACCGTAGCCCTGGACTGGGAGCTGGAGGGAGTGGAGCCCTGTCTTCTTGCCCACACCTACTTGGAGCAGAGCCTCTCTCACACCAAGCTGGGCAGGGAAGCAGGTTTTGGCTGAAGTGCCACAGACTCAGTCTTCTTAACAAGATTTAGTAGATTTTCTTGAGCCAGTTTTTCTCAATTTGCTGTAAACCCTTAGGAAAATGTACAGAGACTTTAAATGATTATGTTTTTTAAAACTTTTTTTTTTCAGTGATAGCTGTCTCTGGGGAGGGGTCTGCTGAGCGACTTGTGCTGTCATTCTAGAAGTCAGCTCCCCAGTGATGTGGCTTCTTTGCTGAGCTTTGCCCTTGCCCATCCCAAGGGGTCCCAGTGAGCACTGGAGGCTCTAGGTTGGGCTGTGCATTGACACTTAGCATTCTCGCAGTTGTTGTAAAACACTGACCAGACATGAGGGACCTGCTACTTGTTTCAAATACGTTTAATTTTCACAGTCTTTGTTATGCAAGTAGCAGGTAAACAGGCTTACTTTGTGCTTTGAGTTGGCAAATGTAATTTATCTGAGGATTAAGTGGAGGTAAATTGTGCTCCCCTCGTGGCTCCCTGGGGAGACTGAAGAGGCCACTTGGGCAGCCACCTCCAGACTGCGGCTGGTCATGCAGGGAGCTCCCCGAGTCACCACGGACGTCCTCCGTCCTGCCTCACTGCTCATGCTGTATCATCACGAGGATGCTTTTGCACACGCTGGTCCTGAGGCCCGTGTCCTCTGCCCTCCCTCCAGGTCACGCATGACCTGCTTCTTCAGGCCTCTGTGACGCCCCAGAGAGGAGAGCTGCTCCTTCTGATGATATCTGACCTCATCAGGGAGGATTTAGAGGCTGACTGATGGCCAACTATCTAGAGTTTATTATAGTTTCTTTATGGATACAGTCATGTAATTTAGAGGCATACGTGCATGTGTGCACGCACACACACGCACACACACTCACACTCTCCATAAGCCACAGAAAAGACAGCTGGGTGAACGAAAAGTGTCTGCAGGATTTGTTGCTAGAGTGAGAGCAATGTATGTAGCGGGGCTGTCTGTGTCGCCGATAGGATGGGGTTGGGGTGTGTGTGTTTGACAGACAGAGAATCTAAGCCAAACCAATCCAGCCTGGAAGGATGTTTTATTTGATCTGCACAATGCTGGAGGGAAAAAATGAATTATTTGCCAATATTTTAAGATTGAGGGATTTTACACAAGATTACAAAGTTCTTTTGAAAAATGAGGAGATCCGACGCCCTGAGTTTATATTCCTCCTTGACAACAGTGGCCAGAACTGTGTGGTTTCTGATACCAATGCAGCCCCAGTAGGAGACTGAGCTTGTAGTCCCTGACACAGCTCTTGCAAATGGAGCGCTGGCTGGTTCTGTGAGTCCTGCAACCTCCATCTATCTCCCTGTCAGCTTTCCCTTAATTAATTTCATCAGGAGCCCAAGAACTGTGTCTTTCATTCCAAATGGATTGGAGCTGGCTACAAGCTGAAGTCGGGGGGGTCTGCAGGCAGTTGGGCTCTCTCGACCTTCAGTTTTTAATTAAGGAGCTGGAGGCCCACCCAGAGCATGGTGGGGGGAGCCCCTGGGAGGTGGCTTCTTCCTGCAGATTTCATCCTGGCCTTACTCTAGTTTTTGAGCAATATTATTTTTTGGAAACTGAGGTGGGGTGGGGGGGCATCAAATCCACACCTTACCTTAAGGTGTTGTTGACTGCGAGACTTGTGCTAGGAACTCTGAAGGGAGGGACAGATAACCTCTGTCCTCAAGGAGCCCACAAGGTAGCCAGGAGGGCAGAGTGACAAGCATTGGAGAGTTTACACATCACTGAAGCAGACAAGAAACTCTGATTGCAAACTCAGAGGTGAAGAGAATGTAACTCGTTTTATTTTTCTTTATTGCAACTTAGTTTCTTTTGTGAGCTCCTGTTCCTCTAGGGACAAAACTTAATCTTAGTTCCAGGCCCCCCCTTTCTCTGAAGCTGCACTTTCATTCCAGAGAGATTGCGTAATGCCATGATCACAGGAGGGGGATCCGTCAGGGTAGGCGGGCAAGGCTGCAATAACAAACAGCTTCCATCCCTCTTTGGTTTTAAAGAACAAACGTCATTTTCCTATGCACGCTACATGTCCATGGTGGCCCGTGGTGGTGGACAGTGAAGAGCCCAGGCTGACGGAGAAGGCACCGCCTCGAGCTATGTGAGGGAAGGGGTCAGAGAGGACACTGCACTGGAAATCATGTGCTCAGCCCATAAGACACATGTCCCTTCTGTACACAACTCAGTGCCCAGAACCAGCCCCGTGGCCTCAAGAGCCCCGAGGGGCAGGGGTGTGGACCTCCCCTGTGCCCGCGTGTGGGGCATCTGGAAATAGGTGGCACCAGTGACTTCCACAGTTCCCTGGTATTGTCTCCCTCCACCCCATCTGTCGAGACCCCTTGCCCATGCGCCCATCCTCCCAGGCCTTCGCTTCACCCACCTCGGTTAATCTCTCATAACCCATGCTCCTCACCTGCCCCTCAATCTTAGGGGGCAGATGCCAAGGACAGCACCGGTCTGGTCCCTCTGAAGGTCACCGTGTTGCAAAGAGGAGCACCCAAAGTAAATGTCTCTGATGACAGGGCCAGAGGGACTTCACATTGTCCGCAGAAGCATGTTCCAGGTCTGCCCAGGTTACCGTGTGAGAGTTTCAGATGACAGCAGTGGTGGGAAAGGGGTGAGGTCTGAGCTGGTTGATGATACAGATTATTGCAAGATCAGCTTCATCATCGAGGGGCTCATCATTCATAGACAGCTCATGTCATCCTCACAGCCTAGTGAGGAAGGCAACTCATTACGTTCCCATGGTCTGAGCACAGAATTTCGGCTGGTTCCTTGTAGATGCACAGCTGGTCCCGGGCAGCCCCAGGAATAGAACGAGGTGTCTTCTGGCCCCAAAGCCCACGCTCTTCCCACTCACTGTCTTCTCCATCTTACTGCCCCTCTCCTTATCCTCCCACTTAGGAATGTTTTCTTCTTAAAAAGCCCCACAAACGCACTCACCCAGACTTCATAGCTCCTGCAGCTCATTTTGGAGAAAGCAGACAGTGGGCCCCACCCTGTTCTCAGACCCTTTGTCCTTACCCATGGCTTGGCCTCTGCTGGACACAGGGGTAGATGCAGGGGAAGAAATGGCAGAGGAGCTCACATAGGGAAACTCAAAGTGACAGGATGACAAAGGCCCACAGTCACTGCTGGGCCCCAACTGTGCGCCTCTTCCACAGAGGCTGCCTGGTCTCCTTCTGGACAACTTTATTGCCCAGACATTCTGCAATGCATTTAAGTCCTTTTGACATTTAAAACCAAGTATTTCAGAGACAAGACTGTCCAGGAAATGTCTTTCCAGGGTAATTAACTTGAAACCCAAACCCTGATGTTTGGAAGGGCAGGCACGGCGTGTACTCTGCCCCCAGAGGGCACTGGAGGGCTGCGGCCTGGAGGCGGTCGGGTGGGTGCCAGGAGCCACCTTCCCTCCTCCTCCTTCCTCTGGAGCAGAAATCTCCCAGAACCTGTGTGACTTCAGCTACGGAGGCAGAGAGCCACATGCTCTTCGTGCACTTCCATCCCCCACCCTGCTATCCCAGGGATCCGAGATGTGCCAGGAGCTGTGTCTCTTGAGCATCCTCCTGGGGAAAAGGTTCAGGTGTGGAGTAAGGAGCTGGTCCTTTGCAGTCTCTCATCTCTCTCCCATCCTTCCCTGCAGAGGGAGCAGAGGACAGAGGCTGCTGTGCTCAGGGTGGCTGCACTAGAGCAGGCCCCGTGGATGATGCCCCACTTTCTGAATAACGAGAAGTGTGTTCTTTTCAGAAACAGATTCCCATTCGTGCAGGATCTGTTTCAAAGCTCACACGTGCGTGTGGAAGCAGAGCCATGTTTCCAGACAAATTCCGTGGATGGCTGAGCTTGAGGAGTGTTGCAATGCGATCTTCCTTTTGGAGAGTCATAAGACACATTAGCATACAAAACCTCTGCACTTTAAAAGTGAAAGTAGAGGCCAGTTCAGATTTGGGTTAGGTCAATTCCTACAAGTAGTGTGGCCATAGAGTGTTTTCGTTGCAGAATGATGAAGCTCTGGGGACTGCTGTGATCCAGATGCTTTCTACCTCATTCGTGGGCCTCCCTTCTATCACCACCCCCAAAGTCTCACTTGGCTTTGTCAAATATTAAACACATTTAATTTGTCACACTCAGTTTCAAGTAATAGAAATCCAACTTGAACTGGCTAAGGCAAAAAGGGAATGTGATGGCTCATATAACAAAAAAGTTCTAAGATGCTGGACTTCAGATATGGCTTGATCCATGAGCTTAAGTAATATAATCAAGATTTTGTTTTCTTTTTCCGTCTCTCAGATCTGATCTCTTGTGGTGCCAAAATGGCTGCCTGGACCCCAAGCTCACTGACATCCTTATCCTCTTAGGGGCTCCGTAGAAAAGAGAGTTTCTTCTCAGCAGTTTCGAAGAAAGCCCTTGATTGAGTCTCATTGGGCCAGCCAGGGTCACATGCCCATCTTTGAACCAATAGCTGTGGCTGGGGGATTTGATGTTCCAGTCAGCCAGTCCTGGGTCACATGCCTCAGAGCCAGGAAGGAACCAGCCCACCTGGACCTCATGGAAAGATGGAGTGTGATAGGTTCCCTAAGGAAATTATGGGCTCAAATACTGTAAGAATGTGGACTGTGTGCATGGCAAAGTCAGCCATGTCCGATGTCCCCTCAGTCCCAGCTGATCTCACACCTTTCCACCGCCGCTCTAGAACAGGGCTTCTCAACCAACACTATGGATACTTGGGCTGGGTGACTCTTGTGGGGCAGTCTTGTGCATTGTAGGGTGTTTAACAGAAGCCCTGGCCTCTGCCTGCCTGATTCCATCCCGTTATGACAACCCTAGATGACTTAAGCCATTGCCAGTTGTCTCTTGTGGGGCCACCTTGGCCCTGGTTGAGAACCACAGGTCTAGATAGACCAAGCTGAGCTTACCTTCCTGCCAGTCACAATGCCACATCTCACCCACATGGTTTGTTTTGATGAAGACTCATACACTTTGTTGTCTAGTACAGAAGTGTGAACATGTGAGTATGAGTGTGTGTGTGTTATTCCTTTGTTTAGACTAAAAGTTCTTTGAGGATAGGGGCTGTTCTGTGTCCCAACAATTAGCACATAGTTCCCCCTCTGTATACATGTATGAGGTGTACAAGGAATGAAGAAAGGAAGGGAGGGATGGGGGAGGCGGGAGGGAGGGAAGAAAACTGGAGCAAGTGAACATGATATTCTCCAATCTTCTGCAGGTTTTCCTCTTCTGATCTGCATCATTTCACTGTCATTTGCCATGGACAGTTACGGAACAAGCAACAAGTAAGTGCAGGGCTTTGCCTTGCTTTTGGCAGGCGTTCCATGGAACAGCTTGTGGCGAGAGCCCCGTGGCTCTTGCCTTCCTGTGCTCTTCTGGGTGCAGGGGTGCTGTGCAAAGCTGGCTCCCACAGGCCCAGCCGGTGAGAAAGTCGTGGTCCAGGGAGAGGGAGAAACAACCCAGCTGTGCTCTGGACATTTTGGGGCCTCGGAACTAGCAACAAAGACCACAGAGCGCCTCCAGGAATAGCAGGGGGCCTGCTAGGAGTTTCTGCTTGGAAATGTTTCACCCACGTGGTCTTCTCAGACACAGTTCTGGTCATCCACGGAGGCTGAATTGTGGCCCTTTCACCCTTTCTTGGGGTGGCCAGCAAGCGCACTGTGCAGACCGTGTGCCCAGTAACTCACAGGGAGCAGACACATGCATGTTGGAGTAAGTGGGGCCTGCTGTGCACCAGGCAGGTGGTCTTGAGGGTCCCATTGCTTGGGTAGTAGGGGATGGACCTTATGATGTCCAGTATCTCCTGTTGCCACTTGAAATGCAGCTCATGGGTCCACAGTTGTGTCAGGAAGAGGATGGGATGGTGCTGAGGGACCAGATCAGCTGTTCACGTTCCAGAAAGATGATTTTCTTTCCTTACAAGTAAAAGAGCTTTCACTCAAATGTTTCTTGGAAGCTGCTACCTGTCCTAGCCACGCTGAGAAACCACTGAGTGAAAACATGGAAAATAAATATTGACGGTGCTTACAAACAGAAAGGAAGTTGAGCATTTTCACAGCTTCAGAATGAGATAATAGTACAGACGAATAGTGAAACTGGGAGAAATCCAGCCTTTTCCACGTTGGTGCAGGTTCCCTGAAGGCGAAGCATTTGTAGAAGGCAGTGTCTGAGCGCACAGTGAAACAAGCATGGTTACGCAGACCACTGTTCTGGCCTTCCTTTCATTCTGGATGCTGTTAGAAGTTGAGGGACTAATTAGAAGAAGAATGTTCTCCTCAAACACAGCTCAATGGCATTTGTTCCCTTTTATCCCATCTGGAGCTTGGGGATGCTGGACCCACAGTCCTGAGTCCCGGGGTCTGACCGTAATACAAGCCTTTTCCCACACTCATGCCCGAAAGCCAGGCAGCACCAGCCAGGTTCAGGAAGCTCACCAGGTTTCTGAACAGGATAGAGTATCTACCAGAAGCCCCTCGTCGACTTAAAATTCTGCATGAAGTGCTGGAAAGCACAATCTCTCTCTTTGCAGAAGCATCCTACTCTCCGGAGAGCCTGGTTTGAATCGCACCTTTGCAGAGGTACCATTCAGACTTGCAGTGCATTTTCCTTTTAAACAGTGCATCCTCAGATGAGAGGTTTCTCCTCTCCGTGCTCTGGGTGTGCAGCCATGAATGAGCCTCTTGCAGGTGCTGTCTCTTGTTTTGGGGCATTTGCCATCTCCTGGTCCGGGAGGCTTTGGGGAGGAATGGGGGCAGGGAGGCAGTGTGCTGACAGTGATCTCTGAAGTCACCTGAGCTATTTAGGGCTCAGATTCCTCATCTGCAGGATTGGAGTGATCATAGCGCCCACCTCAGGGGCAGCATAGGATTAAATGAGATGATGGAGTTTGTTGTGCTGTGGGGCAGACCTGCTGCTCAGTGAGCAGTCACGGAGGGATGAAATAAGCCAGCCCCGGGGAGACACCACATTGGGTGCCAGTGAGGACTGCGCCACGCACCTGCCCAGATCCAATTAAAGGCACTCCAGGTCCTTGGGAAACAGTGTCCAGGAGTCAAGATGAGAGGTCCTAGGGACTCTTCGGCTCTTGACAGTGCCGTAGGCTCTGGAGATAAAATTGTGGAGGAGCTGGCTTTTTTTTGCCCGAGTTCTTGGGGTCACTTCTCAGAGGCCAGATCCTCAAACTGGACCCTCCTCTCAGGACATCAGAGCAATCACTAGGACCCTCTGGAACCTTTCCTCTCAGTTGGAGGGCACGGAGAGAGGGGAACTGACCTCGAGCTTTGGGCATATGGGAATGGTCAGGTGCTGCATCGCTGACGACTCATCAGGATGGGAATCCCTCACAGAAGGCCCCTATTGGGTCATACTTGAAGTGCTCTGCAGGAAAGCCAGTCCCCAGCAAAGGTCTATTTCCTAATGAAATTGAAATCTATTCTGGATTTTGGCTAAACTCTCCAGAGGTTGCTGTCCTGGTCTTCAAACCTGGAAAATCCTTTCCAAGAATGAGACGTGGGATCATCATGGATAAAAATACATTTGCAGGGATTAGGAATGTTGTATGACTGCCCCAGGTGGACCCTGTAGCTGAGAAAGACATCACCTTAGCAACTACTTTTGGATGAAGGTACGCTGGCAGGTGGAACGAGGTTGTTGAAGTAACGGCTCTGCTTCCCTCCGCAGTTGCTGGCTGTCGTTGGCGAGTGGCGCCATCTGGGCCTTTGTAGCCCCTGCCCTGTTTGTCATCGTGGTACGTTTCCTACCCTTGTGGGCGCAGAGCGGGGCTGGGGAGGGGCAGGAGGAGAGGGTGTGGGGCTCTGGAGATGGCGGGGGGCTCCCTGAGGAGCTTCCGAAGGATGCAGCGTCGTTCCTCGGTCACTCCTCGCTAGGGCTCCTCTGGGCCAGTGACTGAGGGTCTTATTTCCCGGAATGCTCAGGAAGGCGGTGCTTTCCAGGCGGGTCCACTCGAGGCCCCAGGGCTCTTCCAGTCGAGGCGGCAGGTGCAGGCACACAGCCCTGAGAACAGCACAGGCGCGGGCTCGTCCTTCCCCATCCTCCGGTGCCTTCTCACCCACCGGCTAGCTCCTTGCTCAGGAGTCACCAGGACTCCAAGGCTGCAGAGGGGAATCTCAGCAGAAGCCTCCTGGGAACCACACATAACAGTTACAGTTACAGTGGTTTGCAAGTGACAGAAAACCCAACTCAGAGTTTTTTGTTGTTGTTTTTGTTATTGTTTTTTTGAGACGGAGTCTCACTTTGTCTCCCAGGCTGGAGTGCAGTGGTGCGATCTCACTGCAACCTCTGCCTCCTGGGTTCAGGCGATTCTCCTGCCTCACTCTCCCAAGTAGCTGGGATTACAGCCATGCGCCACCACGCCCAGCTAATTTTGTATTTTTAGTAGAGACGGGGTTTCACCGTGTTGGCCAGGCTGGTCTCGAACTCCTGACCTCAGGTGATCTGCCCTCCTCTGTCTCCCAAAGTGCTGGGATTACAGGCGTGAGCCACTGTGCCTGGCCCCAACTCAGTGTTTAAACACGGATGGGGATTTACAGGTTCCTGAGTCAGGACCATCTGTGGGGAGGCTGGGCCCAGGGCTCCTGCACCTGCACTGGCATGAGGCTCGTCCCTCATCTTCTCTGCCTCCCCGGATGGAAACGGAGGCTTTTTCCCAGCACTCCCATCGCAAGTCCCAGGCTGGTTCTCATTGGCTGCGGTGAGTCATGTGTCCGTCCCAGAACCAATCAGGGAAATGGGATGGAGTCGAATGTTGGTCAGGGCTGCCTCCCATGATTTCTTTGTGCAGTTAGCACCGGTGGACACCAGGAGCTGCTGGTATGGTGGGGTCGTGATCAGAGGGTGTGACCTCAGCAGAGTCTGTGCTTTCCCTTCGGTACTTCCACGTGCCTGTCTCTGAGGGCCCTGGCTGGTTGGGCCCGGGCTGCGCGTCCTGGCCCAGGCTTCCCGTCTGCAGGCTGGGTCAGGGCCCCGCAGTGAACTGGAGCAGCTCCCTGGACTGAGGGGCGTCAGGGGCCCAGGGGTGTTGCGCGGGGCGCCACGAGCCGAGGGCAGGGATCTTTGTGCAAGCAGAGGTGGTCGCGAGGGAAAGGCTTGTGGCATCAGAGCCTCCCTCACAGCGTCTACAGAGCTCCGAGCAGGGCTGGTTTTTCTTTCAGTGAATCGCTGTCAGCTGCAGAGGGGACGCCTTTGGGGCTGCGCGCTTGAGCTCTTAGGGTCTGGGGGCCGCAGCGCCTCCCCGGGGCTGCGTGAGGATCACCTGCCATCGCTTTACCGACTCTACCCTTTAAAGAGTGTCAGAGGCTTCAGGGAGAGGTCCCCGCGCTCTCTGGGGGTCTGGGAGGACCATTCATTTTGCCAACCAACATGCAAAAACGCTTTCAGAGCGGACTCCAGTCATCAAACTCCTGGCCGGAGCATGGCCAGTTGGGAGGGGCTTTAAAGGACGTTTAGTGACAGAGGGTGGGAAGGGTAAGTTGTATTCAAGTCTCTGCTGTTCCTTGTTCTCCCTTTCTCTCTACTGACTTAAACCCTCTAGAACCGCAGGGCCTGGGCAGAACAGGCCCCTGTGTCAGACACTGTCCTGGTCATCTGGCTTTCATGTCTGACCGTGGTCAGTGACAGCTGGGGTTCCGAGGTGGCTCTGCCTGGCTCCTTCACCACCCACACGGCGTGGGGCCGAGCGCCAGGAACCCAGCACCCCTGTGTCTCCCAGCTTCACTAGAGTCCCTTTTGTCATTCCTGAGGGGACATTACCTTCAGGGCCCCACCCCCTACCCCACTCCTTGTTGTCAGTGGCCATCATTCCTGGAGGACAGAATGAGCCCTCAAACTCATTACATAATTGAATTACCTGGGGAGTTTTTTTTTTTTTTTTTTTTTTTTTTTTTTTTTTGCGACAGAGTCTTCGCTCTGTCGCCCAGGCTGGAGTGCAGTGGCACGATCTTGGCTTACTGCAACCTCTGCTTCCCAGGTTCAAGCAATTCTCTTGCCTCAGCTGGGACTACAGGCAGGTGCCACCAAGCCCAGCTAATTTTTGTATTTTTAGTAGAAACAGGGTTTCACCATGTTGGCCAGGCTGGTCTCTAACTCCTGACCTCAGGTGATCCACCCGCCTCGGCCTCCCAAAGTGCTGGGACTGCAGGCGTGAGCCACTGCGCCCGGCCCTGGGAAGCTTTAAGAGTATTCCTGTCTAAGCTCCACCTCCTGAAGTTTCGGCTTGTTGGCCTTTAGAATCTTCCAGGTGACTCTCAGCACAGCTGGCTTGAGGTCCTCATGCCCTCTTGGGACATTGGTAGCAACAGGCAGATTGGAAGGGAGGCAAGAGCTGAATGGGGCAGCCTTAAAAGATTCCAGGTTCAGGCTGGGCGCGGTGGCTCACGCCTGTAATCCCAGCACTTTGGGAGGCCAAGGCAGGCGGATCATGAGGTCAGGAGATCGAGACCATCCTGGCTAACACAGTGAAACCCCGCCTCTACTAAAAATACAAAAAAATTAGCTGGGCGTGGTGGCGGGTGCCTGTAGTCCCAGCTACTCGGGAGGCTGAGGCAGGAAAATGGCGTGAACCCGGGAGGCGGGTCTTGCAGTGAGCCGAGATTGCGCCACTGCACTCCATCCAGCCTGGGCAACAGAGTGAGACTCCGTCTCAAAAAAAAAAAAAAAAGGTTCCAGGTTCAAGTGCAGAGGCCAGCAAACTGCAGCAGTGTGGCCCACTACCTGCTTTTGTAGATCGAGTTTTCTTGGCACACAGCCACGTCCATTGATTTGCACATTGTCTGTGGCTGCTTTCAGGCTAAAACAGCTGAGCCGAATAGTTGCAACAAAGACTGCGTGGCCCGCAAAGCCAAAAATACTAACTGGCTCTTGGCAGAAGGCATATCAACCTCTGGGCCAGGGGGTGCCGTGGAGGTTCCAGCCTACCCCTGCGGGGAGTGCCGTGGAGGGGAGTTGGGGGTCTTGTCCCTCTCACGTCTTCAGAGGATCCCAGGGTTTGTGCCATCTGGGCCAATTCCTCATTTACCCACAAGTCATCAGCCTTATTTCCAGATGAAGAAAGCAGGTTTTGGGATAACAAGTATAGCATGACCCCATTTGTTTAAAAAGTTAAAAGCTCTATATGGGTACACACCCACATGTGAACATATAACTGAATAAGAAAATGCCCAGACAGATGCACACAAAATAATGGTTCCCTAAGGAGAGGTTTGGGTTTGGGGAGTATGTGCTTCAAGATTATATGCACCTAAAAACACCCATGTATTGCCTGCATAATTTGAAAATTAAAAACTTTTAGGAAGCTGTGTGTTTACATTAGAACATCAGCTTCCCTGTGTCCTGGCAAGGTTCATCCTGAAAAGGCAAGAATTTGGGAGACAGTAAAGGGTCACTGTGGGGCCTGCTGGGCCTAGGGTTGAGGAGAAAAGGGCAGAGCCTAGCCACTTCCAGTAACACCCCCCACCAGGCGTCTACAGCCAAACACACACACTGCCCACCGCCCCTTCTCGAATTGTTCTCGGCTGTAACACACACACTGCCCACCGCCCCTTCTCGAATTGTTCTCGGCTCTAACACACACTGCCCACTGCCCCTTCTCGAATTGTTCTTGGCTATAAGGCAGGGAAATGGCTTTTCATTCACTCGGTGATTCTAGTTACACAAAATGCGAACATGGCCATAGGCCCGTTATTCCCTGGTGTCTTAGTCTATAGGGCTGCTGTAACACGGGACCACAGGCTGCACAGCTTAAACAAATTTATTTTCTCACAGTTTTGGAAGCCAGAAGTCCAAGATCGAGGTGTCGTCAGGGTTGGTTCTCCCGAGGCCTCTCTCCTTAGCTTGTAGATAACTGTCTTTTCCCTGTGTCCTCACATGCTTTTCCCTCTGTGCATGTCTGCGTCTTAATCTCCTCTTAAAATAAGTGACTGCCTAAGCCAGTCATTGGATTAAAGCTCACCCTAGTGACCTCGTTTTAACATAATTATGTCTTTAAAGAACCTGTCTCTAAGTGGTCTTGTTCTTAGGTACGGAGGCTTAGGGCTTCAGCATATGAATTTGAGGGGACATAGTTCAGCCCATAACGCCTGATTTTCCAGAAGCCACAGAGCCTAGACACCCCGTTCCCCCAAAGAACAGGGACTCTGGATGTCAGGGGCACTTTAGCCTGAGCCTTCAAAATGGCTTGTTCTGTGCTGGCCCCACCGAGGAAAGAAGGAGAGTGCCTCCAGGTCTGGGGAAGAGAAGGAGTCTCTGATTTAAAATCTTTGTCTCCCTTGGGGAGAAGCCAGGGTAGCTATGTGTCTACATAGAGACAGAGATATGGTTACAGATATATATACAGAGGTATAGATGCAAACAGATACATAGAGACAGATACACAGATGGAAATGTAGATACAGATATAGGCAGATACATGGATACAGATACAAATACAGAGATAGATACAGATGCATTGCTATAGATGCATAGGTACAGATAAGCATAAATATAGATACAGATATATACAGATGCTCCTGAACTTACAATGGGATTAAGTCCTGATAAACTCATCATAAGCAGAAAATACCATAAATTGAAAATGCATTTAATACATATAACCTACAGAACATCATAGCCTAGCCTACCTCAAACATTCTCAGAACTCTTACATTAGCCTAGAGTTGGGCAAAATCATCTAACACAAAGCCTCTTTATAATGCAATGTTGAATATCAAATGAGTTGAATACTGGAAGTGAAAAACTAGTTGTATAGGTTTGCAGAGTACAGTTTGTACTGACATGTCTTGCTTTCACACCACTGAAAAGGTGAAAAATTATTACTCGAACCTTCCTAAGTTAGGAACTGCCTGTAGATACATGTAGATACTGATACATAGATACGGATACCTAAATACAGGCAGACAGAGACATACTGCTGTGGTTTGAATGTTTCCCTCAAAGTTCATGTAACTTAATTTCCAGTGCGACAGGTTCGGAGAGGTGGAACTTTAGGAGCTGATTAGGTTGTGAGGGCTTTGCTCTCGTGAATAAGTTAATGCTGCTGTTGTGGGAGTGGTTTCATTATTGAACGAGTGGGTTTCTGATGAAAAGATGAGTTTTGCCCCCTTCTCTCTCTCTGTGCTCTCTTGCTTTTCCGACTTCTGCTATGGGACAGTGTAGCAAGAAGTCCCTTACCAGATGCAGGCCCCTCAACTTTGGATTTCCCAGTCTCCCAAACTGTAATAAATCTCTGTTCTTTATAAATTACCCAGTCTGTGGTATTCTGTTATAGTAGCAGAAAACAGACTGAGGCACCCACTGTTGTGTAAACTAGCTATTTGTATGTGTGTATGTACCTGTATAGCCCTTTCATTGTGAAATAGTGGTGTCCAGCTCAGTGTTTATTCACAAATCAACATTCTGGTGACCCTGAGCTAGGTCAAGAAACAGAACACCAGGATTCCTATGCAGTCCTGCCTCCCTCCTCCCACCAGAGATCACCGTGATCTTGGCCTTCATAGTAGCCACGAGACCTTTGCTTTACAGTTCTACTGCCTCCATGTGCATTCCAGTTTTTCTTCTGCAGTGAGGCCTGTGAGTTGTTTCTTTGACATCTGCCTTTAGTGGGGAGATGCTTAGCTGCTGGAATATCCATGGTACTCACACTGTACATGCCTCAGTCCCAGGGCATTTTCCGATTTGTAGTCGAGTGTGGGTGTACCATACAGCAAGGCATGGATGAGGATGAGTGAAATGGAGTGAGGGGGGCCAGGCCTGATTCTGTATTATATTTTCATGAAATGTCAGATTTGTGCCACTCGCAGCCAAAGTCCCCCACCGCACCGATGCAGGATTGGAGGCCATGGTGAGCCGCTCCTCCTCTTAGGAAGCCACAGCAAATGTATCATCCTGATAAGATGGAAAAAATGTGCCTGGAAAATGAAACCAGACTGACCCAGGCTAAAAGAAAAAAAAAGACCCAGCAAAATCTTTGGAGAAAAAGGAAAGATGATGAATTCTGACAAGTAATAATGTGATCAGCTTAACTGTTATGAAACACTTAGAGTGCATCTTAACGCAAAGCGGTCAAGATAAAGTAAAGGACTTGAAATCTCAAATTAATCACTCGTAGTGTTTCATGTTGGCAAAACATTTTGCTGCAAGTTGATCATCCTTTCGGTGGCCTTGTCAGAAAAGTCTGGGAACAGTCATGTGTGCATCTTTCAGCTTTACAGCTGAGAGGTCCGGGGCAGAACCACGCTTTATAGCCTCCAGAGGCAAAGCAGGAGTGATGATGAGACCTCTGAGCTCATGTGGGTGTTGGTTGTGATGGGACCCTGAGCTCAGATGGGGTGTTGGTTGGGTTGGTTGTGATGGGACCCTGAGCTCAGGTGAGGTGTTGGTTGGGTTGGTTGTGATGGGACCCTGAGCTCAGGTGGGGTGTTGGTTGGGTTGGTTGTGATGGGACCCTGAGCTCAGGTGGGGTGTTGGTTGGGTTGGTTGTTATGGGACTCTGAGCTCAGGTGAGGTGTTGATTGTGTTGGTTGTGATGGGACTCTGAGCTCAGGTGGGGTGTTGGTTGTGTTGGTTGTGGTGGGATTCTGAGCTCAGGTGGGGTGTTGGTTGTGTTGGTTGTGATGGGACCCTGAGCTCAGGTGAGGTGTTGGTTGTGTTGGTTGTGATGGGATTCTGAGCTCAGGTGGGGTGTTGGTTGGGTTGGTTGTGATGGGACCCTGAGCTCAGGTGGGGTGTTGGTTGGGTTGGTTGTGATGGGACCCTGAGCTCAGGTGGGGTGTTGGTTGGGTTGGTTGTGATGGGACCCTGAGCTCAGGTGGGGTGTTGGTTGGGTTGGTTGTGATGGGACTCTGAGCTCAGGTGGGGTGTTGGTTGGGTTGGTTGTGATGGGACTCTGAGCTCAGGTGGGGTGTTGGTTGTGTTGGTTGTGATGGGATTCTGAGCTCAGGTGGGGTGTTTGACTGTGTTGGTTGTGATGGGATTCTGAGCTCAGGTGGGGTGTTGATTGTGTTGGTTGTGATGGGATTCTGAGCTCAGGTGGGGTGTTGGTTGGGTTGGTTGTGATGGGACCCTGAGCTCAGGTGGGGTGTTGGTTGGGTTGGTTGTGATGGGACCCTGAGCTCAGGTGGGGTGTTGGTTGATGGGAACTCTGCACTCACTCAAGTTGCTCGAGATCCTCTCCAGCATCTCCAGGCATCCCTCTCATGGGTCCCAGGCTTCACGGTTTCTCCATCCCCTGAATCACTGGAACACTGCATGGCTGAGTTTCTATTCCACCTGACCCCAAGGACACTGCTCCGTCATTCACAGGAAATGGGTTTCATATTATTTCCTTTTAATTTATAATTGTTTAAAACTAAAATTTAAAGAATCTGATTTATGAAATGGCAACACAAAATTTACAGGAAAAGCTTAAGAATCTATGCATAAATGTGTCTGCCTATGTATGTTTTTGCATTCCCTGGTTTCCACCCTCCCTCCAAACAGGCAACCCGTGATGCTGGTTTCATGGGTATCCTGGGGTTTTGTGCAGATAGGGGGACTGTAACTACATACCCACCCCATGGCGGCCTTCAGTGTATGTGGGGTGTGGCTTCTTCGCCAAGGAAGAGCTGCCTGAGTCTGTCTCAGACCCACAAAGTGTTCCATAGAGTGGGTGTGGGCAGCAGCCCTGCCCTGCTGTCTGGGTGTGGACGGCAGCCCCACCCTGCTGTCTGGGTGTGAGTGACAGGCCGGCCCTGCTGTCTGGGTGTGAGTGACAGCCCCGCCCTGCTGTCTGGGTGTGAGTGACAGGCCGGCCCTCCTGTCTGGGTGTGAGTGGCAGCCCCGCCCTGCTGTCTGGTGTGAGTGACAGGCCCGCCCTGCTGTCTGGTGTGAGTGACAGGCCGGCCCTGCTGTCTGGGTGTGAGTGACAGCCCCGCCCTGCTGTCTGGGTGTGAGTGACAGGCCGGCCCTGCTGTCTGGGTGTGAGTGACAGGCCCGCCCTGCTGTCTGAGTGTGAGTGACAGGCCCGCCCTGCTGTCTGGTGTGAGTGACAGCCCCGCCCTGCTGTCTGGGTGTGAGTGACAGGCCCGCCCTGCTGTCTGGGTGTGAGTGACAGGCCGGCCCTCCTGTCTGGGTGTGAGTGGCAGCCCCGCCCTGCTGTCTGGGTGTGAGTGACAGGCCTGCCCTCCTGTCTGGGTGTGAGTGACAGGCTGGCCCTCCTGTCTGGGTGTGAGTGACAGGCCCGCCCTGCTGTCTGGGTGTGAGTGACAGGCCCGCCCTGCTGTCTGGGTGTGACAGGCCCGCCCTGCTGTCTGGGTGTGAGTGACAGCCCCGCCCTGCTGTCTGGGTGTGAGTGACAGCCCCGCCCTGCTGTCTCGGTGTGGACGTTCAGGTTGTTTCCAATCTTGTTACAGATGAGGCCCCCGCCTGTGTCAGTGGGTGAGGTACCCGGAATAGAAATCCCTCAAGGGAAAGGGGCAGGAGTTGCAGAATGGCAGAGTCAGGACCTGGGGAAATCTCCACTCCCAAAACAAGGAAAGAACTGGAAGAATTGTTTTGAAAAAATAGTCGGAATTCTAGAAACAAAGGCATGCACACTAAAAGCATTTATTCAAGAAAAACTTCTGAATCTCAGTAAGAGCAGGCAGGGTCTGTGGCAGTTTGACTTGGGGCACCTTCCATCTCCACCTCCCTCTCTGTGTGATGCTGTAGCCACCACTGGAGGCACGAAAGTGCTTCCCAGGCAGATGGCCAAGGCCAGCCTGCCCCGAGGGCATGGGCCGCACTCACACATCAGTGACCATCAGCCATCTGCAATTGAAATCCCCACTCGAAGTAATAACTGCACATTAGTCACGCGTTTGTCACTGTCCTAGTTGAATCATCACTGCATTTGAAAACCACTGACCTGTCATCCACGCTGCTCCCGCTTGCTGCTCCTAGTTGAGTGTGGCTTTCTTCTCGTCGTTACACAGTGAGGTTGGCTGGGGGGCATCAGCGTTTCTGGACATGCTCTTTGTGCAGACACCATGCTGGGTGGCTAATGTGTTGACTTCTTTTCCCTTCCCTGGCCTTTGGACACTTCTGTTATTAGCCTCACTTTACAGATGGGAAAATAAGGGCAACTAAGGTGCATCCGACTGTCAGCTGAGCTGGGCGTGAGCTGAGCTTCCAGGTGTTGAGGTGGTCAGTGAAGACAGGAGCCGAGGAGGGAACAGTTGGGGTGCTCACTGCCACAATAGTGTCCTAAGGGGCTAGGCAGGAGGGGGCGGCCCCACCACGCACCACTCTCTCCCAAAGAACAGCACCAGGAGGGTCTGAAGCCTCCGTGCAGACAGGGCCGGTCTCCTGCTGAGAGAGCCCTGGGCGGAGGGCTCCTGCTGATTCATGGGCTCGGGAGCTGCGCGAGGAGGAAGGGGAAGGGCTCACAGTGGAAAAGTCCTGGGCACAGAAGGTGGCTTCAAGGCCCCTAGGGTGAGGCGGGCTCAGCAGTTGCTTCAGAAAGGCCTGGCGCGGGCACCTAGGCGAGGGGTGCAGGTGTGCGGAACAGCGATGCTGGCCCATCCCGTGCGGGGGAAGAGCGAGGCCGGCCCATCCCGTGCGGGGGGAGAGCGAAGCTGGCCATCCCGTGCGGGGCCCCAGTGGCTGCCCTCCGACTGCAGCTCCCTTCAGAGACTGCCAGGCTCTGGCCGCGCCCAGGCTGGCGTGGGGACAGCAGCTGCCCTGTGAGGCCGGCGAGGTAGAGCCCTGTTCATTGCCTGAAAGTTCGAGCCTGAGAGTTCACACAGAGGACTTTATCCTGGAACTGGACTCCTTGCTGACTCTGTACACGGCCTCAGAATTTTTCAGACACAAGGGAGAAGGCTAACCCTCACCCTAACCCCGCAGCCAGAGGACACTAGGGGGTTCTTCCCCATGCTGTGCCTGCCTCGCCAGCCTCCTACTGAGGGAGCTGCCCAGGTGAGGGGCAGGTTGTGCTGAAGCCTCTGCCGGGGCCCCTCAGTGCCCCGCCCAGCCCCATAGGTCCCAACAGGAGCCTTCCAGCAGTTTCCCAGCAAGGAGGGGTGCTGGCAGGAGATGATGCCCCTCTGCCGCAGCTTCTGTGGCTCGCACAGCCGCAGGCCTGGGCCGGGGCGGGAGATGAGAGCCAGCTCCTGTGCCGGGGCCTGGCACATTGAGCAGTCGTTTGCACAGTGGGCACTATCCTTCTCATCACCTGGGGCACTGAGGCTCCGAGGACCTGGGTGAGTTGCCCAGGGTCACACTAACGAAGCAAATGCTAAGATGAGGTCTGGCCCAGGCTCATGCCCTCATGCCCGGATGTGTTCCTGGGACTAGAACTCGTCTCTGCTGTCTTCTCAGTGCAGGTGCTCTCAGAGGCAAGCTTGCATGTTGTGTGTGTTGGTAAAAGCCCACGGAACAGGGTGAGATTTGTCCCAGTGATGCCCCTGTGTCCCAGGAGCCCTGGCTGGGCAGGGGTAGCCTGTGGTGAGGGCAGTGGCCAGGCGGACGCAGCTCTCCTGCAGGTGCAGCCCAGGCCCCCCTCACCTTCCTCCATGGTTTCTTGTGCAGGTCAACATTGGCATCCTCATCGCTGTGACCAGAGTCATCTCACAGATCAGCGCCGACAACTACAAGATCCATGGAGACCCCAGTGCCTTCAAGTAAGTTGACCTCAGGCTGCCAGCAGTGCCACGGCCCTTCTGCCCCCAGAGGATGCTTTGAGGTCACAGGAGAGATAGCCACTCCTGCCTCCTGTGGCCGGCACCAAAGTCCTCCACTTGCTCCGTGTCCCTGCCATCTCAGGGCAGCTCTGGTTTCACGCCCTCGCTTGGCTCTCGTGACCCAGGACAGGGCCTTTACCCAGCCCCAGAGCTCCCATGTGTAGAAGAACGGAGTCTACGGAGTTCTCCTAGGGATTTCTTCACCCCAGGGTGATGAGCAGCTGGGGGGCGGCAACGGGGAAGATTCTAGAGCCAGAAAGCCCCTGCCAGTCCCGCATCTGCCCTGGCCATCTGCTGGGCTCAGCGAGTTTAGCCCCTCAGCACCTCGCCTTCCTCACGTGCAGAACGGGATGATAACAGGTTCCCCCTCAGCTGGCACATCAGGGAAGGTGCAAGGGAGAGCAGTGTCCTGGTGTGCTCTGGGCTGCCCCGCCTGGAGAAGGGGCGGGGTCTCTGGGAGGGATTCCAGCCACACAACTCACTGCCATCGGGGGTGTCCTGACCTGCATCTCTTACGGCCCAGCCGATTGCAGGTGACAGAAATCCCAGCATGCACTGGCCTAAGCAGAAGGGGGACTCACTGACGCAGCTGACTGTGAAGTCCGGAGCTCAGAAGCCCTGGCGTTGCAGGAATTCTTTGGCAGTTGCAGCACCGGGCCCAGCTCGCCTTCGCATCCTTAGTGTTGGCTTCAGGCCGAGGTCGACTCTGCCCCCTGGTGGCCGAATGGCTGCGGCAGGGGTTCAGGCCCACGGGGGAGTCCCTGTCCCACCTGCTGAGACGGAGGCCTGCGCCTGGAGGACGATGGGGACTCAGGCTGGACCTGTGCCCTCCCTGAGCCAGACCCTGTAGAGGGGGATTCACTCATATGACCGTGTGACTGTTCAGTTAGCACCCCCAAACCACAGGGCTGAAAGCTGGGGAGGCTGTCCCTCGCAGGGAATTCAGGGGCTTTGTGAAAAGCAGGGCGTGGGTACCAGGCAGCTGACATTCTGTACTGTTACTTCAGCCACCGCGTATCTGTTCTGATGTGAAAGCAAAAGTGGCAAATATGTCAGCAGCGAATCTATGAGAGAATTAGTCTGTAATGAATTCCAAACACCATAAATTAACCTGACAAGAGGCTGCAGCCTCCTTGGGCTGTTCAGCTCCTGGAAACCTTCAAGGGTTGTGCCCCGTGCGAGAAGAGATGCTCGTGGGGTCAGAGATCACGTCCTTTCCTCTTCCATTGCTGAGACCAGGATGGTCTCCTGGACCTCTCATGGCCTGGCTGGGGAGGGACCTGTCCCTTCCTCACCCCAGCCCTCAGCTCCCCAGGCCCTCACCTCAGCGTTCAGGGTCAGCCAGTCTGTTGCCAGCTTGTCTCCAGCAAAAGCTCACAATCCCCTGTCTGAGCCCCATGAGGCCACTACTTCCACTGTCACCAGAACACCCCTGTGCACCTGCCCCGCACCTGTGCACCGCCTTCCATCTCTACCCCACTGCGCCCCATCCTCCCATCAGTGCCCACCCAGGAAGCAGCTTCTGTCCACTGCCTTTGCTTCTCCATGGAAATGTCCTCCAAGCGACAGGCTGGCACTGTGTCTGCAGCTCTTGTGAAGGCTCGAGGTAGCGTGCCCCGGGAGAGCATGCCCAGGTCTTTGCAGGGCACAGCTGAAGGCATTGCCCATCCTTCCCACCTGCGTCTGCACCTGGCAGCCCAGGGATGCGTCCCTTCCGGGGAGGTGCAGGCAGGCATCTCTGGGGACAGACCGCTCTGGGTCCCTCTCCATTGTGCAACCCAGCACATTTCCCAATGCCTTCAGCTCCTCTCCTTTGGGCGGCCAGGTCTGCCCCTCAGGGATGCTTCCTCACAATCTTCTTAGTGTGGATTGTGTAACACTTGACTCCCAGGGCTGAGGAAGCACAGCCAGGGAGCAGGCGCCAGGCAGGAAGAGGCAGTCACTGCATCGTGAGGAAGCTTCCCCAGCACCTTGCTATTCTTCATCCTCTGGTTTTATTCTAGTGATTTTCTTAGTGCCAAGCAGCCCAGTACTCAGTGAATAACAAGATAAGATTCTTCCTCAGGGGCCCTCCACAGGGTTGGCTTTCACTTCCCTGCCACCCCCCTACCCCAAGAAAAGTGGAGAATAGAATAAGTGAGGTCTGAGCAGGGGGAGAAGCCTGGCTTTCACTTTTTAAAAAAGTCTCTGTTTATTGATTGTGATTCCAGACTCCTGAAAAAGAAGCAGAGAATGGTCAGGTTTTACAAGTGGGACCCTGGGGGCGGGGGCGTGAGGGTGAGACCCCCACAGAAGTGCACCCACGAGCAGGTGGGCTGTGGGGCCTGGAGACTCAGGGCCTGAGCCCCCTAGGCCAGGGCCAACCTTGGGGGAGCAGAAGGGGGTCATAGATCAGAGAGGAAAGCACACCCCCTGCCTAGAGCCTCCTTCAGATCCAGGGACCCCTCTTCTTCTGCTTTTGACCAGGGACACTGACAGCTCTGGCCGTGTTGAGAGTCCGCAGAGCTTCAGCTCAGCGTCTTCCCCCAAGATCTTCTTCTATTGTTCATTTTAAGAAAAGTCAAACCATCACTTTAAAAGTAGCACATTTTGGTACTTATTTCTCAGTGATTGATCCTTTCAGATACGGTTTCCCGGGACCTAAAGATTGTAGCTGAATAATGCATGATATTGTTGTTTCCCAGAAACAGGTGTTTTATTTTTATTGCATTAGCATTATGAGAACAAGCTGGCTGCGGCTTCTCTGAGAGCTGAAGTGCTGGAACACTTCTGGGTTTTACAGGCACCGGTTGCCCGGAGCTGTCAGTGCCAGGCTCTTGGTCTCTTGACAAGGAAGCTCATTATGGCCGCATCTCACCTCCTCCGGGGAGGTGCCAGATCTGTGTGCAGCACTGCTGCATGGCCGTCCACTTGTTCATCATTCATTCATTCATTCATTCATTCAATGTTTATTTCCTGAGAGCCTCTGAGTCCTGGTGCTGGGATGCACTTTGGGGTTACAGAGACAAAAAGACCAAGCTCCAGCCTTTAAGGAACCCACAGTCTATGAGGGAGACAATCTCAGTCACTGGCCTGAGTGATGAGGGGTAAACCGAGGCATGTGACAGTGGCTGACCTGGGCAGCAGGAACTCCGCTAGTCTCTAGACTTTTCTCTAAAGCTCAAAGGCAGAAGGTCCCTGCTGTGGAAAGCCCAGCTGTTTCAGAAGTCAGGATGGACTGGGCTTGAGGTAGTTGGCCATGATTGACACAGCACATCAGGAATGGCTTTGAGGCAGGCAGCTGGTGTGCCCAGTCAGAGCAGGTGCTAACTGGCCCAGGTGGGGACGTCTGCATACCCTCTGGTTCTGCCCCTGATGAAACCCTGTATCACCTTAGCCATTACCAGGGGCTGTGGGGCCTCAGTTTCCTTATTATACAATGGGGTCAATATATAACCTGCCTCTCCTGTGTCAAGAGGGCCCATGGGCTCTAGGGAGATAAAAACGCATGCTGATGGGGCTGGTGTGTTCAGCGATGGGGCTCTGTCAGTTCACAGTGCAGTTCAGCAAGCCCTTGTTTAGCACGTCCTTTGAGCATGAGCAGGGCCATGAAGATGACCACTTGGCCCTGCCCTCTGAGAACTCACCGTCAGTGTCACAGGAGGGCTCGGGTGATCAGCGGGGGACACGCGGGCTGCAGCCCAGTGAGGCCTGGAGAAATCTTCCTGGCCATGGCCTCATTTCAGGCCCAGGCCTCATTGCACCCTTCCAAGCGTCTCACAGGAGGCCTGGGTTCTGGACGCTGCGGGGGATGCTCTGCTGCTTCAGTCCCCCGAATCTCTCCCCTCCGTCCTGGTTCCTCCTCATCTTTGCAAACAGCTCAAATGCAAGCCCTGGGCCTGGACAGATTCTCCCTATGGCCTAGGTGAGCCCTGGGTGCTACCTGAACTTTTCCAGAGCTCTCTCCCACCCACCAGCTGTAAGGGGATGGAGGTGTGGAAACACCGAGGCTCCTCCCAGGTAAATGCCTCAACCAGGGCTACCTGCAGGGAGGACCCCAGGTCTTGCTCCCGGCAGGGCGGTGCCTGCACCCATCTGGAAGCCTGGCGTCTCGAGGGCAGTCCTCACAGCCTGCACCTGCCCTCCTGCCACTCAGGGTGACTGTCACTGTTTCTCTCCAGGTTGACAGCCAAGGCAGTGGCCGTGCTGCTGCCCATCCTGGGTACCTCGTGGGTCTTTGGCGTGCTTGCTGTCAACGGTTGTGCTGTGGTTTTCCAGTACATGTTTGCCACGCTCAACTCCCTGCAGGTGAGAGCCGCGGGGACTGGCGGGGAGGCAGGGCCGCCAGCCATCAGGAGCAGGCTTGCAGGGAGCTAGGGCTGCAGGGGCAGGAGGGAGGCCTGCCCTCCCGGCCACACCTTAGGAGCCTGTAATGCGGGGCATCCCCGAAGCCTGAGGACTCTCAGAAAGTGGGGCCTGCAGGATCCTGACCCCTTCAGGGCGGGGCTGCCTATGCTTCTGGCCAGCATCTGTAGTTGGCATGTCCTGGCTGGGAATGGAGGACAGTAAGACAGTCTGCCTGTGGCAGCTCTGGAAAGAAAGGCAGAGAGGTGGCCAGGGCGGTCCCCCAGGTGCTGCCCTCTGTGTGAAGGGCCAGGGAGGGTCATCTGGGAACCAAAGACTTGGGATGCGCAGGGTCAGGGCCCTCAGACCCACAGGCCCCCAAGGAAGGGCAGGCATGGGTCCCCATCGCCATCCATGGCCCTCCCAGCCCTCCCTGGGCTACTCAAGTTGCGTCTGTGTCTGCAGGCCAGTGGCACGTCTTCCGGAAGTGCCTGCCCTTGCCCACGCTGAGCCTGCCTGGGAACCCACCTGCTGCCGCACCTATGCCCACGCAGCACCCCCTCTCTGAACTCGGTCCGAGCAGCTGCCTGATTCTAGGTTGGATCATGGTGGGACCCAGGACGCCTCTCCGTCCTCACGGGCCCCAGGTCATGGGACCTGGTGTCACAGTGTGCGGTGCCAGTGCCACTCCCAGGCTGCATGGGAGGAACCTCCAGTGTTCCTAACTACGTGCAAAGGGCTCTAATCTCTGCGTTTCTTCCCTTTCTTCCCAGGGACTGTTCATATTCCTCTTTCATTGTCTCCTGAATTCAGAGGTACGTCCGCTCTGCTTGCTGGCAGGTGCAGGTGCAGCTGGCTTTTCCTTTCCGAAAGGTCACAGGAGCAGGAACAGCGCTGCCCTGTCAGGGTGGTGTCTGGGACTCAAATCCTGAGCCAGCCACGTTCCTGATGCCAAGTTGTGTGCCCTGGGGCCTGCTGCTGAGCAGCTCTTCTCTCCCCGCCTAGTTGCTAAGCGATATGCAAGCATCCTCTCTCCCTGGAGAATTGGCGACTGCATCTTAGGGAGAGTGAGATGTAGGCGTGCTCCCCACAGTCCTCCTCGAGGGCCTTGGGGAAGCTGGCCTGGCTGTGAGAAGGAGGACTTCTGTCCACGGGAGCTGGGAAGAGGAGTTTTGTGATGTGGCCTCCTTGGACTCTGGGGCAGCCAGCGCAGGCTTATTCTTTCGGTGCTGCTCTGGGCCTGGCACCTGCCATGTACTTGGCTGGGGGGAGGTAGGGGCTGCCCCAAGGACTTCTGTTCCTGTGGGAGAACTTTTCCCAAGTCAGCTTTGAGCCCCTACCAGGCTGAGGTTGTGGGAGCTGCCTTGGGATGGGGAATGGGCCCAGGGCAGAGGGGCCGTCCTGCCCGGTCCATCTCAGTGGCGGTGTCCGTTTGCAAGGACAGGCCAGGTGGGCCAAGGAGGGCAGAGCAGAGTCGCTGAGCAGGATGGTGGCCGGGCAGAAGGGCTGCATGATCACAAAGCCCAGTGACCCCTTGATCGCAACGCCCAGTGACCCCTTGCAAGGCCTGAGGTGGATCCCGGTGGCAGGAAGGCAGTGCAGCCATGGAAGCCCGCCCGCCCACCCGCCTGCCTGCCCACCACGCATTTGTTTATTTGCTTCTCTCTCACACTCACCCCGGGACATTCATTGCTGAGTGTGAGGAGCCCAGCAGAGGCCACTCCACACCCAGCTTCCCTGGCCTGCGATACAACCTGGCTCTGCCCCACAGAGCAGCGATGCACAGCTCAGCTGTGGAGCCAGCAGCTCCGACTCATATTTCCAAATCCCAACCTCCCTCGCACATCTGGTTCCGGAGTTGCACCGGCACAGACTCCTCTGGTTACGGCTGTTGCAGCCTCTGAAATTGCTCTCACGATCCCTTCCCCGCTTTCAAGGTGAGAGCCGCCTTCAAGCACAAAACCAAGGTCTGGTCGCTCACGAGCAGCTCTGCCCGCACCTCCAACGCGAAGCCCTTCCACTCGGACCTCGTGAGTGCAGCCTCCATAAACCGAGGGTCCCAGCCCATCCTCCTTCCCCAGGCTCGGTTGTCAGCAGGATGGGGTGTGCAGGCAGCAGAGGTGGCTTCGGGTGCCCAGCAGTCTTTGTCCCCCTCTCATGCCTGCAGGCTGCACGTGCTCTGGGCTTGTGTCCCCCACACAGTGCCCTGTGTCCTGATGAAGTCACCACAGCCCTACCCCTTGACCCCGAAGAGTCAGGGCTTCTTGTGTTCACTTAGGGATGGAAGGACTTAGAGATCAACTGACCGTGAGGTGGCCCATCCCCGCCGCCCTCCAGAGCCCAGGCAGGCCCCCAGGCAGTCTGGAGCAGGCCCTGTTAGGGTTCTCACTGTGCCGCTGCTTCCCCCCTGCTGGAGCCCTGCTCAGGTGTCCCATCCTCAGGAAGTCCTTCCCCGCACACGGTGCTCAATGAAGGCGCTCCCACCCATTCTCGCACTCCGCCCCCGCCCGCAGCTGTGTGATTTTCCATTTGCTTAGGGACCACGTCTGCCCTGCTCCATGGGAGCTGGCTGGCTCATGGGCTGCTCTAGCCCCACGGCTACAGCTGCGCCGGGTGTGTGGCACGCTCCATGAGTCACCGTGGAATGAACGCAGCGTGGACAGATGCATGGGGGTGAAAGCGTGGGTGCCGGGCAGATGGGTGAGCAGAGGAGGGAGTGAGCGCTCAGCACAGCACGCCTGCAGTGCCCTTAAGGGGAGTCAGCGTGGAGAACCGTGCGGCTGGAGACGCCACAGTGCGCACATCCTCATCTCCCCCAGGAGCATGGGGGCTCCCTTCTCTCTGCACCTTTCCTCCCGCAGGGAGAATCCTCGGGCAGCTATGGGCCCAATGCTCCCCGCACTCACTGGGCTTATGGCTCTCCCCCTGGGAGCAGGCCCTTCACTGCTCATCCCTTTATGCTTTGCAGATGAATGGGACCCGGCCAGGCATGGCCTCCACCAAGCTCAGCCCTTGGGACAAGAGCAGCCACTCTGCCCACCGCGTCGACCTGTCAGCCGTGTGAGCCGGGAGGCTGCCAACCAGGCCAGGCTGCGCTCAGAACACACCCCCCCAAACAGAATGAAATGCCCCACCTTTGCCCATGGACCCTCTCCTTGCTGCTGTCTGGACATGGGTGTTGTGGCCCCGAGACAGCTGTCCTCCCCTGTGACTCTGGCTGTCGGAGCACACTGCTCAGCCCAGCAGCCTGATGCCCAGGCCAGCGTGGGCCCTCCTGCCTTGCATCCACCCGTGGGCTGAGTGACTTCCTCGGGGGATTCCCAGGACACAGTGGCCTGACTGTGATGGTGCCCTTGAGCCTCCCTTCATCACTCAGCATCAGACCCAGCGAGGCCAGGACACTCGGGGCCGGTCCCGCAGCACCAGGAGGGGATGTTCAGCCTCTGTGCCTTGGTGGGGCTTGGGGACTCAGGGCCAAAGAGGTGGTTCAGGTCCCCACGCACCCTCAGTCAGGCGCAGGCAGCTGGGGGTGTGTGGGGAAGAGCATGCGGAGTCCCCAGTGTCTGAATCCACTGAGTGGTGAGTTCCCCACAGCCGGCGCTAGCCGTGGTGTGTGTCTCTGTAGGTGGTGCCGGCGTGGGCCAACCTGTGCTGTGTCATCAGTTGGGGGCCCCTGCCCAAGCCGAGCTCGAGCCGTGGGCGGGAGTCGTTGACTCTCCAGGTGAGGGCGACCCCTCTGCCCTGTCCTTGGGGGGGTCCCCTCTGCTCACGTGAAGAGCCGCTCTGGGCCTTGAGGCTGCCTGATGGTGCCTGTGCTTGGGGGAGCTTCTCGGCCATCCGCTGTGAGTTTTGCCTCTTTGGACCCCAATTCGGCCTTAAGATGCCCTCCTCCCTCGTGTGCCAGCCTCCTTGGTTGTTCTTGGGCCACAGGAGCTGGCCGTGTCCCCGCAGTGCCTGGTGTCCAGGTGGAAAGTGGAGGGCATTTTCCAGGGCACTGCTTTCCCCAGAGGCTTCCTCATGGCTCACAGGCACTCTACGAAGTTTCTAATGGGCAGACCACGCGGCAGGTAGCACAGTGCGCTCCGTCTGGTCACCATGAGACCGACCTGCGCTGAGTCCCCACTGACCTGGAGAGGGAGGGCTGGTGACAGCCGTGTCTTCTGTGTTGAGGGAAATTTATGGACTCAGATTCAGCCCCAGAGGAGATGGGATAATTGTTATGGACCCATGTGTGGGCATGATCCTGTGGAACACAGGTTTGGGATCATAGATGTGAATTAAGACACCACCGAGATACGGGCTGTGAGGTTCATACTGTGCTGATAGCACTCGTGGTGTCTGTGAAATGTGGGTAAGACATTCAAACCTGGTTTTGATACTGGAAACTCTTCCTTTAAAACTGTGACCATGATTTCATTCAGCCCCTCCACACCCCTATGTCTGCCTTGTTTCAGAGTGAGTTTTCTATGGAGCCTGTGGCCCTTTTGCAGCCCACCTGGTGGCTTCTTAATGTAACTCTTCCCCTGGTCGCCTGGAGTGGACCACTCATCTGCAGGCCTCTCCTGCATGGGGAGGGTAGGCAGGGAGCAGCATGTCTGCAGGGGTGAACCTTTGCTCTTCTGTCAGGCGAGGCCCAGGCTGCACCAGCCACCTGCCACATGGTGACAGTGCCACGGGCCCTGCGTATGGCCCCTGCAACCGTGCTCTGGCGGGCACACCTGGCTGCTGCAGGCCAAGGCCGCTGTTCAGTGAAGAGTCCCATGTTTAGTATGGACTAAAGTCCCATGTTTAGCCACTGCCCCAGGCTCCCGTGACCCCAGAAACCAGGTCACATGGACCACAGTGCCAGATCCTCATCACGCCGGTGAGCACCTAGAAGTGAGAACACTGTATTCCTACAATGTACACTTGGATATTTCTCCTTATTTAGTTTCTAGTGAAACAAATCAAGTAAGGAACTATCTTTAGTTTAGATGGAATTATTTGTTTTTAATTGTTGCCGTATTCATCTATATAGCTAATATTTCAAGATAAGTAATGAACAAAACCTGTCTAAACCTTTTGTTTCCAATGAATGAAAGTCATGCACTTTATTTATAGGCTCTATGTTTTGGCTTCTGCAGTACTTTTATTATCTATACATAATTTGGCCAAAAATAAGAAATTGGAAAGAATGAAATGTTTAGTTTATAGTAGAAGAAAGATGATGACACTAAGTTGTGAAAATATGTTGTGATTTTTATGAAATAAACTCATGTCCTGAAAAGAAAGTGTGCTCCTTAAAATCTGTTGCTGGTGGAATGTGAACAGGACCGTGAGTCTCTTAACGCATCAGTGAAATCCCAGGCTGGGATCTACTCAGTAGACATTCACTCAGCACCTGCTGTGAGCCCCACACATTCTTGCTCTGGGGATGCCCCGGGAGCCTGTGTCCCAGGGATGGGGTATGAACACAAACCGGGGGCAAGCAGCATGCCTGGGGAGGAAGCGTGGGAAGGAGGCCTGGAGGGACGTGCACAGGCCTTTGTCTGCCCAGGGTAATTTACTGCAAAATACACGGCTGCTGCTTCAAAGGAGGCGGAGTTCAGCCACATGCCACACCCCCAGATATACTCATTCATTCCTTACCCATGCTGCTTTTCCACTCTTTACAGAATTTACAGGGATGTAATTTACATGGTCCTACATTGTCTCTGCTGTGCAGCCGTCTGCTTTTATTTATTTTTTTTTTTTTGAGGCAGAGTCTCTCTGTCGCCCAGCCTGGAGTGCAGTGGTGCCATCTTGGTTCACTGAAACCTCCGCCTCCCAGGATCAAGCCATTCCCCTGCCTCAACATCCCAAGTAACTGGGACTACAGGCACACACCACCATAACCGGCTAATTTTTGTATTTTTAGTAGAGATGGGGTTTCACCATGTTGGCGTGGCTGGTCTTGAACTCCTGACCCCAGGTAATCTGCCTGCCTCGGCCTCCCAAAGTGCTGGGATTACAGGTGTGAGCCACTGCACCAGGCCCACCGTCTGCTTTTAAACTTAATGTGCACTCATAAACCACTTTCCATATTACTCTATTGTTCATAATTATGATTGTAATATAAAGTGTTCCGTTACATATTATATTTTACCAAAAATCTTGCACTGTTTTATAACTGGATTGTTTCTATGCTTCTGTGTCATACATTAACATTTACATATTTATCGTATATATATTTTTATTTATGTAACATTTCAATATTTTTTATATCCATAATATATAATAGAGGAATAGATATAATGTCTTTGTGCTTATGACTTTTTTCCTTATTTTTTATTTTGATTATTTTTTAGGTTAAAAATCTGAAAAAAAATGGGTATGCGTCAAAAAGTAAAGAATTCCATGACTCTTGAAACATTCTGCCAAATTCTTTACCAAAAGAATTTGGTAAAGAGTTATCGGGTCAGTTTTCACTGCTGGTGATAACTTATTAATATTCTCAGTGAGAACTTATTGATACTCTCATTTCTCAAAACTTTTACAGGAAAGGTGAGCAGTGTTCTCATCACCAGCTTAGTATGTGTGAAATTTATCATTTGTATTTTCTTGATTACTACTGAGTTTGAACAGTGTTTCATATGTCTTTACATTTTCTTAGGAAGGTGGCTACAATTCTGAATATATAGGGGAGATGTTTCATTTGTTTACAGTATCACTCATTGCCCTGCAACCATCCCCATTGCGCTCTCCTGTGGTGATGGTGGGACCAGGTCCCACCGGAGCCGCACACATGGTGACAGGAGCCAGCAGCTGTGGCCGTCCTGGGTGCTTGGAGAAATGCCTCAGCCGGTGCCACCCATCCAGGGTGGTGCAGGGCCCTCCCTCTCCCACAAGCCACTGGACGCCCAGCCTTGGCCAGGCCTCTCCCTTTAGCCTCCGGGGATGAGGGGACGAGTCAGGTTGGTGGAGCTGCAAGCATGAGGCAGAGGGGCCACTCTGGAAGGCAGGGCGTCCCAAGTGCCCTCCTGCATCCCGGCCCCTCCTCCACAGCGAGCTGCTCCTGCCGCCCTCTGACTTCCTTCAGAGGCATCAGAAATTACAGTCCACAAATGGGAGTCATTATTTTCGTGCTCCAACAGGCCTTTAAAAATATTTTTTTCAGCTAAATTCAGGGAGTTTGGATGTGAACAAAGAAGATGTGGGCAGTCTGCACCATTGTCTGATTCCCTGCTTGCTTCTGAATGGCATTTGGTTCCTCTTTGCCCAGCGTCTATTTTTAGCCTTTATGCCAGTTTGCGCTAGGATGATTCTTTCTAAAGAGCGTATTCGTGGCTGTGCTTTCGAAGCCAGTCTGAGGATCTCTGCATTTAATTGGGGAGTTGACATCTTGATATTTATGTGATCTATTTGTAACATTTTGCATCCGTCATTTTATTCATGCTTCCTGGGTTTTTTTGTGGTGGGGGGTTGTGGTAGAGGGGTTGTGGGGAGTGTTGTTCTGTTATTTCTTTTTTGTTTTGCTTTTTGGTGTCTGGGTTGCAATCTTTCAATCTTTTACAATAATTTGCTTCAGCGCTATCTTGCCTTTTCCCTGACTACATCTGCACTAATGCCATAATACAGGCCCATAAAGCTTAGTGTTTAGTGTGCACTTACTGTTGGCAACTTTGTTTCTGTTTGGTATTTAAAGAAAGGATTTTCCGGCCAGGCATAGTGGCTCCTGCCTGTAATCCCAGCACTTTGGGAGATCAAGGCAGGCAGATCACTTGAACTCAGGAGTTTGACACCAGCCTGGGCAATATGGCAAAACCCCGTCTCTACTAAAAATACAAAAATTAGCCGGGTGTGGTGGTGTGCACCTGTAGTCCCAGCTACTTGTGGGGCTGAGGCCGGAGAATCGCTCGAGCCTGGAAAGTTGAGGCTGCAGTGAGCCATGTTCCTACCACTGTGCCTGGGTGACAGAGCAAAACCCTGTCTCAAAAAATAAAAAATAAAAGGATTTTCATATTAGTGTTTTTACTCTTAAAAGTTGTACACATTCATGCTATTTTAATCTTATTTATAAATTAAGCAAATTTAAATTGTTAATCTACTTTTTAAAAATTAATAGGCTTTATTTTTAGAGCACTTTTAAGTCTATAGAACAACTAAGCTCCCTCATACCTCCTTTTCCCCATCCCTCTCCTGCAGTTTCCCCGATTATCAATGTCTTGCATCAGTGCGGTGCATCTGTCACAATTGGCGAATGAATGTTGATGCGTTGTTGTTAACAAAAGTCCATAGTTTACACCAGGGCTCACTCTGTGTTGTACTGTTCTATGGGTTTTGACAAAAGTATTGACTTACAGCATCACGTAGCTTCACTGCCCTAAAACACCCTCTGGGCTTCACCTGTTCATCTCTCTCTCCCCAACTAAGCCTGACAACCACTGTTTTGTTTTCTTTTTTTTTTCTTACTGTTTCTATAGCTTTGCCTATCCCAGAATGTCATATAGTTGGAATCATACAGTACGTATGTTTTTCAGATGGGGTTCTTTTGCATAGCAATATGCATTTGAGGTTCCTGCATATCTTTTTATGGCTTGACAGATCATTTCTTTTTATTGCTGTATAATATTCCATTGTGTGGAGGTGCCACACTTTATCCATTCACCTATGAAGGACAGCTTAGTTGCTTCCACATTTTGGCAGTGATGAGTAAAGCTAATATAAGCATTTGTGTGCAGGTTTTTGTGTGGAAATAAGTTTTCATCCCATTTGGATAAATACTAAGGAGCATGATTGCTGGATTGTATGGTAAGAAAATGTTTAGTTTTATAAGAGACTGCCAAGTAGCCGCACCATTTTGCATTCCTGCCAGCAATGAATGAGAGTTTCTGTGTTCCACATCCTCACCAGCATTTTGTGTTGTCAGTGTGTCGAATGTTAGCCATACTAATATGTGTGTAGTGACATCTGATTGTTTGAATTATCAGTTCCCTAATGGCATATGATATTGAGCACTACTCCCCAAGTTTTGGGTATTTGTTCTAATCCAGTCAGTATCTGAATTGGCCATTTCTCCTTGCAGTTCATCAGTTTGCCTCATGTATTGGGGTGTTGTGTTGTTTGGTGCATACACAGTGAGGACTGTTATGTCTCCTTGGAGAACTGATTGCTTTATCATCTAATGCCTCTCCTTATCTCTGCACCCTCTTTGTTCACTGGTTCTCTGGTGATTCTGAAATTTGTTCTGAAGTACTTTGCTGAGTGAACACTTGCCATGTGAACATTTTAAGTTTATTAAAAAAGAGAGTATCTTTTGTTTTTTTTTCTTTGTAAATCAAGATACACAATTCTGATGTCACATCCTTTTCCCCAGAAACATCTGTAGGTATGATTGTTTAATGAAGAGAAATTCAGAAGTTAATAATATAATTTTATGTGAAAGTCAACTTACCCTCGTCTGATCTCTTTGGAAAATTTCAAGATGCTTTCCCTTAGTTTAATTTTTAACCAGATTATGTATTGATATTGTTTTCATTCTCAGTTTTTAGTAGAATATAGACATGCCACTCTTTCGAATCCCAGGCCTTTTGTGCTATCCCTTCTGAGTTGCAGCTCCGATGGCATATTTGAGATGTGCATTCATCTCTATCAGGGACTCCCGTTGTTCACGAGTTGGGAATCTGTGCTGTGTCCTTTGTGTTTATCATCATCTCTTATTTTTCTTTTTTCTTTCTTTTTTTTTTTTTTTTGAGATGGAGTCTGGCTCTGTTGCCCAGGCTAGAGTGCAGTGGCGAGATCTCGGCTCACTGCAAGCTCCGCCTCCTGGGTTCACGCCATTCTCCTGCCTCAGCCTCCCGAGTAGCTGGGACTACAGGTGCCCACCACCACACCCGGCTAATTTTCTGTATTTTTAGTAGAGACGGGGTTTCACCGTGTTAGCCAGGATGGTCTCGATCTCCTGACCTCGTGATCCACCTGCCTCGGCCTCCCAAAGTGCTGGGATTACAGGCATGAGCCACCGCGCCCAGCCTATTTTTCTTTATTTTATTTTTACATTTTCTTGATATTTTGGATATATTTTATAAAATAATCGTTACTTACCAAGTTTATACTTTTTTCGGGGTCAGTTCTCCATTTCCTGCTTTCAACAAAGGTTTTATTTAGTCTGCTGTGGTTTTCATTCTGCTGCACAGCACATTTTATCCAGATGGGTTCTTCTTGATGTGATGCAGTGTGTTCTTTTATCTTATTGATAAAAGAAAACAGCCATGCTGTGAATTTTACTTGCTTCACAAGAAAATCTTTTCCAAGAAGAACATTTTCTTCTTTTTATGATGTGTTTGCGTTGCAAATCTTTTGCAGTGCCAGTACTTTTTTTCTTACTCATGAGTTTACTCTGGAGATCAGGATTGTTTTCCTGAATCTCAGTGGATTTTCCCATGGCTAGGGTGGCTATTAATTAGACTTTCTGGAATACAGGGATGGGACTAGATTGTGGGTTGAGTGGAAATAACTCTATGGCAGACCTCCAGGGTACTGATCCGTGGTTCCCAGCCTGTGGTGGGCCATGCAGAGCTGCTTTTTTAAACAGGGTATCTGCTAATCAATATCTACCCTAAGCATTGTCTACAGTTTGAATAAGCAATGTGTCTCCTACATCTAGGTGCCTGTCTTTCCAAATGTAGATCATGCTGTAATTAATAAGAAGATCACTTAAAAGCTTCATTGCAGTCATAACTGTAGATTGACCTTGTGTATTTTTTAACTGGTGAATATTTATCATACAGTTCCTCTCATGGGAAGGAGAGAGAGTTCAACCAGTCATTTTTATTAGTGAAAGTCAGGGCCCTCCAGCATAAGCAATTAAAATCAGCTCTGTGTAAATCAAAAGGTGAGACTTGGCTGCATATCGATCCCATTATTGACCTGATGGTTTTGTCTCCATAAAGAATTCCTGCTGTCCACAGATTGGATTCCTGTGTTTCGTTCTCCGTGTCTCATTTAAAAAAATAAACATTTTATTTTAGAACATTTTAGGTTTATAGAAAAATTGTGAAAATAATACAGAAGGTCTCCATGTAACCCACACCTAGTTTTCTCTATTATTAACATCTTATGTTAATATGGCACATTTGTTACAGATAATGAACCAGTATTGATACTGTATCACCTAAAGTAGTACTTTATTCCAATTTCTCCAGGTGTTCCCTTGTATCCTTTCTCCCTTGCAGGATACTATTTCAGATGCCACATTACACTTAGTAGCCATGTCTCCTTACAGTCCTCCTGGCTGTGACAGTTTCTGAGTCTCTCCTTGTTTTGATGACCTTGACAGTTTTAAGGATTAATGATCAGGTATGTTGTAGAATGTACTTAAGTTGGGATGGATCTGATGTTTTTCTCATGCCTGACTTGGGTTATGGGTTTTGGGGAGGAAGACTATAGAGGTAAAGTGTCATTCTCATCGCATCATGTCAAGGGTATGTACATACTATCAACATGACTTATATGTTGACTTGTATGTTGACATATGACTTATATGTCGATGATGACCTTAATCACTGAGCTGAGGTAGTGTTTGTCTGGTTTCTCCAATGGGAAATTACTCCCTCCCTGTCTCCCCATTCCATCCTGTTTAGAAGGAAGCCACTGTGCACAGCCCACACTAAAGGATTGTGGAGTTATGTTCTACCTCCTCAAGGAAGGAGGCTCTGCATAAATTATTTTGAATTCTTCTGCATGGGACATGTCTATTCTTCCCCATTTATTAATTAATTCAGCCATTGATATCAGTACAGACTCATGGATACTTACTTGATGGATTATTATCCAATACTACTTTAATGATTTTGTTGCTCAAATTATTCCAGCTTTGGCCATTGAGAGCTTTCTCAGTTGGATCTTGTGTCCGTCTGACATGCCACTGTGTGTGTGTGTGTGTGTGTGAGAGAGGAGCACTTCCTCTATTAGATATGTGTTTTGCAATTATTTTCCTCTCGTCCGTGGCTTGCCTTCTCATTCTCTTAACAGAGTCTTTCACAGAGCAAAAGTTTTATTTATTTATGTTTTTAACTTTTATTTTAGGTTCAGGGATGCAAATGCAGGTTTGTTACAGGTAAACTGCATGTCACAGGGGTTTGATATACAGATTATTAAGCATAGTACCCAGTAAGGTAATTTTTCACTCCTCACCTGCCTCCCTCCCTCCACTCTCAAGTAGGCCCCCCACTGTCTGTTCTCTTCCTTGTGTCCATGTGTGCTCAGTGTTTAACTCCCACGTATAAGTGAGAACATATGGTATTTGGTTTTCTGTTCCTTTGTTAGTTCACTTGGGATGATGGCCTCCAGCTCCATCCATGTTGTTGCAGAGGACATGATCTCACTCTTTTTTATGCTACGTAAGATTCTGTGGTGTATATCTATCACATTTTCTTTATCCAGTCTACCACTGATGAGCATTTAGGTTGATTCCATGTCTTTGCTATTGTGAATAGTCCTGTGATCAACATACATGTGCACATGTCTTTATGGTAGAACAATTTATATTCCTTTGAGTATATACCCAATAAGGGATTGCTGGGTCAAATGGTAATTCTGCTTTGACTTCTTTTGAGAAATTGCCAAAGAGAAGTTTTATTTTAATAAAGTTCAATTTATCAATTTTGTCTTTTGTCAATTGTACTTTTGGTATCATGTCTAGGAACTCTTCAGCAAAACCTAGATCCAAAAGATCTTCTTCTAAAAGGGCTATCGTTTCAGCTTTAAATTTAAATATAGAATCCTTTAAAAAATAACTTTTGCATAAGGTGTGAAGCTGAAGTCAAGACACATTCTTTTTGCCTGTGGATGTCTTAATGGACATCCAGTTGTACTAGCCTCATTTGTTCGAAGATCTCTCCTTTCACTATTGACTTGCCTTTGCTCCTTCATCAAAGATCAATGGACTATACTTGTATCGTTATAGTTCTGCATTCTCCATTCTATTCCACTGACATATGTGTCTATTTGTTTTCCTTCCAATACCACACTGTCTTAATTATTTGGCTTTATGGTAATTGTTCAAATCAGGAAGTATGAGTCCCCATACTGTGTTCTTCCTCAGAATTGTATTGGCTATTCTAGGCCTTTTGCCTTTCCACATAAATTTTAGAATCAGTTTGTCAATATCTACAAAATACCTTGCTGAGATGTTGATTGGGATTTCAATGAATCCACAGGTCAATCTTAAACAATTCATTTCTTAACAATATTGAGTCTTCCCATCCATGAATATGGAATATGTCTCCATCTATTTTGACTTTTAGAATTAGAATAATTTCTTATTTAAATGTTTGGTAGAATTTAGACTTACTTTTTAATTCCAATGTGTATACTTTTAATTAATTAATTTTTAGAGACAGGGTCTCACTCTGTCACCTAGGATGGAGTGCAATGGCATGATCACAGCTCACTGCAGTCTCAACCTCCTGGGATCAAGCAATCCTCCCGCCTCAGCATCCCAAGTAGCTGGGACTACAGGTGTGCACCACTGCACCTGGCAAGTTTTGACCTTTTTTTTTTGTAGGGATGAGGTCTCACTCTGTTGACCAGGCTGGTCTCAAACTCCTGGACTCAAGTGATTCTCCTACCTCAGCATCCCAAAGTGCTGGGATTACAGGCATGAGATACCATGCCCAATGTCTATTTTTAACTAGTTTTTATTTTATTTTTAGTGATTGCCCTAGAGATTGTAATATAGATTTTAACTAATCTAAATCCATCTTCAAATAAGAGTATACCACAGATATACAGGTATCTTACAACACTGTATCTCAATTCCCTCTGGCCCCATGCCCTGTTATCATCCAGTTCACTTGTCTATGTGGTATATAATTATCTAATACATTGATGCTATAAGTTTAAACAGCTATTTTTAGATCAATCAAGAACAAAAAAAAAAAGTAAACATTTTCTTTCACCTCCATTTATTTTTCTCTGATACTCTCCCATTCTTTATGTAGATCTAAGTTTACATCTGATTGTATCATTTTCCTTCTCTCTGGAGAAATTCTTTATACATTTTTTACAGGGAAGTTCTGCTGGCTAATTCCCTCAAGTTTTGTCTGAAATAGTGTTTATTCTCCTTCACTATTTTATTTTATTTTATTTTATTTATTTTTTTATGAGATGGGGTCTCACTATGTTGCCCAGGCTGGTCTCTAACTGCTGAGCTCAAGTTATCCACCTGCCTCAGCCTCCCAAAGTGCTGGGATTACAGGCATGAGTCACCACATCCAACCTCATTCACCTTTATAGAATCATTTTGCTGGCTATTATGTTAATTTTACATTGGTGATTTTTTTCTTTCAATAACTTGAATATTTCACTCCACTGTCTTTATTTGCCTCTATGGTTTGTGACAAGAAATCTGCTATAATTCTTATTCTTGCTCATCTATAAGTAAGGCGTTTTTTCCTCTGACCAAGATTTTCTTTTTGTCTTTGCTTTCTGCAATTTTAATATGAAACATCAAGATTTTCTTTGTATTTATCCTGCTTTGTATTCTCTGAGCTTTCTGGATCTGTGGCTTAGTATCTGTTATTAATTTTGGAAAGTTCTCAGTTACTATTATTTCAGATGTTTCTTCCAACCCTTTCCTCTAATTTTTTTCTGATGCTCCAATTACACGTTACTTTTTTTTTAACAGTTGCCTCACAGGCTTGGGTGTTATTTGTTCCAATCTTTTTTCTCTTTGCATTTATGTCTGGGAAATTTCTATGACCCTATCTTCAAGCTCACTGATTGTTTCCTCAGCGGCATTTGGTCTACTGACGAGCCTATCAAAGGCATTCTTCATTTCTGTTAAAGGGTTTTTTATTTCTAGTGTTTCATTTTGATTTTTTCTTAGTCTTTACAGCTCTGCTTACATTAGCCATCTGTTCTTGCATGTTGTGTACTTTTTCCATTATAGCTCTTAACATATTAATCCTAGTTATCTTAAATTCCCTGTCTGATAATTTCAACATTGTGTCATATGGGAACCTAGTTCTAATGCTTGGTTGGTTTTTTTCTTGTCATCTGTAGTCTTGCAATTTTTGTTGTTATTGTTGTTAGAAGCTGAACATTTTGTACTGGGTATCAGGAACTGAGGTAACGAGGACTTTAACATCAAGGCTTACGTTACCTGGCTAGGAGTTGGGCTGTTTAATGTTTGCTGTAGCTGTAGGTGCCAGAGGCTTCAAATTCCTCTAGTGTCCTTGCTTTTGTCTTTATTCTTGACTTCGGACTTTTCCTGTACACTCCTCATAGAGTCTGCATCTTGCATCTCTTCCAGCTGTAGTCAGTTCCTGTTGTTCTGTATTCTCGTTGTCATGGGGGTAATGTGTGGGGTAGGAGAAATGTTCTATCATCTTACAATAAATCTCAGCCTTTTAGTGGGTTTGTGTCTAGGGTGGTAACCCTCACAAGTTACTCCAGTGACAGCATTTCCCCGCTTAGTGTAGATAAAAAGACCTGAGGGAGCTGGGAGGAGGGACCACCCTCCCCCAGGTGGGGTGAAGCTTTGGTGAATACTTCACCCTGGAAGATAGGCTGCCTGCTGGCACCATGGCAGGAACAAGCTACAGTTCCCATTCTCTGGCTGCCAGCTCTCTCCTGGCATGTCACCAAGGTGCGCTTTAACTACATTGGAAATGTTCTCTTCCCCCATTCTCTTCCCTCTTTATTGTCTTTCTAGGGACTTGGAGAATACTGAGAGAGGAATGAGCAGTGTGCAGGCTCTCAGCTACAGAAGTGGGGATCCGATTCCACTTCTTGATACTTTGGTGCTACAGAAGCTCCCTGGAACTTGGACTCAACTCTGGAAAAATGATGGACGGCCTGAAGCATGAGGTCCAGGCTGCCAGTGCCGGGTGGAGTCCGTGGCCTGGAGTGAGAACTCATGGTGCTTTTTCTGGGCCTGCCCATGGCAGCACACACTTCTTCCCTTCTGAGCCCATAAAAACCCCTGACTCCGTCAGACTCACACAGATGTTGGGACTACCAGCTTCAGAGAGGATCTACCCATTGTGGGTCTCCTCTCCGCTGAGAGCTGTACAGTCATTGGGATGACCTGCCAGCAGAAAGGAGCTACCCACTGTGGCTCTCCTGTTTACTGAGAGCTGGACACTTGGGATGACCTGCCTGCAGAAAGAAGCTACCCTTTCAGGTCTCCTGAGAGCTGTTCTGTTACTCAATGAAGCTCATCTCTGCCTTGCTGACCTTCCAGTTGTCTGAGTACTTAATGCTTCCTGGCGGGACCAGAACTCAGTCCTGCTGATTGGTGGAACTGAAAGAGCTGTAACACAAACAGGGCTGAAACATGCCACCCCCCCGACTTGCCATGTTGTGGAGGATGAGGAGAGAAGAGCTGTAGCCCTTTGGGGAGTGCAGACCTAGGAGCTCCCCAAGCCAGGGCTGTGACACCCTCTTTGTGGCTCTGTAGTTCCTGGTGTCTCCAAGTTTCTGAACACCACCACATTCCTTGTCCAGACACAGGTGCCTGCAATGGAAACCACATGTGGTACATCTGGTCCAGCTGCTGCCTCACATGGAGCTGACACCTGGAGCTGCCCACCCCACCGCAGCAGCTGGTGTGCCTGGTTGTACACAGTGGCCAGACCCCACACTTGCTCGCTAACACATCCTTTGCTGCTCTACGTTTGGCTCGCCCTTGGCAGGTGTGGGATCTGGGTCAGTAGTGTCAGCCGGGTGCAGCCTGCTGGGCTGAGTGGACATAATAAGCCCAGTGAGCATGAACAATACTCAGGCAGAAGGTGCTACCAGTCACAGAGGTTTCTGGCTGGTGAAGTGACACTCCAAGGATCCCATGACAATATAAGGGTATCTTCGCTGTCTCTCCCCCAGATGCCGTGGTGTTTACCCAGGAAGTCAGGAACCATCATGTGATGCAGGAGATCTAGTCAGGCTACAGCTAACTACTAAGAATGGCTCCGGAGCTGGAGTGAGCTGAGGTTCCTGATTCTGGGTGGAGCTGCTTTATGGACCAGCCCTGGAAACCCCCTTAGGGCCACTGCGGGACGAGAACAATTCCTTCATTCCCTTCAGCCAGCAGGGCAGTGTTTCTTGTTCACAGCTGGGGGTCTCCTGGATGTCCCCCCACAGCAGGAAGGCCCATGCACTGGTTGCTTCTGACTTAGGGCTGAGGGAGAATGAGGTGCTGTGTGGGCAGGTCTGGAAGGGGCACCACCTGCCACCCTCACCCTCACATCTCCTCCAGCAGATGTGGTTATTCTCTCCCTCCCTGGACAGACATCGTTAGAGAAGATTTAATCAAGGAAGAGCAATGGAGGCTGGGTGCGGTGGCTCACACCTGTAATCCCAGCATTTTGGGAGGCCAAGGCGGGCGGATCATGAGGTCAGGAGTTCGAGACCAGCCTGGCCAACATGGTGAAACCCCATTTCTACTAAAAATAAAAAATTAGCTGGGTAGGGTGGTACGCACCTTTAATCCCAGCTACTCGGGAGGCTGAAGCAGGAAAATTGCTTGAACCCGGGAGGCGGATGTTGCAGTGAGCCGAGATCACGACACTGCACTCTAGCCTAGGCAACAGAGCAAGACTCCATCTCAAAAAAAAGAAAGAAAGAAAGAGCAATGGTCTAATGGAGTCTGTCTAGATGAGTGAGATAATGGCCAGACTGATGCCTGCTGCCCAGCCTGCTCACATATTCTGGAGACTCCTCTGCTCCTATTAGGTTAACAAGCTGTGTTTGTCAGTGAGATTGCAAACAGTACCTTCCCTCCATTCTATTCCCAGTCCTGCAGATCTCCTGGGTTTTGAGAGATGTTTCCTAAATGAAGTGACTCTCTCTCTCCTCCCCGGTGGGTCCTGTAGACGGATGCTGGTCAGGCTCTTTCCATGTGGGGTGGGGGACACAGGGCACAAAGTTCCTCCTGCCTGGCCCCACGGCAGAATTACTTAGGCTTTCCCAGGGCTCATCCCAGGATGCAGGCCATGGCTGCCTTTGTGTGAAGGCTGCTTTGTGTGAAGCTGAGCCCAAGTGTGGAGGTGACTGGAGAACGTGGGAGAGTAGAGTCACATAAGGATGGTGGCCTCCCTGTCCCAGGCTGATGGAGTGCAGTGCAGGGGCTGGAGCTCAAGCAGCCATAATGGAACGTGAGGAGGATCAAATATTGAGGATGTGTGGGAAGCAAGATGGAGGAGTCCCCCTCCCTTACGGAGATGAATGACGACACCAGGTCTGGACTACACTTCTCTAGACTGTTTTGTGAGAGATAAGTATGCTCCCGTCTTGTTTAAGCTCCTGTGTTTGTGGTTTTCCGTGGCTCACAGCTGATCCCACCTTAACCAACATGGCCATAGCATGTGCATTTCCTGACCCTCTGTGCGGTGCTGCTACTGGAGAAAGCAGCTTCCCTCCTGGCTGTGGCTCAGCCCCATGTTCCTCAGAGCACTAGTTAAATGGCAATTGCTGATTCCTAAGTCTGGGCAGGGGCCTGGGATTCTGCATTTCTTACAGGCTCCCAGAGGATTCTGTGCTGTAGGTCCTACTCCACACCTGGAGTAGCAGGGGCTTACATGCTTTCTGGGGTCTCAGCCCAGGCGTCTCACATTCCCCACCTAGGACACTTTCTGTCCAGCTCCACCTGCAAGAACAGCCTTCAGAGAAAAGCAATCAGCAAAAAGGAATCTAACATGGATGTTCCTGGCAGAGAGTGAGGGCTCTGCAATGTTGTGAGTCCTGGAGACCGCCCCATTACTCTTCAGCTGCAAGTGACAGTTAATGTATTACCTTTCCTCACCTGGCTGCTCTGTGAGTTTCATTCCATAGCAGGAGACTGTGGCACCATTGTGATATCAGAGGCCTGGGGAAGATCCAGATGATGAGTTAATAGTCTCCATTCATGCTTCTCCGCGTCTGTGAAGTAGGTTTTATCAGCCATTTTGCTGGGTTTTAAGATTGGCTTCCCTTCTGTCTTCTGAAGGTTGATTAGAAATTGGAGGCTGTGGTACAGGAACCCTGACTGTACCTGAGGATGCCAAGCACTCTTCAAGGCAGCACGTCTGCCCGCAATCAGAAGGGATCACTCTCCCACACCTCCTCCCATCCTTTCTTTGGCTCCTGCACAGACTCTTGCTATAAACGCAGACGGGGAAGCTGCAGTGCTGGGCTGGAGGGCCAGGCTTGGAGGAACTGTCAACTCGGTTTCTCTTTGGGCCCAGTAATCCTCAGTGTCCTCTCTTAGGACATCCCTGCAAGGAACCAGCCTGGAAATCAGCTGGTTCTCATGATGAACCCTCAGACCTTCCACTTGTTCTCGTGAAGTCTCCCCTGATTGCTCAAAGATTTCTGCCCCTTCCTGAATGAAACATTTCCACTCATCACTTTTTTTTTTAACAGTGAATCAAGTTTTGGCCTTATTCCAGGAAATCATCTATTTATTGGTGTGCATTTATTAATTTTTAAAGAGCATTTTCTTGAGCAACTACTAGAAAAAAATTTGGCGGTTTGACTCCAGGTATACATATTTGCTTCTATTCATTTCCAACTCTTAATCATTTATATCAGTCTATAAAATCATGAGTTTTGGGATTTTTCCTCTTGTGATAGTATTATTAGTATTGACAATATCTTACATATCCATTCTGAAATATCCACGTGCCAACAACTGTGTTTGGAAGCTTAGAAGCAATTTTTTTATTATGGAAAATATGTCAATTATTGATAACCAAAAGGAAGGAAAAGAACCACCTATGATTATGCCACTGAGAAAACTGTGGTGAATATTTCATAGCTTTTCAGGTTCTGTGCATGTGAGAGCTTGTGTATACACTTACACATTTGTGCATTGTCTTCATGAAAATGGATTCATCCTATATTATAACTGTCTTCTTCAGATTTACTGAGGTACAATTGAGAAACAAAAATTATATATATTTAAGGTATGCAACTTGATGTTTTGTCTACCTTGTGAAATGATCACCACAAAGTAATTAACATATTCATCACCTCACACAGTTACTGTCTTCCCTTCTTTCCTTCTTTCCCTTTCTTTCTTTCCTTCCCTCCTCCCTTCCCTTCCTCCTTCCTTCCCTCCCTTTATTTGGTGAGAATACTTAAGATCTACCCTCAGCAAATTTCAAGTATACAATACAGAAGTTGTTAACTAAAGTTGCCAGAGAAGTTCCCTCCAAAATTAAAAACACAACTACCATATGCTCCAGCAATCCCACTTCTGAGTATATATCCAAGGGAAATGAAATCTGGATCTTGAAGAGAGATCTGCACTCCCATGTTCAATGCAGCATTGTTCACAATAGCCAAGATACGAAACAACATGAATGTCCTTCAAAGGATGAGTGGATAAATATAAACTATCTCTATCTCTGTCTCTCTATCTAGACACACACATCAAAATATTATACAGCCTTAAAAAGAAGGAAATCCTGCCATTTGTGACAACGTGGATGAACCTGGAGGACATTATGTTAAGCGAAATAAGCCAAACACAGAAACACAAATACCACATGACCTCACTTACATGTGGAATCAAAAATAGTCAAACCCATAGAAGCTGAGAGTATAATATGGTAGTTGCCAGGTGCTGGGGGGTGAGGGAAATGGGGAGATGGGGTTAAAGGCTACAAAATATTGGGCTTTTTTCTTAACAATACAATGTAACAATACAGTCTAGCATGAGTTGTCCTCTGGTTGAACTTCAGAGTCACCTGAGGAGGCTTGAAGGGTACACCCAGACCCTGGGCTCTCCCAGGAGGCTGATAGAGTCATGCTGATGTGGTAATGAATAGCATCTTATTTTATGGATGTCTGAGTCCCTCTTTAACCATGGCCACGTAATTGGAAATGGGTATTTTCACCTTTATAGATATCTATGGAGTATGATTGCCTTTATAAGTACATAACATACTAATAGATATATCTTTGTATACGTCAGGTATTGTGGATGCATTCTGGAAACTGCATCAGTGGGCCAAAGAACCTTTATCATATCTAATGCAAACTGTCACTGACACTCCAGAAAGAAGAGACCAGTGAGCAGTGCACAGTAGGGAGTGGCAATGCCCATCTGCCCACAGCTTAGCCAGCATTGGGTGTTAAATGGTTTTACTATCTTCCAGTTTTGTAGGTTCAGTCATTTATTCACTCATTCAGTAATTCTATTTTGCTCAACCACTCTGGGCCATGTTCATTCAAGTGATAGGGCCTCTATGGTGACTCAAGACAGACACAGCCCCTGATCTTGTGCTGCTCACAGTTTAGTGGGAGATGGGCTTGAATCCAATAGCCACAAACACTCATGTGAAGGAAGCTGGGACAGCTATGAGGAGAGATTTGTGATGCTGTGGGAACCTGTGGTACAATTTGACCTGGTCGAGGAGGTCAGCATGGGCTTCCCTAAGGAGCTGACACTCACTGCACTCTGGAGAGGGGGAGCGTCTGAGGGAACAACTGGTCTGCAGGAGGGAGAGCACATGGGAATGGGGACTGTCTACAGTGGCTACAGTTCATCAAAGGTACATTCAAATAGGTGAATTTTACTGTAAGTAAATCATGCCTTGGTGAAGTGGGGCCCTGCTAGCTAGGCCCATGGTACCCCTCTACTCCCAATGCTCCAGCAGCTGGCCTGCGTCTCATAGTAGAGCCTGCCTCCTGGGAATGGCCTACAGGGCCATGTGGTCTGGTTCCCATTTTCTCTTGGCCTCAGCTCTCTTTTTCTCTGCATTTATTCTGTTCTGCACACACTGTTTGAATGCATAGTTCCTCACCCTCCAGGCAGGCTCCTGCCTCGGGGCCTTTGCACATGCTGTTTCCAACAACATCCACTCCTAAACGGCTGTGTTCATGAGGGCGGGGCCAGCTTCATGGGCATACACTCAGGGCCCTGCATTTTGAAGAGATCCATGCTTGCTTTAATGCTCTGTTGTTACTAACATTTACTCATTTTTGAAGAAAATGCATTTTTTCATTCATTTTTGAGTGAGGGGCCCTGCATTTTCATTTTGCACTGGGCCTTGTTAGCAAAAGCTCTACACACCAAGGCTTGGGGGAGCTTCCCGGGGTGGCAGTACTTCATGTGTGTTGTCACACATTGTTGCTGGGAGAATTAAGTGCTGTCCATCTGAGTTAACTGGAACAAGACACCTGGAAGTTTGAATCTGGCTTCTCCAGGACTCTGACCTATGCACTTTTCCTTTTTGCTGATTTTATCTGTATCCTTTCATGAAAGTAAATCATAACTAAGAGTATAACAGCTTTTCTGAGTCCTGTGAGTCCTTCTAGTGAATTATTAAACCTGAGGGTGGTCTTGGGGATTCCCGACACAGGAACTTCACCAAAACTTGTTGGAGGCAGGGGTGCCATTAAGCTATGGGGCCTCAATGGGAAGGGACCCACAAACTCACCAGGCCTTCTTCCTTCCTCTTCTCTATGTCAATGTGACTCTCAGACCAATTTTTTTCTGTGAGAATCAACCTACAGAGCTTGGCATTTCCTGGCCTAGCCAGCCAACACCATTGCAGAGAGGCCCATAGCTCTGGTCTGAAACCCCTGGTCAGAAATTCTGATGGGGGCTCCTGGGGTCTTGTGCCCTCCCCTGTAGGGGATATACTTGATGGGCACTATGATTGTCAAAGGTTAAATATGTAAAAATATTCCCCACAGATGCTTTCCAGCTGGGGGTAGAATTCCTGATACGTTCAACCTAAGCGCTTGGATGGTCCTAGAGAGGGGACAAGAGTCAATGGCTCTGCTGTGGTTTGAATGTGTCCCTCAAAAAGCATGTTGGAAACTTAATCCCAAAAGCAACAGTGCTGAAAGGTGGGGTGTAGTGAGAGGTGATTAGGCCCCAAGGGGAGAATGAGTGATAATGCCATTATTGCAGGAATGGGTTCATTATAAAAGGGGGAGTTTGGTCCCCTTTTGCTCTCTCTCACCCTCTCTTTGTCCTTCCACCATGTGATGCCTTCTGCCATGTTAGGATGCAGCAAGAAGGACCTTACAAGATGCCAGCACCTTGATCTTGGACTTTCCAGCCTTTAGAACTACGAGAAGTAAATTTCTGTTCTTTATAAATTACCCAGTCTGTGGTATTCTGTTTTAGCAGTACAAAATGGATGAAGACAAGCTCCTACATGCACGAGAGAGGGTGAACCTGGAGAGCTGGGTGACCACCCAGTGGCCACACAAACATACAGGCCTATCACCCATGTGGGGCATGATCTCAGGGCTATGTGTTCCCCATCCCTGGAGGTTGGGTTATTGATCACCACTATTTGTTCACATTCTTTCCGACAACATTGTCAAAGTCAGTGTGATCCCCATGGCAGCAGAATGCACAGGACTGGGACTGAGCCCTTACTCCTGTCAAGGTTCCTCATTGCAGGGGTAGAGTGGGTAGCGGGTGAGGGAGAGGGATTCTATTTGAAAGAGGCAGAAAATAATTTGAGGCAATGTAATGGTCCTTAGGTTTGTGTCTCCAAACTCACTGAGACAAAAGCATCAGGATAGCGTTTCTAGAGAAACTTCTGGTTTCCTGATAAGCCATGGTCTTTCTCTGGTGGTATCTGCCTTTTCCAAACATGTCTATATCCCCTGCAGAGCTCTTAACTGGGGCATCAAGAGGGATTTGATCACAGCTCTTAAGGGCCGATAGGTGGCACTAAGGATAAGGAGCCCACCCTCTCCCTTTCCCAAAGGCGAGGGAGGCTGTAAGCTATTCCAATAAGGTGGTTGGGCACAGTCTTGGGAGACAGACTGTCAGATCTGAATATCCACAGGCACTGTTTTCACCACTGACAATCTGTGTGACCTTCAGGGAAACACCAGGCTTTGTAATCTCACTCAGCTGCCTGGTTCAAAAATCTCAGCTCAAATGTTGCTTCCTCAGGACTTCTCTCCTGAATTTCTCTGCTTTATGTTCTCATAGACTCCTGTATTTTTCCTTCTAATGACTATTAGTTTTAACTTTGTTGGTAGGATTTCTCAGTCCTTCTTTGTGTTCCTCTCTAGACTGAAATCTCCTTGAAGGCAGGGGCTCTCTCTGTCTTGCAAAGTTTTATGCCATCAGTAACACACAGAGACTGGCTCATGATAGAAAATCAGAAAATGCATGCTGAATGACATGTGACAAAGCTCCATCAGGGCCCCTGGTGGACACATGGGGTGAGTTTTACATATCACGAGACTTAGAAAATGAGCTATTATCAATCACATAATTATCCTCAGAGAATCTGTGTCCTTTTTCCTTTTAAATACATTTGTGCATTATGAGCTTTTAATTACAACTAAGGTGGGTATCACTCTGCATTAAGATCTTGCATAAGAAATGAGGAGATGGAGACAGGTCTGAAAGGGTCTGGGTGTTTATAATGCAAAGTAATTGCAATGCTGTACCATGAAATGCATTTTGTTCTTGAAAACTGAATTCGAGTTTGATGTCTTTTGACAGCCTTGATGCATTTTTAATTCACACAGAGCCTCCCTTCTCTATGCTCCACTGAGTGCACTGGGGACAGGTGACATTCTGGGAGGGGAGCTTGGGGTAAGTTTGGGTAGAGATGCTGTAATAAAAATGTCCAGCTCCCAAGTCCATCCCATGGTGGACATCAATGGGGGCATCTGGAGCCTGGGTGCAAAGGGTGAGGGGTGCCAGTCCTATCACAGCTGAGTTGTGACAGGGGGTTTGCAGAAGGGCCTTTCATTTCCCAAGTAGCCTGAGTCCAAGGCTGTGCTGCACCCAAAGGACACAATCTCTGCCAGGGACAAGTCATAGTCCCTGCAGGTCCAGGTCTTGCAGCAGACCTGGACTCAGGGCAATTCAGATAAAATGGGTTCAATGAAAGGATGGGGATCCTATATTTACTCATTTATCCTTACAATCATGTGAGGAGGTAAGTCCAATTATCCCTATTTTATAGATAAAGAACTTGGCCAGGGTTACATAAATAGTAAATGCCTACATACACATGCCAGAACCTCCATATGTATCTCCATCAAGCCAAACATGAAAAGACAGAAACATTTTGAAATTTAACGTATATCCATCTGAACTTGAGACTTCTGCCCTGTTCTGATGCCTTGTACATGCCATATGAAGGAGAGATGAAAGTGAGCTTAGATCACAGCTGCCTCACAGGCAAACATCTGTGAAACTGCATCCTCACCCCACCCTAGTAGGGGTTCCCCTAGGGGACTTGGTGGATAACACCACCTCCCAGGTACAGCTTCCTCCCTCGGCCCAACTTGGCAGTGCTGGGGGACTTATGAGTGCTGAAAGAGAGTATGTCCAAGTCGCTTGAAGGGTAAGGATTTGAAACTGCTCTCAGGATGGAATGTCCAGGTGCAGCATCACTTTCCACTGTCTCATTATGAAATTCCCAGGGGTCCTTGGCCTCCACTTTCTTTGAAGTATTAGGAATGGGTGCAGTAAACTCAAGTGTCACCTAACACCAGCTCCACTGTGATTCCCAGAGTTGCCTGAGGCCTCCTAGGATCTGGGGGGGTCTCTCCAGTCTCAGCCCAGCAGTTTTAACATCTCAGTAAAAACCCGCTTCCAATAAGGGGAGGGGTGCTTGGACAGGTCTTGGCAGTAGGACACAACCGGGGAGATCTATGAAGCGACTCAAAAAGTAGTGTCTGCATAAGCTCTTTTTTTTTAATCTAAGAAATGAAGGCTTCACTGCAAAGTATTTACTGCACCAGTGATGCTGAAAAAGGAAATGAACTCCTGTGAATTACCTTATTTAAACATCGTGATGTTCTTTTCTGTGGATGATCTTAAGATGAGGAGTTAGAATTGTGAAGTGCTGTAGCAAGGAGGCGTCAGCCTAATGCACTAACGCAGCCATCTCTTTCTTAGGACCAAGCAAGGAAGTCAGGCCCATTATCCTTCTCTACCTTCTGCCCTGGTTTCCAAACAGGTTGCATTTCCCAGAGCATCTGGCATTCAGGATAGAAGTAATATTGGGTCCATATCTGGACCTTCTCCAATCTTACTTCTGAGCCTGGTGTCAGAATCAGCCATGTATGTGTTACCTGTGTGCTGCCCGTGTCTGCATCTATGGATGTGCATCCTGTGGGTGGTATCTGTTACTTGTATGAGTAACCTGTGCCTTACCTGTCTGGTCCCATGTGAATTGTGACTTACGGGCTGCCAATGTGTGTTGCAGGTCCTACATGTGTAAGCCTCTGCGTGTCACCTGGGTGTGACACATGTGCTCCTTCCCAGTGATCTATGTACTACTGTGTTCCCAGTGAGTGTGGTATCTGAGTGTTTCTCATGTGCTGCTATCTGGAGGTTATCTCTGCATATGTGACCTGTGTGCTACACTTATGCTCCAGTATGTTACCTGCATGTTTCCTGATCATATGCTCCTTTGATGCTGAGTGTGGATCTTGTGTGCGTGTTATCTCTATGTGTGTACCACCTGGCTGCATTTCTTTAAGGGCTGTTCCATGGATTATGTGTATATTAACTGCATGCCATCTACATGCAACCTACACATTCACTCACCCAGGGAGTGAATGGTTGCTCACGTGTGTTATTATAACCGTGCAGGCTGCTCGCGTGTGTTGTTATGACCGTGCAGGCTGCTGGCATGCACTGTCTGTATTTCCTGTGTCCATGGTGCCTTCATGTTACCTAAGTGTGTCAGCATCTTGTGTCACTTGTGCCTGTCATCTGTTTGCTGGTGGTCATTTGTGTTGCCACGTGAGTCTTGTATTTTACCTGATATGTCGTGTGTGTGCGTTCTGCTGCAGGCTACTTCTGTGCGTTTGCCTGTAAACAACCTGTGTGTGCCACCTCCTATTACCTGGGCCTGCTGCTCTGTGTATTAAACCATTCCCGCATGCTCCCGTCTGTCCGCTGCTCGTGGGAGGAGTCTGCGGATTCCTTCCTTGTATGACCTGCATGGTGCTGTGTGTGGCGCTGCCTGGGTGTATCTGCATCACCCATGTTTGTGCCACCTGCACCTGTACTTATAGGTGTCACACACGCAGGCTGCTGACATGATTATTACCTATGTGCTACATGTGGACACTGCCAGTGTCACCCAGGCACGGGGGCTCATGGATACTCATATGCTGCCGCCAGCGGAACGCACCCTTCCCTCTACTGCGGCGCGAGGGGCGGGTAGAGACGAAGGCTGGTAGGAAACTCTGGGGAACTCCGGGTCCTCCAGCTGCTTCCGACAGGGCCCTCCGGGTCACGGGAAGAGCCGGCCGCTGTCCTCACCGGGACCGGGACCAGGACCGGGACCGCGACGGCATCTCCCCGCCCGTCCCTGAGCCCCTCCTTCCGCTGGCCAGGACCCTCGGAAGCGAGCCCGAGCCACTCCCCCTCCGACCAGGGGTCGTCCAGAGGCCTGGCTCGGGGAGCCCCGCTGCTGCCCGGGTGGCAAGTGCTGCGGCCCCTCTGTGGACTCCTGCCCGGCTGGCGCGGCCCTTCTCCGGCCTGACCCTGTTTCTCTGTCCCGCACGGGCAGACGCGGGGACAGCGGGCTCTGAGGGCTCGGGGCTGGCGTCCAGGCGGGGTCTGCCCGGTGCCCCCCCCCCATGCTGCCTTGAGGCCCCTCGCGATCCCAACGCCCGCGCCCTCCGGGTTTTCACAGCAGGGAAATTGAGGCCACGGGCCCAGGTCAGGACCGCGCAGCAAGGAAGGGGAGTGATCCAGGTTCTGGGGTTCCGGATTCTGATCCGGCTCTGTGTGGATGAGGACTCCTTGGGCTAGGAAGCCCAAAAGCCAAGAAACGCTCAAATGAGCTCAAGGAAATAAAAGCGGGGAGGGGACCTGGCCCTGGAAACGCTGCAGCACAGACCTGGCTGCAGGCTCGACTGGATCCAGGGCTCCAGTGATCTTTTTTTCTGTCTCATATCTGGGCCTTCAGCGGCTTTGGCCCTGCTAATGCCCCAATCAGGGACCTCTACCTGGCAGGCTCCCCCTACAAAGGAGTAAGATGGCTGCAGCTGCTTCCTGGCTTCCTCTCAGCTCCGTAGCTCTCCCGCCAGCCCTGGGGCAGGTCCTGGCATGCACTCTGATTGGACTGGCAGAGTCATGTGACCAGGTCTGTACCAATCATAGGCCCAGGGCACAGCCACCTGACACTCTGATTGGACTTGCTCCGGCCATGTAGCCAGCTCTGCACCAATCACAAAGCCAGAGCACAGCCTGTGGAAGTGTAACAACCTTTCCCATTGGCCAGGGAACAAATCCTGATGCTCACTCCGATTGGACTTGCTCGGGCCACGTGACCAGCCCTGCACCAATCACAGAGCCAGGGTAAGGGGCTTCCAACCACACCTGGGCCACAGGCCCCTTCATAGACCAAGAGTCCTTGTAGCGGTCCCAGCGTCTTAGCTGTGGGTGTGGGGGCTCCTGAGTGAAACTCGGGAGGTCCCGGAAGGAGGGGGCGAGGCCCTCAGCAGCTGTGGAGTCTGTGCCCTGAGGCCCCACACTGGGAACTGGGGACGAGGAGACGGGGACGCGGCCCGGGTCTTGACCTCCTCAGGCTCACCAGACACTGCGTTCAGGCCTCCGGGACGGTCCTGGTGGGGCTCGGCCCCCCTCGTCCTGCGCCTCCTCTGGGCCCGCGGGTCCCCAGCTCCCCCAGCCCCGCCGCGGGCCGCACCTCTCTGGACGGCGCTGTCAGGAGTAGGAGTTCAGCCCCAGCGCATCCGCGCCAGGACCCGGGCTCTGTGGCCACTGAGTGCAGAACACGCCGAGCTTCGGAGGTCTGGGAGTTCCAAGTGGAATTTGAATTTTTAATCTAATTGTCTGATTCGTGAACTCGGAAGCTGACGTCACGCCCAGACGTCCCAAGGTATGAGCTGTAGATACGCATGTGAGCGCTGGTGGGAGACGCCAGGCTGGGATTTCCGCTCGATCTGGGAATGAGCAATGCAACCTAATGACACCCGGAGCTCCTGAATCACCTGGGGAAGATGAAGAGAGACACTCTCTGGTGGGAACGTCTCCTAGAAACAAGGCCTAAGATGGGGCGACCACAGCCCCACAGCTGTGTCCAGATGCAGGGAGCACTCGCCTGTGCTGTAAGTCTGTCCCACGGTGGAGAAAGGGCCCAAACCCCACAGCCCTGCGGTCCACCCTTCAAGTGATTTGGGCGTGCTCTCTTTCAGCACTCATGAGTCCCCCAGCAGGTGGGGGTTGTGGGGAGAATCCACATCAGCAGTTAACCCCCTCACTTTGGTCTGTGAAGCCCTACACGCTCCTCTGTCTTCATTTCCTCAGCGTCATATGCTTGACTTTCTCCACCCCCAACCTGCTCTGCCTCTGTGATTATCTTCCTTTTTCTTTACTTCAGGACCTTTGCACTTGCTTTTCCTTCTGCTTGGAAAGCTCTTCCCACAGCCAGTTGGGTGTCAACTCTTTCCCATCATTCTAGTGGGAGAGTTACCTCTCCAGAAACCCCCTCTGGGACCTCCTTTTTCAAGCCTACCCTACTCTCCACCGTTTCACCCAATTTGGTTCCCTTCATAGCTGGCATCACTGTCTTGATGAGGGCTGAGCCCATGTGTGTCTTGCTCACTGCCATGTTTTCAGGATTGAGAGGCTGTTAGTACATAGTAGGTGGTAAGTAAACATTTGGTTGAATCCATGAACATCTATCATGCACGGTGGCAGCCCATTATGGGGAAGATACTGGCTTAGAGGAAGATGCCCAGAGTCCCCTGGAGAAATGGAGGAAGGCTTCACAGAGGAGGGGGCTCTCCATGAAGGCAGATTCACCAGGCTGGCAATGGGAGAGGACATTCCAGGGGTGGAAACCAGCAGGGCCAAGGCTTAAAGAGTGCACACAGTGGGGTGAAAGGGAACTGCTGGAAGTGGGGGAAATGGGAGATGGAGGAAGGTAGGGCAGCAGGTGAAGCTGGAGAGGAGGCAGGGGAAAGCCTTCTGCCCCAGGATCGGATCCTCTGAGGGAGGGGGTAAAATGATGGTCACCAAGATCAGATTTAATCTGCAGGCCTGTGAAGGAGGCACTGGGCTCCTGGTAAATAAGAAATCTCCCAGGGCAGAGACGTCACGCTGGAGGACCACGTGCTGGGCAAGATCCTCAGGTGTTTACTTAACATGATCAGTGTTAACATTTGAATTAGTGGCTGATGCTTAAAATTGAGAGGTTTTGTTTGTAATCCAGGTTTCTGATTTTCCTGAACAGTCAGGACTCTGATTACCTCAGGCCCCATTCTCAAATGGCAGCCATGGCTGAGCAGTGGACATTCCCTCCTGGGGGCATGCTCTCACCAGCTCATCCAGCCCACCCGCTCCATTTCTCCTGTAGCCATGTGCCCGAGGGTGTTCTGAAGATTCCAACTTTGCATCAACTCATATTCACTGAATGGATCTTTGGAAATGGTGATACTGTTTTTGACCTTGAGAAAGTTTGACTTTCATGTTACATGAGATGGACAGACAAGCAGTTCAACATATCACAGGACAGCATCTGTGTGTGGAAATAGTGGGGAGAACAGAGATGGTGTGGTTAGCAGAATCACGCCCCCCCAGTATGTCCATACTTAAATCTGTGGGATGTATAAATATGTTACTTCACATGGGAAAAAGGGCTTTGCAGATGTGACTAAAGGTATTGGCCTTGAGATAGGGAGAGCATCCTGGGTTGTCCAGGTGAGCCCAGTGTCATCATGTGAGTCCCTAAGATAGGATAACTTTCCCAGCTGGGTCAGAGAGATGAGTCAGAAGGAGGAGAAATTCAAAGCTTGAGAGAGCCTCACCCTGTTGCTGGCTTGGAAGGTAGAGAAAGCTGCCAAGGCATGCACATGGCCCCTAGAAGTTGGGAAGGCTGAGCCGATAGGCAGAGAGAAAACAGGGGTCTCAGTCTTACAACTACAAGGAAATGAATTCTGCCAACAACCTGAATGTGTCAGCAAATTATCCTCCCCTAGGGTCTCCAAAAAGGAACACAGCCTGTGGATACCTTGATGTTAGTCCAGTGAGGTCCACGTCAGACTTCTGACTTACAGAACTGCAAGAAAATATTTGTGTTGTCTAAGCCACTAAGTTTGTGGTGATTTGTTGGGGCCGTAGTGGGAATCTAAGATAGGTGGTTATGGTTCTGGAAGTAAAGGAAAGCTGCCCTTCAGCTTGCAGAGACTGGAAGGCAGCTCCACTTGAGGCCAGGGGTGTATGTGCAAGGTATTGGGTGGGGAGAGCTGACCTTAGGATGGAGAATAGAAACAAATGTGCTGAGAAGGATGCGTCCAGCTGCCCAGGAGAGAACGCTGGCAGTGCTCACCAGTATCCTGAAAGGTAGAACAGGGTGAGTCAGCCCCAAATAACCACCACCATGAACTGGAATCCTGAGAGCGAATTACCCACTTAGCAGAGTGCTGACGCTGCCATTTGCTTAGCAGACTTGGCAGAGGATCAGCAGAACGACTTCCTAGAAATGCTGGGGCAAAGAAACACATTGGAAAGTGTGTGATCTGCTGAAGTGTTTTTATTTTCTATTGAGAATGTTGTGTTTGTGCTTTTTGTGTCCTAACTGTGAAATGATACATTGAAAGATTGATTTTGTTAAGAAACTGCTCTTTGCTTGCTATGATCTTCTGGTATTTTTGAAAGGTTCTCAGGGAGGGGGTCATTTCTTTTTTTCTATCACTGGCAAGTCTGAATCACACACCATTATTTATAGAGTAGTTGGGCAATTTCTCTCAGCTTTTCTGATCACCAGCTGTACCAGCTCTGGCATAGATCTTAGAACGTTGTCTGTGGCCTGTGGCGGTGATGACTTCCTGGGAAAAGCCCACATTGAATTCTTATGATGATGTTGAGCCTAGGTATAAGTCTATGTCCATGACAAGGAGCAGGCTGAATGGCCCTGGGAACCTGGCCCCCCTTCCACACTTCCCTGACATTCACTCTTTAACCTGATCTTTGTTGAGTGTGGATTGTGGACCAGGCCCTCCCCTGGATGCTGGGTGTGAGCATCAGTGGGGAGATCAAGTCCTGTAAATCAACTCACATGTCAGAGATTTGGGGAGCAGAGATGGTGGGATGGCAGCAGGATGAAATCTGCACTATCTGTATACCACGAAGGTTATTTTGACTTCACTCCTAATACGTTAAACATTCTAGATTTCCAGAAAACTTACACTTTTTCACCAATGTGATGAACTTCAGCTGTGTTCTGTTGTTGCAGGATCTACCCCTGCTATCTCCCTGAGTCTAAGAAGCGTTAGTCAGGTGAAGCTGCAGCCCTTACCTGCAGGCTGCAGAGTATCATCCATCCTGAGAGATGTGGGGTTGTAGAGAGCAGGAGGGGCTGGATGGTGAGTGGCAGGAGAGGAAGTGTGAAATATGCCTGGAAATGGGTGAAGGGGATACCTCCAGCTGTAAGGATGCTGAAAGATTTTCTTGAGGGATGTTCCATTGTTTTGGGGGTCATTTAAATATGCCTTATATGTGTGAGTATTAAAAAGAGAAGAAAGAGGGACCACTTTCAATAATGGGTACAACTTATAGACAGAGACGAATAAGAAGTAGAAGACGAACAACAACCAAATGCACATTCCTAACAAATGCACATGGAACATTCTCCGGGATAGTCTATATACTAAGTCACGAAACAAGCCTCACCAAGTTTAAAAAGATTGACATTATATGAAGTCTCTTCTCTGACTACTATGGAATGAAGCTAGAAATCAATATTAGAATAAAAACTGGAATTGTAGGCCGGGCGCAGTGGCTCATGCCTGTAATCCCAGCACTTTGGGAGGCCGAGGCGGGTGGATCGTGAGGTCAGGAGATCGAGACCATCCTGGCTAACATGGTGAAACCCCGTGTCTACTAAAAATACAAAAAATTAGCTGGGCGTGGTGGCGGGCGCCTGTAGTCCCAGCTACTCAGGAGGCTGAGGCAGGAGAATGGCGTGAACCCGGGAGGCGGAGCTTGCAGTGAGCCAGATCGTGCCACCGCACTCCAGCCTGGGTGACAGAGTGAGACCCCATCTCAAAAAAAAAACAAAAAAACAAAAACTGGAATTGTTTCTTCTTCTTCCTCTTCCTCCTCTTCTTTCTTTCTTTCTTTCTTTCTTTCTTTCTTTCTTTCTTTCTTTCTTTCTTTCTTTCTTTCTTTTTCTTCTCCTACTCCTCCTCCTCTTCTTCTTCTTCTTTCTTCTTCTTCTTCCTTTCTTCTTTCTTCTTTCTTCTCAGATTTTCACTCTGTCACCCAAGCTGGAGTGCAGTGGCACAATCTTGGCTCACTGCAGCCTCTGCCTCCTGGGTTAAATCACTTCTCCTGCCTCAGCCTCCCGAGTAGCTGGGATTACAGGCGTGGGCCACCACACCCTGCTAATTTTGTATTTTTAGTGGAGACAGGGTTTCACCATGTTGGCCAGGCTAGTCTTGAACTCCTGACCTCAAGTGACCCACCTGCCTTGGCCTCCCAAAGTGCTGGGATTACAGGCGTGAGCCACCGCACCCGGCCTGGTATTTCAAAAATACATGGAAATTAAACAATGCTCTTAAACAACCATGGACCAAATAAGAAATCACAAGATAATTTAGCAAATATTTTGAGACAAATAAAAATAAAAATACAACATACCAAAACTTATAGAATGTGGTGAAAGCACTTCTTACACACAGATCTATAGCAGTAAACATCAACATTACAAAAGAAAAATCTCAAACCAGTAATCTAACTTTACACCTTAAGGAACTAGAAAAAGAAGAGCAATGTAAACCTAAAACCTAAAAGTAGAAGGAAGTAATTAATAAAAATTACGGCAGAGAAAAATAAAATAGAGAATAGAAAAAAACAATAGAACTAATAACATCAAAAGTTGGTTCTTTTTTTTTTTTTTTTTTTTTTTTTGAGACGGAGTCTTGCTCTGTCACCCAGGCTGGAGTGCAGTGGCACAATCTCAGCTCACTGCAACCTCGACCTCCTAGATTCAAGTGATTCTCCTGCCTCAGCCTTCTGAGTAGCTGGGATTACAGGCACGCGCCACCACACCAGGCTAATTTTTGTATTTTTGGTAGAGACGGGGTTTCACCATGTTGGGCAGTCTGGTCTTGAACTCCTGACCTTGTGATCCCCCTGCCTCGGCCTCCCAAAGTGCTGGGATTACAGGCGTGAGCCACTGTGCCTGGCCCAAAAGTTGGTTCTTTAAAAATATCAAGCCAGGCACAGTTGCTCATGACTATAATCCCAGCACTTTGGGAGCCAAGGCGGGCGGATCACTTGAGATCAGGAGTTCGAGACCAGCCTGGCCAACGTGATGAAACCCCATCTCTACTAAAAATATAAAAATTAGCCAGGCTTGGTGGCACACACCTGTAATCCCAGCTATTCGGGAGGCTGTGGCAGGAGAATTGCTTGAACCCAGGAGGTGGAGGTTGCAGCGAGCCGAGATCATGCCACTTCACTCCAGGCTGGGCAACAGAGTGAGACATTCCAGCTCAAAACAAAACAAAAAAAATTTAGCTAGACTAAAAAAAGTCCAAAATCATAAATAGTCATAGACAGTCATAAATAAATCATAAATGTGGGGCCATTACTACTGTTGTTACAGAAATGAAAATGATTACGAGAGAATACTCTAAACAATTGTATGCCAAAAAATTTAGATAGCCAAGACAAAATGGATAATTTCTTAGAAACATACAAATTACCAAAACTGACTGAAGAAGAAGTAGAAAATCTGAACAGATCTGTAACTAGGAAAGAGATTGAATCAGTAAACAAAAACCTTCCAATAATGAAAAGCCCACAACCAAATAGCTTTACTAAATTCTACCAAATATTTAAAGCAGAATTAACACCAACTCTCTTCCCAAACTCCTCTAAAAAAATCAGAGGGCAACACTTCCAAACTTATTTTATGAGGCCAATATTACCTGATACCAAATCTAGACAAACATACCAGAAGGAAGAAAACTGCAGACAAATATCCCTTAGAATATAGAGGCAAAAATGTTTAACAAAATATGAGCAAACCAAATTCAAAAGCATAGTAAAAGCATAGCATAACACGACCAAGTGTGACTTATCCCAAGAATGCAAGAGTGAGTCAACTTAAGAAAATCAGTCAATGTAATATGTCACGTTAATAGAATGCGGGGGAGAAAAACCACATGATCATTTATGAAAACTATATGATCAGGAAAAGTATTTGACAAAATCCAACACCCCTTCGTCATAAAAACACTCAGTAAACTAGGAATAGAAGGGAATATCCTCAACATAATAAAGCATATTTATGACAAATCCATAGCAAACAATATACATAATAGCAAAAGACTAAAAACTTTCTTCTAAGATCAGGAACAAAACAGGTAAGCTCATTTTCATCACTGCTGTTTAACATTATACTGGAGGTTATGATCAGAGCAATTAGGCAAGAAGAGACAAATGGCATTCAGATTGGAATTGAAGAAGTCAGACTATCTCTATTCACAGATGACATGAGCCTATATATTTTTAAAATCTCAAAAAAAATACACACACATACAACTAGGGCTAACAAATGAATTCAGCAAAGTTGCAAGATACAATATCAACATACAAAAAACAGTTGTGATGGTAGACACCAGTAAAGAACAATCAAAAAAATTAATAAAACAGTTCCATTCATAATAGCATCTAAAGGAATAAAATACATAGGAATAAATTTAACCAAAGAGGTGAAAGACTTACACACTGAAATCCACAAAACTTGCCTGAAAAAATTAAAGAAGACCAGAATAAATGGGATGACATACTGTGCTCATAGATTGGAAGTCTTAATATTGTCAAAATGACAATACTACCCACACGATCCACAGATTTAATGTAATTTCTACCAAAATCTCAATTTGTTTCTGTAGAAATAGGAGAATTCATTCTAAAATTTATATGGAATCTCAAGGGGCCCTAAATAGCCAAAACCACCTTGAAAAAGAACAAAGTTGAAGGTTTTGCACTTCCTGATTTCAAAAATTACTACAAAGTTGCAGAAGTCAAAACAGGGTGATACTAGCATAAAGACAGACATACAGACTAATGGAATAGAATAAATAACCCCAAATAAACCCTCACATATAAGGTAAGATGAGTTTTGACAACTGTGTCAGGACCATTCAGTGGAGAAAGCACAGTCTCTGCAACAAATGGTTCTGAGAAAACTGCATTATCACATGCGAAAAATAAACGTGTACCCTTATTTCACACCATGTGCAATAATGAACTCACAGTGGACCAGCAGCCTGAACATAAGGACGAAAAAACATGAAGCTTTTAGAAGAAAACATAGTGGCAAATCTTCATAACCTTGGATTTGGCAATGGATTTTTAAATATACCAAAAGCACAAGCAGCAAAAAGAAGAAAAGAATAAATTGAATTTTGTAAAAATTAAAATCTTGAGAAGCAATGAAACAAGATGGTGGGTAGAACTCTCCAGGGATAATTCCTCCACAGAAACATCAGTTTGAAGAACTGTTCACACACAAAGAAAACCTTCACAAGAGCTCAGGAAACAGGTGAGAGGTCACAGTACATTTTTAGCATAATAATAAGAAAACATGTAGTGAAATGGGTAGGAAGGACAGTTTTACGTTACCCACGTTACCCCTTCTACAACCCCAGGGAGAACAGCATAGAAAGACATGGTCCACTTGGGGGAAGGAGAAGGAAGTAAGCACAGGACTTTACCTTGCAACACAGTAATGTGCCTGCCTCAGTAAACCCCAGCACTGAGGACAACCCTTTGGTCTCTGACACTAGGCTAGTACCCACAGAGGGAACCTCTTGACCTATTCTGGTACCATCTGGTGCCAAACAGGGGCCTCTGGTCCAAGTGAGATGTACTCATGTTCTAGCTCATATCACTGCTGGTTGACTACAATGGCCTTGGGCTCTGAATAAATCTCAGTGGCAGGCAGACTATAGCACCTATGGGCCTTAGACATGCCTCAGTGCTGTGCTGATCTTGGCAGTTGTGGGCTTTGGATGTAACCCTACTTTGTCAGCCTCAGCGGCCATGGAATTGCTCAGGTCACCCCTTTTCCAGGCACTGCAGTGTAGTGCAGAGAGAGTACTCACTTTTGGGAAAAGTATGGGGCTTTGTCTTGGAACTCAGTACTGGGATTGCCACAATAAAACTCGGCACTGGGCAGAACCTCATAGCCCCTGATACCAGGTTGGTACCAATGGGCAGATCCTGTTAACTGCATTGGTGCCAGAGGGAAACCCATGCCCCTGGGAAGATGGTGTGAGATCTGGCCCACATCACTACCTGCTGACCATAGCAGCCTTGGGCACTGAATAAACCTCAGTGGTGGGCAGGATGCAAAAGTCATGGGTCTTGGGCATGCCTCAGTGCTATGCAGGTCTCTGTGGTCATGGGCTTTGAATGTGACCCAGTGCTGTTTCAGCCTTGGTGTCTAAAGGGTTCCAGCTGCAGTAGTCCTGGTCCTGGGGGACCACTAGGGCTTTAATGCTTGAAGCAGTCATGGGCTTAAGGTTCTCCAAGTCAACCTGCCTGGAATTTCTGGACAGGCTTCCTGCTGAAGGAAACTCCAAAAGCCAGACCATAAAGACTGGATTGGGTACCAACATCAATGCACAGACATCAATATATGGCCACAAGGATCAAGATTAATGAGAGAAACATGACATTGTCAAACACAAAATGAGGTGCTAGTTACTGACTCTAAGAAAGTGGAGATGGAAGAATACAAACAATTCAAAGCAGCTGTTGTAACCGTTTTCCCATTTCCCCTGAGAATACTCACCAGTGGTGCTTGTGCTGTAGTGTTTACCCCGAGATAACTTTGCCACGAAGTAGCTCACTTTTATTATTATTTTTGCGTTGCTCTAGTATATCGACTTTGCAAACAAAAGACATTATTCTATTTATAGCATTCTGTTTTTAGTAGTGGCATTTCCATTTACAAAATATAGTAATTCTCGATCACTGAAAATGTCAAGTCCTAGAAAATGTAACATTCCTATGCATTATGTTAACATCATTCTCAAACAGTTGTTGGCTGAAGATTCATTTGATGAATCTGATTTTTTCAAAATAGACAATTTTGATGATTCAGTTGATTCTGATGTTAGTTCTGTTTAGAAATAACTGTAGGAACAGTTTTTATATTTTATTTTCACATTGAAAATCAGATTTGCCTCAACTTCAAAGAGCGTATTTACATAAAATTTAGTGAGTGCTGGCAGTGAGCTGCACTTTTTTTTTTTTCTAAATGGGAAAGGGTTAAGGAAGCTCAAAAAGTATCAACCAAATACAGAGAAGTAATTCTGAAATTTATCAGAGACATTTAGCAGAGATTGAAATAGTTTTAAAAATCAAACAGAAATCCCAGAGTTGAAAAATACAATGAAATTTTAAAATGCAATAGAGAGCGTAACAGCAGAACTGATCAAGCAGGAGAACAAAATATGAGAGCTCAAAGACAGGTTAATAAAAAATATACACTCAAAGGAGAAAAAATAATGAAAAGGAATGAAGAACGCTTATGGGATTTATGGGATAACAACAAAAGAACAAATATATGGGTCATCACTGTATGAGAGAGTAGGCAATGAGAAAGAGGTAGAAAGTTTATTTAAAGAAATAACAGAAAACCAGAAAACTTTGCAAATACAGAGAAATATATAAATACCCAAGTACAGGAAAGTCAAAGGTATTCAGTCAGATTCAATCCAAATAAGACTGCTTCATGACATGTTATCATCAAACTATCAAAGATCAAAGACAAAGAGAGGATCCTGAAAGCAGCAAGACAAAAGAAGCAAATAACATATAAGGAAGTCTCAATATGTTTAACAGCATACTTCTCAGTGGAAAACCTTACAGGCCAGGAGACAGTGAGATGATATAGTCAAAGTGCTGGTGGTGGGGCTGGGAAAAACAAAAAACAAAAAACCTCTGCCAACCAAAAATACTGTATTCAGTAAAGAAATGAAGGAGAGAGAAAGACTTTTCCAGACAAAACAAACAAACACAAAAAACTGAGGAAATTGATCACCACCAGACTTGTATTACAAGAAATGCTAAAGGGATTACTTCAAGATGAAAGAAAAGAGTGCTGATAAGTAACATGAAAACATCTGAAAGTATGTAAGTCACTGGGAAAATAAATAGGGAGTTAAATTTTGAATACTCTAAATGTAATTGTGGTGTGTAAATCATTTATAGTTTTAGTATGAAGGTTAAAAGACAAAGCTATTAAAATAGTAATAAGTACAATAATTTATTAAGAGATAGGCAATATAAAACATGTAAATTATGACATCAGAAGTAAAAAAAAAATTTCTAAGAAGGCAGTTTGGAGACATTGTATGCATCTCCCACTGTAAAGACAAAATAGCGTGTCCACTCATGCCGTGAAATTTTTTCCAAGAAGCACTACAGGAACTTAAGAAAATTGGGCGCCTGTAGTCCCAGCTACTCAGGAGGCTGAGGCAGGAGAATGGTGTGAACCCGGGAGGTGGAGCTTGCAGTGAGCTGAGATGGCGCCACTGCACTCCAGCCTGGGCAACAGAGTGAGACTCCATCTCAAAAAAAAAAAAAAAAAAGAAAAAACTGAAAGAAATCACAGACCCTTTGAAAGAACTGGTGGGCTGAAGCCTACACCATGAGCCAGGTGGAAAACTGTGAGTCTTCAGAGTGAGAGGGAGGAGGAACGGCCTCCAGCATATATGCTCCCACTGGGAAACCTGGCAATCTAGGCAGTGGGGGAAGGCCTTAATCCTACCCAGTGTTGGAACTAATTTGGTGAGTGGTGGGGAGTATATAAGAAGGAGTGGCATCAGGATGTGCTTTGTACGCACTCCCAGACTCCAGTGAAGACAGAGGGATGCCATTTCTGATCCTGCCTCACAGGGGATCTCACAGAAATCTGCCAGCTAACTCAGGCAGCAGTCGCAGGTTGAGAAAAGCTCCCAGCTGAGATTCATGATATAATATCAAGTGGGGTTAACCGCTCTTGTCCAGAACTCAGGGGAGAGTGGGATGTGTGCTGTAGTCACAGAGGCAGGAACTGCATATCCCTGCTTCATGGGAAGACTGGTAGTGGTGTGGCCTGAAAGCCATGGTTTCTGCCTCAGTGGGGAAGGCTTGTGGCCTGTGGCAGTTTTGAGTTCTGAGCACAGACTGCCTGGAACCTAGCTAGCTGCTGCTAGTGGGACACTGCTGGTGTGAGAACTGCCTTGCCAAGTGCATGGGAGCTAGAGGCTTACTGACACCTGCAACTCCTCACTCCCTGTGGACTTTTCTGTGCAGCAGAGACAGCTGTGCTTCTCCCTGGAACACTACCCCAATAGCCAGAGAACTGCCCTCAACTCCCCACTGGGGCTGCTGCTTGTGCCTGCATGTGAAGAGCCAGAATATGGACTTTCCTGACCCAGTCCCTACCTGGCTTTTCTCCTCCACCCCCTCTGGTAGCTTAACACAAAGGACAGAAACTTTTGGGAGCTCCATGTCCTTGCCCATTCCCTGAGACATCAGAGTACTTCCCCTAGGTAACAAGGCAAGCACAAATCCCACTGCTAGCTACCACTGCAGTTGGCACTCTTTTGCAAGCACCACCTCCTGGCTGGAGGCCAGCCAACAGTCTATTGTAACTTCTGCAGGTAGAATAACACAATGCCCAGGAAAGAGAAAACTTATGTGTGACTTCCGCTATTACCATTGCCTGTATTACGCTGGCTACAGGAGGTCCTGAGTGTCCATGTGACCAGTTCATTATGACTACAACTGGCATTTGAGAAAACCAACACACTAAGGCTATTTGTAACCAAGGAAATCTCACAGAATCTATATCACCCCTCTGCCACCCTCATCAGAGCTGGTGCTGGTACCCACTGCTGGGAGACTTGAGGACAGGTCACATCACTGGATCCCTTGCAGGCATTCCCCAGCACTGGTCTGGGGTAGCTATACCCAGAGGAGAAGCAGGATTCACAGTATCTGGCAGGGACTCAGGGACTCCTACTCCTAGGGGAAACGGGAGTGCACCACATGAAAGGAGCATTCCATGGGACAGAAGAATCCAGGTGGCAGGACTTGAGTCCCAGAATTTTCTGCTTGTGGGATGTTTCTTTCAGCAGAGCTAAAGGTGTAGTGCTGGGCTCAGTGAGGAAAGTCTGCAGCTCTACCTCAACAGTCAGGCAGCCCTGGCGCTTGTGAAGGGTCTTGGAGAAGAAAATTTCTTCTCCTCCCACATCCCCATCACTGCAGTCACAACTGGGGCTTCTCCCAAGGAAGTTTGGCATGAGTGCACCGCACCTGTAGACAGACTTTCTAGAACACTGCATCCCCACAGGAGAAGTGTCCTCCAGGTTCAGGCTTGTACGAGGGGTAGAATCATGATCCCATTCTACACAGGACATCAGCATTCCTGCAGATGAAAAGAAGTGCCTGTCTGATTCAAATAGCTGGAACACTGTGTCAGGAGTATGACTGGGAGGTAAATCACTTTCCTTTTGACCTGATAGAGGAGCTGAGGTGTCTCCTTTCCTTCCCCCTGTAAAGACCTCAATGTGTCTCACTGAGCTGGTGCTGGTACCGCCTGCTGGGAGACTTGACAACAGGTCACATCATTGGATCCCTTGCAGACATTCCCCAGCACTACCCTGGAGTGTGGCAGCCTCACTAGGTGGCTAGACCCAGAGGAGAAGCAGGATTCTCTTCCAGCCTCTTTTAGAGAAGCTCCCCCAGCCTCCTCTGTAAAGGCTGGGAGTACTGCCTACTATTGGGTATTGCATTTACCCACCTGCTTTAGCCACAGCTGTTTGTCACTTGTGGACACCTCCTACTGGCCTGAAGCCTGAACTGTTCAACCCAGTGAAAAAACACTGAGGAAAATATAAATAAATTAAAAAGTGCACACCAGTGGGGCATGAGATAAGCTTCATGAGACCTTTGCCATTCCCAGCCTGCTCACACACTGAGCAGATTGCTACTACAACCAGCATCTGAGAAGGCCATCATACAAAGACTCTCTGTAACCAAGGAACTTATGCGAAGTCTTCATCCCTGAAAGCACCCAGAGCCAAATTAGGTTACAATAAACTATAAATATTAAAGTCACATCCTCAAGGGAGGAAAAATAACACAGTTGAATCAAAAATATTAAAATAATTACAAGAGATAATCTACCGAAATGATAAGAAACCAGAAAAATAATTCTGGCAATATGAAAAAGCAGGATTCTATAACACCCCCTAAAAGATTACCCTAGCTATCCAGCAATGGATCCAAACCAGGATGAAATCTTTGAAATACCAGGAAAGGATTCAAGAGCTTGATTATTAGGTTGCTCAAGGAAATACAACAGAAAAGTGAAAACCAACATAAAGAAATTTTAAAAAATCAATTCAGGATATGAATGAAACATTTTCTAAAGCGATAGATATTTTAAAGAAAAACCAATCAGAATTTCTGGAAATGAAAGACACATTTAGGAAATTACAAAATACAGTGGAAAGTTTTAACAATAGACTAGACCAAGTAGAAGAAAGAATTTCAGAGCTCTAAGACAAGGCTTTTGAAATAACCCAATCAGACAAAAATAAAGAAAAAAGAATTAAATAAATGAGGTCTCCAAGAAATATGGGGTTATGTCAAAAGGCCACCCCTAAGAATCACTGGTGTCCCTGAGGGAGAAGAAAAAGCAAAATGTTTGGAAAACATATTCAAGGGAATTATTGAGAAAAACTTACCTGGACTTTCTAGAGATTTAGATCTCCAAATACATGAAGCTCAAAGAACTCCTGGGAGATTCATTGCAAAAAGAACATCACCAAGGAATATTGTCATCATACTATCTAAAGTCAATGTGAAGAAAAGAATTCTTAGAGCAGTGAGACAAAAGCATCAGGTCATCTATAAAGAAAAACCTATCAGACTAACATCAGATTTCTCATTAGAAACCTTACAAGCCATAAGGGATTGGGGTCCTATCTTTAGCCTCCTTAAACAGAATAGCTGTCCAACAAGAATCTTGTATCTAGCAAAACTAAATTTCTTAAATGAAGGAGAAATAAAGTCTTTTTCAGACAAGCAAATGCTTGTCTGAAATAAATGCTAAAAGGAGTTCTAAATCTTGAAACAATGGGTCAAGATGCAACACAATAGAACCTCTTGAAAGCATAAAATTCACAAGGAAAAGAAAACAATAACACAGTGAAGAAAACAAAGTAACTAGGTAACAATCAACATGATGACTGGAACAGTACCGCACATGTCACTATTAACATTGAAAGTAAATGGTCTAAATGCTCCACTTAAAAGATACAGATTGGCAGAATGGATAAAAATTTACAAACCAAGTATCTGCTGTCCTCAAGAGACACACTTAACTGTTCACAATAGCAAAGACTTGGAACTAACCCAAATGCCCATCAATGATAGACTGGATAAAGAAAATGTGACACATATACACCGTGGAATACTATGCAGCCATAAAAAAGGATGAGTTCATGTCCTTTGCAGGGGCACGAGGAAGCTGGAAACCATCATTCTCAGCAAAGTAACACAAGAACAGAAAACCAAACACCACATGTTCTCCTCATAAGTGGGAGTTGCACAATGAGAACACATGGACACAGGGAGGGGAACATCACATACTGGGGCCTGTTGGGGAGTGGGGAGGGTAGGGGAGGGATAGCATTAGGAGAAATACCTAATGTAGATGGCAGGTTGATGGGTGCAGCAAACCACCATGGCATGTGTATACCTATGTAACAAACCTCCACCTTCTACACATGTATCCCAGAACTTAAAGTATAATAATAAAAAAGAGACACACTTAACACATAAGGATTCTTATAGACTCAAGGTAAAGGGGTGGAAAAATATATTCCAAACAAATGGAAACCAAGAGTGAGCAGTAGTTATTCTTACATCAGATAAAACAGACTTTAAAGCAACAAGAGTAAAACAAAACAAAAAAACGAAGATCGTTATATAATAATAAAAGAATCAATCCAACAAGAATATATCACACTTCTAAATATATATACACCTAACTCTGCAGCTTGCAGACTCATAAAACTATTACTGCTAGATCTAAAGAAAGAGATAGACAGCAACACAATAATAGGGGACTTTAATATGCCATTGACAGGACAAGACAGATAACTGAAGCAGAAAGAAAAAAAACCCCACTGGACTTAAACTGCACTCTAGAACAAATTGACTGAACAGATATTTACAGAATATTCTTGAGTAGAATGTGACAGAAGATTCTACCCAAGAGCTGCAGAAAAGACATTCTTCTCATCAGCACGTGGAACAATGTCCAAGATAGACCACATGATAGGCCACAAAACAAGTCTTAATAAATTTTAAAAATTCAAAATCATATTAAGTATATTCTCAGACCACAATGGAATAAAACTATAAATCAATTCCAAAAGGAACCCTCAAAACTATACAAATACATGAAAATTAAACAATCTGCTCCTGAATGATTTTTGGGTTAACAATGAAATCAAAATGGAAATTAAAAAATTCTTTGCAATGCATAACAGTGACACAAGTTATCAAAACCTCTGGGATATAGCAAAAGCAGTGCTAAGAGGAAAGTTTATAGTGTTAAAAGCCACATCAAAAAGTCTGAAAGATCACAAATTGACAACCTACCATCACACCTCAAGGAACCAGAGAAATAAGAACAAACCAAACCCAAAGCTAGCAAAGAAAAAGAAATAACAAAGACCAGAACAGAACTAAATGAAATGGAAACAACAAATACAAAAGATCAATGAAACAAAAAGTCAGTTCTTTTAAAAGATAAACAAAATTGATAGACCATTAACAATGCTAACCAAGTAAAAAAGAGAGAAGGTTCAAATAACCTGTTAGAAATGAAAATAGAGACATTACAACTGACAACACAGAAATACAAAAGATCATTTGAGAATAATATGAACACCTCGATGCACAAAACTAGACTATCTAGAGGAAATGGATACATTTCTGGAAGCATACAACTCTCCTATCTTGCATCAGAAAGAAGTAGAAATCCTGAACAAACCAATAACAAGCAGTGAGATTAAATCAGTAATAAAAAAAATGCCAACAAGGAAAAGCCCAGGGTCGGACAGCTTCACAGCTGAATTCTATCATACATTCAAAGGAACATTAGTACCAATCCTACTGAAACTATTCCAAAAGATTGAGAGAAGGAATCTTCCCTAATTCATTCCATGAAGCCAGTATTATCCCGATACCAAAGCCATGAAATAATATAACAAAAAAAGAAAACTACAGACCAATATCTCTGATGAACATAGATGCAAAAACCTTCAACAAAATACTAGTAAACTTAATCTGACAGCACATGAAAAAGATAATTCACCATGATCAACTGGGTTTCATCCCAGGGATTCAGGGATGGTTTAACATAGTCAAGTGAATAAATGTTATTCATCACATAAACAGAATTAAAACAAATGCCATATGATCATCTTAATGAATGTGAAAAAGCATTTAATAAAATCCAGCATCCCTTTATGATAAAAGCCATCAACAAACTAAGCATAGAAGGAAGATGCTTCAAAATAATAAAAGCTATATGTTACAAACCCACAGTCAACATCATAGTGAATGTGGAAAAGTAGAAAGCACTCCACCTAAGAATTGGAACAAGACAAGGATGCGCACTTCTACCACCTCTGTTTAGTATAGTAATGGAAGTCCTAGCTAGAGCAAGCAGGCAAGAGAAATAAAGGGTATCCAAATTGGAAAAGAGGAAGTCAAGCTATCTCTGTTTGCTGATGATATGATTACATACCTGGAAAACTCTCTATAAACTCTTCCAAAAGACTCCCAGATTTGATAAATGAATTCAGTATTTATTTATTCCTTTTATTTATTCAAAATCAAAGTATACAAATCAACAGCACTGTTATACACCAACAATGACCAAGCTGAGAATCAAATCAAGAACTCTATCTCTTTTACAACAGCTGCGAAAAAATAGTAAAATATCTAGGAATATACTTAACAAAAGAGATGAAATATCTCCACAAGGAGAACTACAAAACACTGCTGAAAGAAATCAAAGATGACACAAACAATGGAAATATATCCCATGGTTATGGATTGGAAGAATCCATACCATGAAAATAACCATACTGCCCAAAGCAATCTGCTGATTCAAATTCCTATTAAAATGTCAACATTATTTTTTCATTGAAATAGAAAAAAAATTCTAAAATTCATATAGAACCAAAAAATAGCCTGAATAGCCAAAGAAATCCTAAGAAAACAAAAAAATCTGGAGGCATTACATTACCTGACTTCAAATTATACAAGGAAGGCTACAGTAAGCACAACAGCATGATGCTGGTATAAAAGTAGATATATACACCGATGGAAAAGAATAAAATCCCAGAAATAAAGCCAAATACTTACAACCAACTTATCCTTAACAAAGCATACAAAAACATAAATTGAGAAAAGAATACCTGATTCAATAAATGGGGCTGGGAAGACTGAAAAGCCATATGTAGCAGAATAAAACTGGATCCGTATCTCTCACCATACACAAAAACCAACTTGAGATTGATTAAAGTCTTAAATCTAATATCCCAAATTATAAAAAAATCTAGAGGAAAAACTCTTCTGGACATTGGCTTAGGCAAAGAATTTATAAGTAATATATCAAAAGCAAATGTAATAACAAAAAAAGGGACCTAATTAAACTAAAAAGTTTCTGTGCAGCAAAAGAAATAATCATCAGAGTAAACAGACAACCCATAGAATAAGACAAAATATTTGAAAACTGTGCATCTGACAAAGGACTAATACTCGAAACCTACAAGGAACTTAAATTAGCAAGAAAAAAAATCCCATCAAAAAGTGGGCAAAGGACATGTATAGCTATCTCTCAAAAGAAGACATACAAATGGCCAACAAATATGCAAAAATGCTCAACATCACCAATCATCAGGGAAATGCAAATTAAAACCACAGTGAGATACTACATTACCCCAGCCCGAATGGTCATTATTAAAAAGTCAAAAAATAATAGATATTAATGTGGATGTGGGGAAAAGGTAATGCTTATACACTGCTTACACTGCTGGTGGGAATGTAAATTAGTACAACCTCTGTGGAAAACAATATGGAGATTTCTCAAAGAACTAAAAGTTGGCCTAGCATTTGATTCAGCAAGCTCACTACTTTCCTTTCTCACTACTGGGTATCTACCCAAAGGAAAAGAAGTCATTATATAAAAAATGCACCTGTACATGTACGTTTATCACAGTGCAATTCACAATTGTAAATGTATGGAATCAACATATGTGCCCATTAACTGATGAATGAATAAAGAAAATGTGGTATAGGTACACCATGGAATACTACTCAGCCATAAAAAATGAAATAATGTCTTTTGCAGCAACTTGGATGAAGCTGGAGGCCATTTTTCTAAGTGAAACAACTTAGGAATGAAAACCCAAATACAGCACGTTCTCACTTATAAGTGGAAGCTAAGCTATGGGTACACAAAGGCCCACAGAGTGTTACAATAGACATTGGAGACTCAGAAGGGAAAAGTGTGGAAGGTGGTGAGTGATAAAAAGCTACATATTGAGTACATTGTATACTACTTAGGTGATGGGTTGTATTAGTCCATTCTCATGCTGCTATGAAGAAACACCTGAGACGAGTTAATTTATAAAGAAAGAGGTTTAATTGACTCACAGTTATGCATGACTGAGGAGTCCTCAGGAAACTTACAATCATGGTGGAAGGCACCTCTTCACAGGGAAGCAGGAGAGAGAAGAATGAGCAAAGAGGGAAAAGCCCCTGTATAAAACCATCAGATCTCATGAGAACTCAATCACTATCATGAGAACAGCAGCATGAGGTAACCATCTTCATGATTCAATTACCTCCCACTGGGTCCCTCCCATGACATGTGAGGATTATCAGAACTACAATTCAAGATGAAATTTGGGTGGGGACACAACCAAATCACATTATTCTGCTCCTGGCCCCTCCCAAATCTCATGTCCTCATATTTCAAAACACCATAGTGCCCTTCCAACAGTCCCCCAAAGTCTTAACTCATTGCAGCATTAACCCAGAAGTCCAACTCCAAGGTCTCATCTGAGACGAGGCAAGTCTCTTCTGCCTATGAGCCTGCAAAATCAAAACCAAGTTAGTTACTTCCTAGATACAATGGGGATACAGGCATTGGGCAAATACACCCACTCCAAATGGGAGGAACTGGCCGTAACAAAGGGGCCACAGGCCCCATGCAAGTCCAGAATCCAACTGGGCAGTCATTAAACCTTAAAGTTCCAAAATTCTCTCCTTTGATTCCATGACTCACATCCAAGACATGCTGATGCAAGAGGTGGGCTTTTACAGCCTTGGGCAGCTCTGCCCCTGTGGCTTTGCAGGATACAGCCCCCCTACTGGCTGACTTCATGGGCTGGTGTTGAGTGTCTGCAGCTTTTCCAGGTACACAGTACAAGCTGTCAGTGGATCTACCATTCTGCGGTCTGGAGGACAATGGCCCTCTTCTCACAGCTTCACTAGGCAGTGCCCCAATGTGGGCACTCTGATCCCACATTTCCCTTCTGCACTGTTCTAGCAGAGGTTCTCCATGAGGGCTCTGCCCTTGCAGCAGACTTCTGCCTGGACATCTGGGCATTCCATACATCCTCTGAAATCTAGGCAGAGGTTCCCAAACTTCAGTTCTTGTCTTCTGTGCACCTGCAGGCCCAACTCCATGTGGAAGCTGCCAAGATTTTGGGCTTGCACCCTATGAAGCAATGGTCTGAGCTGTACCTTGGCCCCTTTTAGCCACAGCTGGAGTGGCTGAGACACAGGGCACCAAGTCCCAATGCTGCATACAAAAGGGGGGCCCTGGACCTGGCCCAGGAAACCATTTCTCTATCCTAGGCCTCAGGGCCTGTCATGGGAGGGGCTGCCACAAAAGTCTCTGACATATCCTGGACAAAATTTCCACATTGTCTTGGTGATTAGCATTTGGCTCCTCATTACTTATGCAGATTTCTGCAGTGGGCTTGAATTTCCCCTCCAGCAAATGGGTTTTTCTTTTCTATGGCATCATCAGGCTACCTGTGGTCCCAGTTTACTGTGTTAGTTTGTTCTCATACTGCTATGGAGAAACACCAGAGACTGGGTAATTTATAAAGAAAAGAGGTTTAGTTGACTCACAGTTCTGCCTGGCTGGGGAAGCCTCAGGAAACTTATAATCATGGTGGAAGGCACCTCTTCACAGGGTAGCAGGAGAGAGAATGAGCAGAGAGGAAAAGAACCCTTACAAAACCATCAGATCTTGTAAGAACTCACTCACTATCATGAGAACAGCAGCATGGGGGTAATTGCTCCCGTGATTCAATTACCTCCCATTGGGTCCTTCCCATAACATGTTGGGATCATGGGAGCTACAATTCAAGATGAGATTTGTGTGGGGACACAGCCAAACCATATCATGGGTACACTAAAATTTCAGACTTCATCACTGTACAATTCATCCATGTAACCTAAAACTACTTGTACCCCTACAGCTACTAAAGTAAAAATAACCTAATACCAAACAATCAAACAAAAACAACTCAAAATATGGGAGGAGGAGAAATAAGGTAAATGGTAGAGTTTTTTTCTTTTTTTGTCATCAAATTTAAATTGTCATCAGTTAAAATAACCTGCTACAACTATAGGATGTTTTTTGTGAGCCTCATGGTAACCACAGTGCAAAAATCTGTAATAGAGACATAAAAATAAAAAGCAAGGAGTCAAAACATACCACTACAGAAAATCAACCGCAAAAGAAGAGAGTAAGAGAGGAAAAATGGAAGAAATAATCTACAAAACAACTAGAAAATAATTATCTAAATGGTAATAGTAAGTTCTTACCTATCAATAATTAACTTGAATATAAATGGATTATGTCCCCCAATTAGAAGACACGCAGTGGCTGAATCGATTAAAAACCAAGGCCCAACTATATGTTGTCTACAAGAGACTCACTTCACCTGTAAGGACACAAATAGACTTAAAGTGAAGGAAACTGTGCATCTGACAAGGGGTTAATATCCAGAATATATAAGGAACTCACATAATTCAATAGCAAAATAATAATCTGATTAAAACATGGGTAAAAATACCTGAATAGATATTTCTAAAAAAAATACATACAAATGGAAAAACAGATATACGAAAATATGCTTAACATCACTGATCATCAAAGAAACACAAATCAAAACCACAATGCAATATCTCCTCACCCCAACAAATTCTGGTGTGAATGTGGAAAAAGGGGAACCCTTATACACTGTTGGTGGGACTGTAAATTTGTACAGCCATTATGAAAAACCATATAGTTCCTCAAATAATTAAAAATAGGACTACCATATGATCCAGCAATTTCACACTTGGCTATATATGCAAAAGAAAATAATTATGTCAAAGAGATATATATATGCTCCTATGTTTATTGCAAACCCAGTCACAAATGTCAAGCTATGGAATCAACCTAAGTGTCCACCAACAGATTGAACAGATAAATAAAATGTGACATAGATACATGAAGGAATACTCTTCAGCCATAAAAACAATGAAATCCTGTCATTTGCAGCAATTTGAATGAACCTGGAGGACATTATGTTAATTGAAATAAGCTAGGCACAGAAAGACAAATGCCACATGATCTCACACATATGTGGAATCTAAAGAAGTTGATCTCATAGAAGTAGAGAATAGAATAGTGCTTGCCGGAAGCTGGGGAGGGTAGAGGGAGAAATAGGTCAATAGGCACAAAGTTACAGTTAGGCAAAATGATTAAGCTTCGGTGTTCTATTACACAATAAGGTGCTTATAGTTAAAAATATTACATTGTATATTTCAACATATCTGGAGGAGAGGATCTTGAATGTTGTCACCACAAAGAAATGATAAATGTATAAGGTGATGGGAATGCTATATGCCCTGATTTGGTTATTTCAAAATATGTACATGTATCAAAACATCACACTGTATCCAGTAAGTATGTATAGTTGTAATCTATCAATTAAAAAATAAGTAAAATAATAAGAAATTAAAATATTTCATCCATCATGAACATTACCAAGGAAGTAAAAAGACAATCCACAGAATGGCAGAACACATTTGTGAATCATTTATCTCATAAAGGTCTAACATACAGAATATATAAAAACTCATAACTTGACAACAAAAGACAAACAACATAATATTGAAAATTGCAAAAGACTCAAATAGATGTTTTTCCTAAGAAGATATGTAAATCAACAAGCAGAAGAAAAGATGATTGATATCATTAGTCAGTACGAAAATGCATATTGAAACCACAATGAGATACCAGTTCACACCTGCAAGGATAGCTATAAGCAAAAAAACAAATAAGAAATTGAAAATAAAAAGTGTTGGCCAGAATGTGGAGAAATTGAAACCCTTGTACCTTGCTGGTGGTAATGTAGAATGATGTAGTCCCTATAAAAATGTTGGAGGTCCCTCAAAAAGTTAAACATAGAATTATCATATATCTTAGTCCATTTAGTGCTGCTATAATGGAATGCCCGAGGCTGGGTAATTTATGAAGAAAAGAGGTTTCTTTGGCTCATGGTTCTGCAGGCTGTACAAGAAGCATGGCACCAGCAGCTGCTTGGCTTCTGGTGAGGGCCTCAAGCTGCTTCTACTCATGGTGAAAAGTGAAGGGGAGCCAGGTGAAGGGGATGCAGAGATCACTGATAGGAAGCAAGAGACAGAAGGGGAGGTCTGAAACTCTTTTTAATAATCAGCTCTCATGGGAACCAACAGAGTGAGAACTCACTCCTCAGGGAGGGCATTAATATATTCATGAGAAATTTGCTCCCATGGCCAAAACACCTTCCATTAAGCCCCACCTCCAACACTTGGGATCAAATTTCAACTGTAGGACATATGACCCAGCAATTCCACTCACAGGTATATACCCCAAAGAATTGAACACAGGTATTCTAAGAAATACTTGTGTACACATGATAGTGATGGCAGCGGTGGCCTATCTGGAGCAGCCACTGTGAAGACACCAGCTGCAGCCGGGGAGGTGCAGCTGGGGTTGCATGCTCTATGGAGCCAGTGGGAGCCAGGAACAGGTGGGAACCCCACCCCATTCCCAGTTGTTGGGGTGGGAGCCCCATGCTCCCAGGCACAGCTGCAGCTGCCCAGCCATGGTTGCAGACCAGGCTTTCCTTCACCCTCAGGGGCCTGGGAATCCCCCTTCCCCCACAGGCTCAGAAGTGCCTTCTCCTGCTGCCTGGCCTTTCCCTGTTCCTGGTGGCTGCTCTGATTTTGGAGCAAAGTGGAGGCCAAGCCTGCATGCTGTCTCAACCTGACTGGGTGTGCATGTGCTCAGGGTGGCACTAAGATGTCATGACCCTGCCACCTTGGCCCCCTCCAGACTTTGGGTGCTGAAGAGCATGGGAGGGAGGCTGAGGGGGGTGCTGAGGGTGGCTTGGCATGAGCCTACAGCTGCCCATTGACACAAACAACCTGGGCACTGTGGACAATATGATTGATGGCAGCAGGAGGCAGACACACTCCTGGGCAGGCAGAAAGGGGTGGGTTTCCAGTGAAGCCCCACCTTCAAGCCAGGGATGGCTGGAAGCATGGGGGCCAGGTGGAGTCCCACCAATTCCAGGTGTAATCAGTTCCAGGTGGTGTCTGCGGCCTGGAGTAAGAACTTATGATGCTTTTTGTGGGCCCGCCCATGGCCGTCCATGGACCAATCAGTACGCACTTCCTCCCTTCTGAGGCCCATACAAACCCTAGACTCAGCCAGATTCACAGAGACATCAAGACTACCAGCTGTGGGAAGGACCTACCCACTTTGGTTCTCCTCAAATCATCAAGACAACCTGCCTGCAGAAAGGAGCTATCCACTCCAGGTCTCCTCTCCACTGATAGCTGGGCACCACTGAGAGTTGATCTGCCTACAGAAAGAAGCTACCCACCGTGGGTCTTCTCTCCGCTGACAGCTGGACACTCATCAGGGAGACCTGCCTGCAGAAAGAAGGGCTACTCCCTCTGGGTCTCCTGAAAGCTGTTCTGTAGCTCATTGAAGCTCTTTTCCACCTTGCTCACCTTCCTGTTGTCTGCGTACCTCATTGTATTAGTCTGTTTTCATGCTGCTGATAAATACCTACCTGAGACTGGGAAGGAAAGGAGGTTTAATTGGACTTATAGTTCCACATGGCTGGGGAGGCCTCAGAATCATGGAGGTAGGCAAAATGCACTTCTTACATGGCGGCAGCAAGAGAAAAATGAGGAGGAAGAAAAAGCAGAAATCCCTGACAAACCCATCATATCTCATGAGACTTATTCACTATCATGAGAATAGCACAGGAAAGACTGGCTCCCATGATTCAAGTACCTCCCCCTGGGTCCCTCCCACAACACTTGGGAATTCTGGGAGATACAATTCAAGTTGAGATTTGAATGGGGACACAGCCAAACCATATCACTCAATCTTCCTGGACATGGGAAAAGACCTTGGAACCTGCTGAATGGCACAATCGAAAGAGTTGTAACACCATCAGGGCTGAAACATGCTCCCTGCTCGTCATGTTGCAGGCAACAAGAAGGAGAGAAGATCTGTGGCTGGTGGCACTTTTGCCCGACTATTGCTCAGGCCCACTGAGCTCATTCTGCCCACTCAACCAGCAGGCTGCACTCTGAGCACAGAGCTCAGACCTAGGGACTCTCCAAGCCAGGGCTGTGATACCCTTTTTGGGGTTCTGCAGTTCCTGGCATCTCCAAGCCTCTGGGTGCCACCATGTTCCCTGGTGCCCACAGTGGAAGCTGCTTGCAATATGCCTGGCCCAGCTGCAGCCTTGAATGAAGCTGCTGCTTGTGCTGGCACCTGGAGCTTCCCACTCTGCCACAGCTGGCCTGCCTGGCTGTGCACAGTGGCTGGGCCCCATGCTCACTCACACACCCCTTACTGCTCTGCACTTGGTGCACCCTTGGCAGGCATGGGATCTGAGCTGGTAGCACTCCCAAGTGCAGCCTGCTGGGCTGAATGGGCAGAATGAGCCCAGCAGGCCTGAGCAAAACTCAGGCAAAGGCACCACCAGCCACAAAGGTTTCAGGCTGGAAAAATGACACCCCAAAGATCCTATGACAATAGCAGCACAATAATGAAAATACTAGGCCATTTTATATAAACTGCTTGAGCATTCATAGATTTGGGTATTTGCAGAGGGTCCTGGAACCAATCCCTTGTGGATACTGAGGGACAAGTCTACTGAGGAACTAGAGAGAGGTGGTGGTCGCACAACATGTGAATGCACTAAGTGTCATTGAATTGTTCACTTTAAAGTGGTTAATTTTATGTTACATAAATTTTAGCTAAAAAAAATGGAGAAAAAGAAATCATAGGTGCTGACATAGGAGCCTGAGGGAAAATAGGAAAGTTTAAGTTTGAGCAATTTCAGTTTTCTGTCAGGAGTAAATTAAAAATAATCTAAAGCGAGTTGCCTAAAAACTCAGGGAGACTCTCTTCCTCTGGATGGCAAGCAGGAGAAATGAGATATGAAGAATGTGAAATGGAAGCTCTGACTAAATGTTAATAACCCACAGGCAGTGTGAAAAAGGCAATATTGCATAAAATCTGAAAATCAATTTTAATCTTGAAAAATAATAAATAGTGGTTCCAATTCCTGTTATTCTTCTAAAATGTAGGTTTAAGCATTAAGATTGAGGCAATAAGAAATATGGGTTTAGGAACAAATATGTACATTTAACATAAAGAATTATTTGAGTCCAGGGACCTATTTACGAGAGAGATGTGAATGTATTTGATCAAAAGCCTTCTAATCTAGTGCTTCATTCGCCAATGCCCTGAAACACAGCTTGATGGATGTTTATATTACCTCTGCATCCTTCAATGTAAAGTCCATCTTGTGCATGTGATGTTAATAACAGTAGCATTTACTGAGCACCTGCTGTGTGACGGTCCTTCTGCTAAGGGGTCTTAATGGAGTATTTCATTTAATGCTTACCCCGTGAAGCTGGTACCACTGTCATGTGCTTTTTACCCATGTAGAAACTGAGGCCACAGAGAGTTTACAGAGTTGGCCACACATCCAGCAAGGGGTGGATCCAGGATTCCCACACAAGTCTGTTCCAGTCTAAGCTGGGACATTCACACCCAGGACCCAGCATGGTGTGGTGGAGCACAATAAACCGTGGGTATGAAAAATAATAACTACATGGTATAGGGTGTACAGTTTAAGTTCAGTTCCTTTAGACATCACTGGAATTGTTCAGCATTGTAAGAGATAACTGGTTTTTTGTTTTTCTTTTCTGTTGAGCAGCAGATGAAATGAATGCCTTGTTTGTAGGATTCTCGAATGAAAAATGTAATTTTAAACACTGGGATCACCCTGAGGATGGTGAGCTGTTCACATACAGGAGAGATTGATGAGGGGACAGCAGACTCCAACCCACAACTCCCTTGCAGTCAAGGTTTAGCTCCTTGACTGGAATTACCTAAATGGCTTTAAATTGCTCTTGCTCTCTCTCTGTTGGCTATATATATTTAAATTTTAAAAGCTAGATGAGTGGGCACCAGAGTCCCATTTTATGCCATATAATAACTTAGTAGAAGGCATTTTGGTCTATATCCACATGGTGAACCCCCCACATTGACTTGCTCTTCCCTCTACACACACTGACCACAGCCCGAGGGTGTGGACCACGTGTAGGTTGAGCCCCTCTCCAGTCCCCAGACATGTGTGCTCCTGCTGGGGGAAATGCTGACTGATCTGAAATCTGCTTGTGCCGGTTATATGTGTTATTGAGTTTAGGTACTTTTACAAACCACCATAACCCACTGAGATAAAAGGACAAAATGGGTTATTTCTGCAAAACCTGAATTGCTAGTTTTAGAATTATTTAATAGAGTCATTAAAAATTAAACCATTATGAGTACATTGGGATCAAAGAACTATGAAGTATTTAGTAGAAGTCTGAAGGATTTTGTACTCAAATTGTAAATTTTGGTACTCAAATATCCATTATGTAATTGGTGGTGGGTATCCCAATTATACTTACAAATTGTATGAATGTATTAAATTACCACAGGTACCCTGGAAATATGTACATCTATTATGTATCAATAAAATGTAAAATTTTAAAAAGGTAAAATAAAACTCTTATTCTTGGACATATTATGGGTGCAAGAGATGTAAGAGATAGGGGGCAGATCTCCAGCTATCAAACCCACACTAAAAATATTAGCAAAAAAAGTGTACATTTATACGTTTTATGGTAAAATACAATTTTCAAGAATTATAGGTGTTTCCATGATTCTGACTTTATTTGAGTTGGTCAGCCTACTCTAATGGGAAGATCCTAGGCATGAAAGGAAACAGAGCCTTACTTTGGGGACCAAGATTTTTCTCTTTCATGCTTTGATGTCCAGGCTTGCCTGTTAGGAAGAATTTCCTCATTTCAGCCGCAGAGCTGAGGGATCCAGCCTCTTCCAGTTCACTCCTCTGATCTCTTGCCTACCCTGGGGGCACCCTCACTACTACTGCCCGCAGCTCCCTGGGGAGTGGGATCACAAGTGTTTGAATGAGCCGGGATTAAGAACTTTGATTTCTCTATCATCCCAACAGCTCTGCCTTCACCTTCCCCCCTCCCTATCCCTGGCTTCCATCTTCATGGCTCTCACCTGCTTCTAAACTTACTTTCAATTCACCTGGGTGATGCTGTGACTTCGCCCTCTGTCCACTCCCTTCTCTTTCCCCAACCCTGCCCGTCCCATCCTCCATGTTCCTGAGACCTGTCTCCCTTTACCCAAACTTAGTGAGGGAGTGAGTGTGTGCATGGACAGATGAGGGGACCCTCCAGGAGTCCCTTAGCATCCAGCACCACCCCAGGTGTCCACTGCGGCTCAGTCCCAGCAGGCATCTCTTCCACCCACTGTCCGTGCTCTTCAAGTCTGATCCATTTATTGCACACAGAGGGGCTCCAGGTCCCTGGATACATCCTGCCAGAGCCAGCGTCCTTCCTGGAGACACACCAGCTAGAGGTCTCCAGTCATGCAGGAGACGCTAGAAGGCCATTCTGCTGTTCCTGCCGCCGGCTGTGGGGATGGACCCACTTCCATCACCACAGCCCCTCCCACAATAGGCAGCAGCTGAGAGACCCAGCATGCCCAGCACCACTGGCCCCTATCTTCCTTCCTTCCCTGAATCACTGGGCTCATTTTTTGAGCGTAGGGAAATGATTTGCTATTTAAACACGGAAGAACATGTCCATCCTGCTTCAGGAAGGCAGACAGACAGACCCCAGTCCTGAGGCTTCCTCCCCACCCTGGGCACCTGCATCACCTCCAGCATCCGTGTTTGCTGAGGGGCAGGCCCCTTAAAAGTGTCATGCATGGAGAAGTCCAGCGTGGTAGCATGCACAGTGGATTCTGGTTAAATGCTGGGGCCAAGAACTCTGATCACGCTGGCAGAGAAGGGCACTGGCAAAGAATCCAGACTTTTGAAGAAGCCACATGCACAGACACAGGTAGCAGCGCAGACTCAGATTCGTTTCCAGAATATACCTTCTGGGAGGAGCCCTGTCTGTGTTTGGGAGATGCCTGGGAGCATCCATGGACCAGATCCGCTGGGGTCATGGTGTCTGGCTGGGATGGCCTTGGAAAGACATTTTAGAGTCTCATGTTGAAAGGGGGAGGGCATTGGGGAACCTTCTGGGCAGGTTTTTCAGTCTGCTGCCTTGGATTTGGGTATCATGTTGTGAAATGACTGGGATGGTCAGGAAAGCTCTCTGAGGAGGTGACATTCTGGCTGAGGCCTGGAAGGAGATGTGTGAGGAGAATATTCCAGACATGAGTTGGGGATGGGCCTGGTTGGTGTGAAGGAGGCATGTGCTGAGATGCACAGGAAGGGGCCTGGAGTCTTGTCAGAGTTCGGGCTCTGGGAGAAGCTGCCGTGGGCATTTTGTGGCCTCTGATGATCCCTGTGAGTGCCCTTCCTACATGCACACGTCCCTCATGCTGCCTTGCACAGTTCCAAGGAGGAAACCAGACTCCATTTCCCAGCATCCCTTGCAGTCAGGCCCCTCATGTGACCCGAATCCCATCATGTGACCCAGGCTCAACCAATCAGAAGTCTCCCTTGAGCCTCTGCTCAGGAAGAGGGTGAGAAGATGGCGCTGGGCAGGTCCATGTGTGGGCGCAGGAGCTAGAAAGGCCTGGTGGATTCAGGGGGAATGGGAAGGAAGTTGATGTCCCCTCCTGGGGTCATCAGGGCGAGCTGTGGGGTCTGGTTGAATGGCCTTCTTCAGAGCAGTCCCTGGTGTGGGCTGGACACTTGTAGCCACTGAGTCTCTGTCCCACAAAGGGTTGGGAGCTTCCTGATGTCCACACTGGCCCCAAGGAATCCGCTTCCCCTGGGTCTCGTTGGAAATGCACAGTCTCAGACCCCAGCCCAGACCTACTGGTCAGGGCCTGCATTTCATCAAGACCCCTGGGGATTTGTGTGTAATGGGAGTTGGAGAAACGTGATCTGTAATGAGCTACTCCTGCTTAATGCAACTGGAGGGGTGGGCTTCTGTGGTTACAGCAAAGAACCCGATGATGCAGAAGCCATGGGAGGGATGTGACCAGGGAGTGAGATGATCGGGTTCATCCTTTATCCATCCTGCTGCTGGACTGCAGATGGACGAGACAGGAGGCCAGCACGTATCCAGAGAAAACACATCTCTGACAAGACAAACATGCAAAACCTGTGAAAAGACCCAGACACACACACCTGCAGGTGAAACTTAGACACACATGCACACACACACAAACCCAGAAACAACCGTCTACACAGGCGCACAGAACCACAAACACACAAGCAGGGGTGGGGTGACTTCACCCCAGAACATCCCCTTTCTTATTTCCCTGGATCTGCAAGAAGGAGCCGAGCCTGCCTGACTTTGGTCCCTCACTCACCACTAGACCTTGAAAGTGAAATTGAATATCCACAAGCCCGTGACCTTGGGGTTCTGGAGAATGGGTCCTGTAATGAGTGTCATGGCTCCAGGCCAGGTGAAATGTAGGCGTTCCAGCCTCTGTCCGGGAGGGTCACTCGGCCCACTTGCTGAGGGCCGCAGATCCATGTGGCTCAAATGCTAATGGCTTTTCAGCTGGGGCTGCTAGAGCCCAGTGCAGGACCATGGGCAGTGTGTTTGCTGGAGGCACTTTTGCCCTCGACAGGACATTGCGGGCAGGCTACCTGCTGCGACCCAGGTTAGCACAATGTGATACGTGCCATTTGTGCAGCAGCAGGGGACTGGGCATAGAGACAGGGGACATCAGCCTGTGCCCGTGATCCAGCTGTAAACACAGATTTATACCCAGGCCAAATCTATCCACGAATCCATTTCAAAGGAATAAAATCACATTAGAGGGATAGTAATTGTGTAATATATTACACTTGAAATTAGAATTCTATGAAATCTCATTATTTATGTCTAGACTAAAAGAGATTGAGTTTTGGTTATTGAACTACATTTCCTGTTGCTCTGATGAGGAATGATGCTTCTCTAAGAGCCACTGTCTCATTCCTGAAGCGTGGTGTTTTCAGAGCAGCACCACGAGGGGCTTCTGGAAGTCTCTGGGACTCAGGGTTGGTCTGGAGGGACATCGGGGCTGCCCTGGGCCTGCTTGTCCTCAGGCCACTTCATCCCCCTTCCCATGAGTCTCTGGGCTCACCCCCATGGGCTGCATTTCCCAGGCTCTGATAGGGCTGGTCTCCGCCTGGATTGGCGGTCGGGGGCTGTGGTGGAGGGTGAGGGCAAGAAGGACCCAGGGTGTTCCCCTCTGCCTGGGCCGCATCTGCAGTGCCCGTGTCTCCACCATGCCGCCAGTCTCCTCTGTGGCCCCTGAGCTGAAGACTGAACCCTCTCTCTTGGCTCCTCTATCCCAGGGTCAATGACGGGTTGTCACTGATCTTTGCCTCACAGGCCCTTGTTTGCCTTCTCAGCTTTCCATGCAGATCCCTGTATTGTCTCTTCCTGGCTGAAGCACCTGCAGTGACCCCTCTTTCCTTGGTTGGACCCTAGTGCAGACGTACCCCTCACCAGGACACTCAGGCCTCTACCCCACCCATTTCATCCTCCTCTCATCCTCACACACCATCTGCCCTGGTGCCCAGACTCCTTCCTGTCCTCTACACCAGCCCCAGCGCCTTTGCTCCTGCTGCCTGCTTGTCTGGAGTCCCCACTGTAAACTCAGCCCCTCTATGAACTTCCTGCTCATGCGAGACCTCTGGAAGTCACCAGTCCTAAGCCTCCCACCTGCAGATGGGATCTGCTGGAACATTCCAGAGCCCTTGCCTGTCCCCTTATGGGTGCTTAGAAAGAGTGCATCCTGGGGTGGTCACACAACGTTCACTTTTGTTCATTATGTACCAATTATTCACCAAGTATTCACTGATGCTGACTATGTGTTAACCACTGTGATACAGCAGGATAATCGGGACTTTTTCCATTGTAGGTGACAGAAAGCCCAACTCAAACTGACTTGAGTAAGAAGGAAAGTTTTTTGACATATAACTATTCATAGCTATGTCAGCTTCAGGCATGGCTGGATCTAGGAGATCAACTTAGGTCTCTGAAGGCTGTCTCTTTACACCTCTTGGCTCTACTTTTCTTCATGTTGGTGATGGAGCTACAACAGTGGAATGAGAATTTATTTTCAGGTCAAAGTAGCAGAAATCTCTAGAATTGGCTTAAACACCTAATCGCTTATTGATGTAAATAACTACCCAGGGGTAGTTTATCTTCAGGCATGGCTGGATCCAGGAGATCTCCATAATTCTCTCCTGTTGCCTCTTCCTGTGCTTCCTCTATATGGGCTGCATCCTCAGACAGAATCCCTCACTGTGGTGTCAAGATACCTTCTAGAGGTTGTGAGGCTTGCATCTCAGCCTCTCAGGAACCCTGCTGGAAGGGGAAGTTCTTGATTTCTCAAGTTCTTTAAAACAAGAGTTCCAAAATTTAGTTTCCTTGTCTCCTAAAGGTCTGGTTTGGGTCACCCATCCATCTATGTTCCTATAATTGTGGCCAGGGGAATGCAGGGTTTTGATTGTCTGTGCCTCACACACAAGCCCAATGAGCCAAGCATAAGTTTCAAGCAAGTTAAGTACATGTATGTAAACAATGAAAGATCACATATATTCAATTCAAACTTTGATTTTGAGAAAAATTGTAGATTCATGTGCTGTCATAAGAAGTAATACAGGACCTTTTGCAACTTTTACCCAGTTTCCCCAGTGGTAACTTCTGGCAAAATGATGGTCCAATATCACAGCCAGAGCATCACCAGTGAGGTCTTGTCAGGTGGAAAAATGGTGGCCATCCCAGCCAAAATGTCAGAGATAGAACTTGGTTGTGTTGTCAGATGCGCCTTATGCTTCTGTGCATGCATCAGTGTGTTTGTAAGACCACTGCACAGGGGAGCAGATATTTGCCACAGAGGCCACGGGTTACAGCGGTTTTGTGAGGTGTGGTTCGATTGGAGGAGGCTCTCAAAGCCTCTGGACTTATGCGTTAGCTTTAGAGGGGAAAGTGTCCTTACACGGGCACGCAACCAAAAATTAGTTTCCCAAGATGGTGGACTCAGAATGTGTTCATGCATCTCTGTGTAATTAAAATTGATTTTTAAAAATAGAAAAAAAAATAGTGCCCATTTCCCTGAAGGCAGAATGTCTCTTATCTAGTGTGATGTTTGTCACATGACTGGCAGAGAGTGTATGATTTTATTGCATCTCCTCAGTAGATTGCTGGAAAAATTTTCTAACACAATAAGGTTAAGAGCTTCTTCATTATTATAGCTTTGTATAATTGCAGCATTTTATGATGATATAAACCAGCATGGACTCTCAGTCTATAAACAGTCCCCTCCCTCCCTTTAGCAGAGAATGCCCTTCCTGTGGTTAATGGGGACATATTCCTGGCTTCAGAAGGGAAGAGCTATCCTCAGAGGGTAGCCAGTCCCCCAGATCCTGGTCGTGCAGGCAGTGGGTGCTGTTGCCCTGTCCTGGGAGGGTGAAAAGTCAAGGGTACTTTTCTACAGGGCAGAGGAGAAGGGAATACATGTACAATATGCAGCACGTACAGCCCCTGCTCCAGGATCTGCAGTGGCTCCCTACATTAATGATGGAAGAACTACTGGTGGAGGGGAGGGAAGACCACATATGCACCGTTTATCTGGTGTATGTGTACCAGAAGCTGACTCAGTGTGTTTTATGCATCCTCTGATGCATATTTAAGGTAATCCTGTGGCACAGGCCTGAAAATTATCCCCATTCTACAGAGGCAGGAGCTAGGCTCAACTCCTAACGGTGGGGCCCATGTCTACAGCCTTGTCTGATTTAACAAAAGCCTGTGCCACTTGCTACAGCCCTTCAAGTCTTCAGTACCATTTTGGCTCTGGCTTGTAAGCAGGTTGCCTAAGTTCATGGATAGGGGTGTGGGTGCTGAGCACACGCTCCTTTTTTTCTTTTGCCTCAGGGAAATGAAAGGATATACATGGAAATGGAGTTCAGGAGGAAGGTCTGAAAGGCAAAGGAGGAGGAGTCCATTTTATTCTCACCACCTGGCTGTCCATCATTATTACCATTATCATCATTATCTTCATCACCCTCATCATCACCATAACCATTCACCATTGTCATTGTAATAATTATTGTCATTATTGTCATCTTCTTCATTATCATCATATTCTTTGCCATCATCACCTTTGTTACCATCAACATCCGTTTCATCATCACTATTGTCATAACTATCACCATTATCATTATCACCATCACCAGCACCATCATCATCACCATCCTTATCATCACCATTATGATCTCTATCACCATCATCACCATCACCATCATTACCATTATCATCACTATCATCATAACCATCCTCACCATCACCACCATCATTATCATCATCATTACCATCATCATCATCACCATCACCATCATCCTCACCATCACCATCATCCTTACCATCGCCATCAATCATCATCATGACCATCATTACCATCATCATAACCATAATCCCCACCATCCTCACCATCATCATTACCATCACCATTCTCACCATCACAATCATCACCATCACCATCATCCTCACCATCACCATCATCACCATCATCATCACCATCACCGTCATCATCCTCACCATCACCATCATCCTCACCATCACCATCAATCATCACCATCATTACCATCATCATAACCATCATTCTCACCATCCTCACCATCATTACCATCACCATTCTCACCATCACCATCATCACCATCACCATCATCCTCACCATCAACACCATCATCATCATCACTGTCATTATTGTCTTCTGCATTATCATCATATTTCTTACCATACTCATCACGAGCACCCCCATCCTTGTCATTTCATTATCACTGTTATTGTGTTCTTCATTATCATATGTTTTACCATCATCACCCTCATCACCTTCACTATCACTGTTGCCATAACTGTCATCATTTTCACTGCCACCATTATCTCAGCCATCACGAAATATGGTGCTCCCCATGTCCCAGTGACTGCACTAGGTGATTTTCATCTATTACTTCTCTATCATTATCCCAAGCCTAGAAGGTAGGTGTCATCATAATCCCTATTTTAATGATAAGGAAATTGGGCCACAGAGAGGTTATGGAGCTCACCTAATGTCATACAAGTAATGACTGGCATAGTCTGGATTCAAACCCAGCAATCTGGCCCGACAGTTCATTATCTTAGGCACTTCCTGTACTGTAAAATAAAATCTGGGATGCCTGAGTAGGAGTGGCCTCTGTAAGGGCCCTTGGAGACTCCAGCCCCAGGATGTGAACCCTGAACCACCCCTGATCAATGTGCTGATAGGAAGAACCAGTATTAATGATACCTGCTCTGTGCTGACCACATTTGTGGGAGAATTACTTATAAGACCTGCACACTGAATGATCATCCTAACAGATGGGGATTGCCTTATCTTCAATATGCAAATGAGGAAACTGAGGCACTCAGTGGTGTGGTTAGTTGCCCAAGGACACAGTGAGTGAGTAACGGGGCTGCAATTTTTATCCTCCTCATCCTCATCACCATCTTCATCCTTATCACAGTTACCCTTCCCTCCTTTTTTTAAATGATTATCATTTTCTATATGTCTTGATTCCTTTGAGAAAGGGAGGTCATTTTTCATTGTGGTTTTGATTAACTTGTTTCTTTCTTAAACATACAGGCACTGTTCGGAGATTTACACAGAGAATATGTTGAGATATTGTGAAATTAATACCAAATAATTGTCTAAAATAAGAGAAGAAAAAGTCTGGTCATTCATTCTCACTAGTAGTATTTGTACAGCTTTCCTTCGGTCTTACTTTTCTGAAAATATATGCCTTTTCTTCTTTTACCAAACAGGGATGAATGCAGTCCATGATATTTCACAACCACCCTCCCTCACTGGGTGATATGTCATAACACATCATGCCATATCATGCCACCGTGGTCCTTGTACATTTGCTTCGTGATAGGGAATCCTCAACTGTGACTCTGGCCAGCCCCTCCCACCTGTCCTCATGGCTGATCAGTGGGACAATCCTCTGTTCCCCACCTCCCTCTTTCCATCTTCATCCCACTATTCCTTGATCATCAGCTCCTGACCTACACCTTCCAGGGGACCCTTGCTCCCTTGTCCTCTGGGATCCTCCTCCTCACAGGGGGTTTACAGCCCTTATGTGATCTCATCCCACACCCTCGTCACACATGTCCTGAGGCGCTCCCACTCCAGACACTGGGCTGGGTATTGGGGACATAGGGACAGCCCAGCTGACATTATTTGACCCCTTACAGGCACCAGGAATTTACTTGTCTAATCCCCTGCATTTTCACAGCAGCCCTATGAGGTGTGTTCTGTTATGTTCCTGAATTGAACATAAGTAAAGTGAGGTAGAAGTTGCACAGTGAGCAAGAGGAGAGGCCGGACTTCACCCCAGGCCATCAGAATCCAGGGTTGAGCTCCGAAGTCTCATGCTAGTCCATGGCCCGAGCCTGGGAGGAGGTCACCCCGTGTCAGAGGACCCTTCCCCTGTCCCTGTCTTGTGTCGTGAGGAAGGCCAGACAGGGCCCTAAGTGCTCTGAGCAGCTGGAACTCGTTGGGATACAAGTGACAGAAAAGCCAACTTTAACCAGGGGATTTCGGATTCAAGCTCCTGCACAGTCCAGGGCTACCGCTGGCTCCTGCAAGACTGGGTTCAGGCTCCATGGCGCCATCAGGGCCCGATGCCTCTCTCCCCACACCACTGTCTCCTTGCTCCTTTCACGTTGACTCCTTTCTCTGACAGGCTCCTCCTTCATGGATGTAAAATGGCTGCAGCCCCTCCGGACCTCACATTGTCTCAGCTTCAGGTCCACTGGGAAGCCACCTGCCTCCGTCCCAGCATTCCCTGCAATCATCTCATTGGATCTCACTGGGTCGGATTGGGTCACATGTCCATCCCTCAGCCAATCACAGTGGCTGGTGGAATAAATGCCCTGATTGGCTTAGGCTTGGGGAAGTCACACGGTCTTGCCTGAGGAGTTCTGGAGCCTTTTCCAAAAGACAAGTCTAAGAGCAGGAAGGGCCCCCTCAGCAGAGATGCACTGGCGTGGGCTCACCAGGGAGAGGGAAGAGACAACGCTTGGCACAGCCCACAGCACGGCTGCTCATAAACACTCACAGCCCCTCCGTGTCAGAGGACCTTCCCCACCACTGACATCAGGCTGGGCCATGTGACTGCCTTTGTCCATAAAACTGGAGAGGAAGTGAGGGGCGTGGCTTCTGGGCAGCAGCTTTAGTGCTTCATGAGTTATTCGTCACGTTCTCTCTCCCTCCCTCTGAGCAGCAGGAAGTGCAGATGGCGAGGACGAGACGCCCAGCCAAGGGACAATGGACGAAGAGCGTGAGCGGGGGCGAGCCTTTCCCTTCGTGAGCAGCTGGGATCGGGGATGTTTGTTACCGCAGGGCAGCCTAGCACGTCCCGGCTGGTTCCCACTTACACACACAGTGCGCGTTTGTCACGGACCAGGACCTGGGCATCTCTGGGGCTTGTTTCCCTACAGAGCCAAGTCTGCAGGGCACCCAACAAATAACCCCCAAGTCACTGTTCACGCTGCTCCTGCTCCCCCGGGCTCTGGGTGGCTCCTTCCCCCTCCAGAGCCTCCGGAGCCGCCCGTGCTCCTTGCTCCAGCCTGAAGCACCCAGGAGGACCCAGCAGCAGGTCAGGAGCAGTGACAAGCTCCTGAACCGTGGAAATGAGTCTGGTTTCCATCGATTTCCTCGGGGCCTCTGGGCTTGGGTGTGATGAGTTTCTGCCCTGGATCAAATAGCTGGAGGGGAGAGCTGGCCTCAGATGTGCACTGGCGGCCAGAATGTTCCCCAGAGTCACACAGGGCCAGGCCTGCAATGCAGCATTTGCTTAGCGGCTGACCCATTCTTCCGCGCACTCGGAGGCATGGACACCCCCAGAAGCAGTCCCTCCTCCCCGCGACGTGACGCGGCCTGTGCATTTTCAGGTGAGGGACGGCCGGTGTCATCGTTGGAGCTTCCTAAGACTCCCAGAGGCTGATGCACCTCCCAGACCCGCCTCCGCCCGGCTCCCTGGGCCCTGCTCCAGGGGCTTCATTGCTCCCTGCCCCGGGTCACCCCTCGGCTCACCGTCTCTCAGGTAGGCGTCTTCACATCAGATTTGTGGCTTTTCTGTTAAAATTCTTCACAAACTGGCTGTGCCCTGACAGGCGGGGCCCAGGGCTGAGCAGGGGCCTTGTGGAGAGTGAGTCCGGGCTCCTACCAGTTCGGATTGTGGGACTTCAGTCTCCTCTTCTGGGGATAAGGGGATAAGGGTGCCTTCCTCCCACGTGGTTGGGATTGCCCGGGGCCATGTGTGGACATCAGCGCAGCCTGGGGATACACCAGCTCTCACTCGGGTATTGCTGTCCCTGGGGAGACGGAAGGAGCAGCCGACTTGCACCGAGAAGAAAGCAAAACACTCTCTCGTGGTTAAGGGCGTTGCGCGGTTGCTCTCACAGGGACCGGCGTTCCCTGTCGGGAGGGATGCGGCTCTGCTGTAACCCAGGCCGAAGGAGTTTCATGGCCTCTAGCTTGGAACGTTGAGAATTTTAAACCTACCCAGATGTTTCATGCCTGGCTGTCCCAGGAAAATTCTTTTTTTTTCTTTTATTTCTTTATTCTTCAATTTGGGCAAATACCTACTTAGAAAAGCAGCATAAAGCATGTGCTCCCTGCAACTCCTATGCGGGGCGGCTGCCCTGGGGTCTTAACAGGGTGTTTGGTGCAAACTGCCTCTGTTGAGCAAAGTCGAAACCAATTCTGTCGTTAGCCCCATCGATTCCAACTGTGGAAATGTATTCAATGAATTCACACCTGAACAAAATGTACGTTCACACACAGTTGCCGGAAGATTGTTTGGAGACTGGAGAACGCTCTCACAGCGCCTGGTTGGACACCGCGTGCTCAGGCACGTCATGGGGCCCCACGGGGTTCTTCCCATGGGAGCCCTGCACACCTGTGCTGACAGCAGCAACCATGGAGCTGTATCTGGCCCGGGAACGGCCACGTGGTGTGAGCTCCTATTGGTGTAAATGGGGACACAGGCAGGTGCCCCGTCCACCTATCCTGTCCCTGCTCAGTGTCACCCTCCTTGCTGAGTGGGGTCCCATTGGCGAGTTTTCAGATGAATCAAGGATGCTCCAGGTAGAGCCCCTGTTACTCCAGGCAGAGCCCTTGTCTGCGGGGAGCTGCCCCTCCTCGGGTGCCTGGAGAGGGCACATATGTTGGGGGTGGTCAGTGTGGCTCAGGTCTCCACACTACCTGCCCCCTGCTTCCCTCCTGCTGAGGCCGGGTGGACTCCAGGGAGGGGAGCCAGTGTTCTTGGGTTCACGGACACAGAGCAGGATGTGGGGACAGAAAAATCAAATCCCTGCACAGACCCCTCGGTTCTTCCCAGACATGCTCTTTTTCATGCCCAAATCACCTGGACACGCTTCTGTTGCCCTGGCTGGTTCCTAAAGTGGCCCTGATCCCTGCGTCCAGGGCGCTATCCTCACCACGTGCCTCTTCCCCCCGGCCAGCCCAGAGCTGCCCTGCCCAGGGACTTCAGTCCCAGATCCACAGCGGCTCTTGGGGGTCTCGCCGGGAAGGCTTGGGTGGGTCACTCCCATTTCCCACCATCCCACTGGGGCCTTCCTGGTTAGTTCTGGGGTCCAGACCCCTGTCTCCTCATCTAGATGGGGACAATGAGGCTCTGGGAGGGAGGTGGTGCTGGGGTAACCAGCAGGAGATCAGCAGCCAGGCCTGGACTTGTGTGTCCTCGGGTGACGTGGGGCCCTGCTGGCTGGTCTCTGGGGCCTCTCAGTCCAGGTCTGCAGCCACCTGTGGTCCTGAGGGCCACACAGCTCATGGTTTGCAACCCGGGTCATTTTTTTTCTAACTCAGTAAAGCCTGACCTCTCTGGTCACAGCCATCACTGCCAAAATCAGGTCAAAGGCAACTCCCTTGTGCACAGAGCAGCTCCACTTCTGCTGTTGACAGGTGGGAGTCCCAATGCCCTGGGGTGCGATCAGCCACACTTCTGTCTCCATGGCAGGGCCATGCGTGCATCCCCCACTCTGCTGATGGACCAGAGGCTGCCCAGCACGGAAGCCAGATGTCACCATGCTTGTCCCTAGAGCAGCCGTGCAGGGCATGGAGCAGCAGAGCTCAGAGCTTATGCAGGGCTGATAGGGCTGATGCGGGGAAGCCGGCCCCGCCATGCTGCAGTCCCCGTGCGGGAAGGAGCTCACCTGAAGGGAGTGCTCTCATTGGCTGGGAGCCTCCACTGACTCCACAGCACTCTCCTGACTTGTGCCAGACACCTTCGAAACAGTCACTGGGCTGAAAAGTGACCAGAGCATAGGGTCGAGCTGTGAAGATGAGTTGTGGATGGCAAGGGAGGGAGCAGCGCTGGCCTGGGCTCTGGCAGCCCTGCTGAGTCCGTCTCCCTGAGGATGGGCCGGGCTGGGCCGGGGCTGGCACTCCGTGATGTGGAACGGGGTGTGTTGGGGGAGCCTTTGCTGGGAAGGACTCCTGCTGAGAGGAGCCGTGTGTCGTGGAGGCTGTGGTTCCGAATCTCTTAGCAGGTGTGATTCTCTGCTTATTCGAATTAACTAAACTATAAATCATGCCTGCCACATCCCGTTCCCATTGGTTTCCGTGGATTCACTGCTCATTTCTTGTTAGAAAGTGCTGTGGGCATCAGGAGTAGCTCAGTAAGCAAAATGAAGCAGGTGCGGCAACTTCAGACAACCGAGTGTCCGCTGGGCTCTGCCTGCAGGTGTCTCCTTTTCATGAAACCAATTTGGCCCTGGTCAGCCCATTATGATAGGGAGGGTGGAGTTTGCTCCTGGGGATGGAAGGGCCGGCTCCGGGAGGATGAACCGGGGCACAAACAAGATGACACGACTGTGGCGGGTGTTCCTGCCCAGGTCCCTCTGACATTGCAGGTGCCACGCTCTGTGGTCCTGCTGCACCCACGTCCTCCTTCGTCCCATCTCAAGAGGCAGCCCAGAGCACCCGTCTCAAGGGAATTCCTTCCTAAGCCCATGTGCTCTCCCAGCACGCCCTTTAGTTCTCCTCCAATTTACAGCCTTGCTTTTTAATTCGTTTGAAATGGTGGGCTTTAAAAATAAATTTATTTTTACCCTGAATATGCTGTGAATGTAAATGAAATGTCCTTTTCCTCAACAATTACCACTTAGACAGGAATCTCCATGTTCCCTCCGTGGGCAACCCTGTCTTTTATGAACCTCCAGGGATATGTTAAACACACACAGAAACATGGAGATGTGTGTGCTTTCTAAGATAATATAGCACAGCATGGACTTATCTTCTTCAGAGTTTTTTTCATTCTTTTCCTTCCCCTACTGGTTTTTAGGATGGACATTCTGCATCTCTTGTCGCTTACCTTTTGACAAGTGCGTTTAATTCATTACACTTTCATTAATAGCCATCTCTGCCTCCTTTCTGAATTATGATTATTAATTTCAACTATTGCCCTCTGGCTGACAGGCTGTTAACATACAGTCTTCTAGCTGGGTTTGGTTTTATTTCCTCTGTCGATATTATTATTTAATAATTATTTACTATTGTACCATATACATCATTTTCTTTTCTCACTGTAACTTACTGTATTTCAAACTGCTTCTCAGTAAATTGTCTTCTTTATGCATTTCCTTCAGGAATTCTAGTAGGGAGAGGGTCCCTGGAGTTAATCCCTCCTTTTTCTGTATCTTTGAAAACAGTTCTAGTCTCATCTACCCCTCATATTTCCTACTTTCCATCTGGCCCTGTTCAGAAACGTGTGGCTCCCTCCGGGATCCCGGGAGATGGTGTCCTCCTAAGAGGTTGACCTGGAGTCACCTTGTAGGGCCTGTTCCTCCCCAGGCGCCCCTCAGGGACATCTCAGCTCCTCTCTCACCACCACCTGTAAATAGCCCTCTGTGGGGGCTGCGATAGACCCAGCTCATGGCTACAGGGCTTCACCCCTCCCTGTGGAGCCCCCACCCTCTGCCCTTGGCTTTGGGCTTGAGCCTGGGAGTGGCTCTGGCCAGCAGAAAGGGATGGGGACGGTGCAGAATCCCTCAGGCTTCCCGTGTCCACGTCCCTGGCTCCTCACCACACCGGAACAGGACTCCCGCCAGCAGCTGGGGAGACCGTTATCTAGTGCATCCTCTGAAGGCAGCAGGCTGCTGTGGGCTGAGGCGCTTTTTAGACACTTAGGAGATAATTCACAACTCATCAGGAACACCGCATCACTGCTTATGGGTGTCTCACGACTGCAGTAGGGAAAATAGGTCTCTTATTGGAAGATTAAGGAAGAAAGATTTTCTCCCTACAGACTCCTCCTGAGCAGCCATGCACGTGGCGTTTACTCCCAATGGGCGATGGGATTTTCATCAGCTTTTATGTTCAGAAGGCAGGGCACACCTGGAAGCTGTTGTCGAGGGATGGCCTGATTGAGCTCGTGAGGCCCTGGGCGTGCGGGTAGGGTCCGTTCCTGATCAGGAGCGTTCTCAGCGTTGTGAGCAGCACAGGGCTCAGAGGCTCAGAGGTCCCCAGGAGGCAGGCCCTGCAGCGTGGGGCAAGGGATGGGCACAAATGCTGGGCGCGTGCTGTGGTTGCCCTGGGAGGCCTTGGCAGTGGCGGATCCAGTAGCACAGGCATCATTGGGTATGCTCCCTGCTGGGGCCGTGGGGGTGGAGCCTTCCAGGTCCAGCCGAGGACACACGCAAGCGTGCGGCTGTGAGTGCTGGGAGGGGTGGCCCATGGCCCTGGCAGCCCCAGGCCCACACCCTACTGTGTTCTGGGGGAGATGAGATGATTTTCCTGAAATATTCTTTCTCTTCCTGGCCCCGTTCTCCAGGTGTGGAATATCCTGCTCCAATCAAAGCCATGTCACCTGCGTTGTCCAGTGAAACGTCAGCGGACAGGCGCTGCCCGGGCTCCAGGGAGCTCCTCACTGAGGCTCACTCCCTGTGCCTCTGCCATCAGCACAGGGGGACATGCCTGGCTGCCTGTGGGACCAGGGAGGACGCGCGGTGCGGGAGCAGAGCCAGCCACACTGCCGCTGCTGCACTGTTCATCTGAGTGGCGCAAGGTGAGCTGACACCCGTTGGACCCTCAGACCCCTGAGCCAGCCCCACTGAGATCTGAGCCACCGCGGCCAAACTGCAGTCACCTGGGAAGGAAGCCCCGCGTTCCGCCCCTGAGATGTGCGGCACTTTGCTGTGCAGCAGGTGCGGATGCGAGCGCCTCCAGCCGCTCCCCTGCTCCCTGGTTTTGGAAGCTTCCCCTCTCCTGGGCCTCACGGTGCTAGGATCCACCACGAGCCATTGCTTTGGTTGTTTCTCAAGTCCAGAGAAGAGAGTTTTCTGTGCAGTGAAAACCTTCCTTGTAACACTGAGCAGAGGCTCCGTGTGCATTTGGCCGCCAGCCATGGAGCAGGCTCTGAGCTTCCCCTGGGGTGTGGGTTCTCCATTTTCAGTGGATTCGATGGGGGCTTTCCTGGGTGCGTTTGCCCCCTGGGTGGGAAACAATCTCGATCACAAGGCTGCTCAAACACACTCTGTCCTCTGGGCTCTGGTGTCCGAGAGGTCTTCGTGTTCATCTCAGAAACAGGATCATAAATTAAAGGCCCTCTAAGACCCCTCTGTGTGGTCTAAGCAGGGGGATGGGTGGAGGTGTGGCTCCCACCTGACCTTCCCTCTGTCCACATATGTCCCGCCCCCCTGCTGATGGGCAGAGTCTTGTGACTAGTCCTGGCCAATGGACTTAGGGCAGGAGGGACCTGGTGACACCTGGCTGAGGTGGAGAAAAGCCCCCTGGGCCCCTCCAGCTGCACATTTCCTGCTTCCCTGACTAAGGGGCCACATGCTGTGTCCAGTGTGGGCATGAGGGTGCAGGTCATCGGGGTCCCGAGTGACTCCGTGGAACTGAGCCAAGCCCCAGCCCACTGTGCTCGTGGAATGTGAGTGAGAAAGAACTGAGGTTTTGTGCTGCTGCTGGGATTTCAGGGCCATTTGTTACTGGAGAAGCTGTCATAGGGGTCCCAGACCTGGGCCTTCTCCTCGCTTGGTGCATCTTGGGAACTCCGAGTATTACCATCTTCATCTTGAAAGTGAGAAGCATCATTGTCAAACCTCATTTGCTTATGGTGAAGAGTAAATGAGTTAACGTAGCAAAGCTTTGGAACAGCATGTGGCAAATGCAGTCACTGTGTTGGTGTTGACCATAATGAGGGGAATCAAACTTTTGAAGGTGTCGATTGCCAGGCTCAGGAGTTTTGTCTTCATTTTAGAGGGCTGCCTCTTTCACAGTGTCTCCTGCACACACTAGTTCTATAGAATATGAAGACATTGCATGAAAACAGTATTCTGCGGTAATTTTTCCATTTTTTTCAAGCAGTGCATTAGCAAAGTGAATGCATGACTTTCTTTTACTGCAGAACTTGTCAGTGCCTTTAATCTGAGGGATGAGTCTTCAGGAGAGTTTGTTGTCAGGATTTAACACTTACTCTTGGAAAAGCAGTAATGTGTGCTGGAAATGAACCGGGCAGACCCTGCTCCCATCTCCATCTGCCTCAATCTCAGTGCCCTCCACTCCCCACCAGCAGCGCCTGTTACCAAGTCACTGCACAACAACCACAAATGGAGAGTGGAGGAGCATCACTTTCCACCCCGGGATCATGACGAGGGCTCTGTAACTTCAACAAATGCGCAGAAGACGCCTGGCCTCGAGCTTGTGCAGCACCTCCGGAGCCTGCCTTCCCTTGTCACCCACGGCACCATGACTTTGGAGGGTCTCAGCTCAGTCCTCCCTCCAGAGGGGCTGTCAGTGCTGGGCAGAAAATCACCCTTCAACGACCGGGCCCAGCTGCGCTCTGTCAGAGAGCAGAGAAAGCAGGCCTCCGGGAGGTTCTCACTCCACCAAGGAGACGTCTCCACCCAGCGCTCATCCTGAGCAAGGGCACTGGGAGGAAGAAATGCAATTTTAAAACCTGTGCTGCGAATGATGACTTCTGCTGCTTCCGTCTCTGGAGAGCTCTGGGCACTTAACATCCTTCCACCCACATGCCCGAGTCTGTGCAGAAACCTCACCCACGCGGAGGAGACTGCATTTCCCAGTAGCAGATTCAAGTCCTGAACTTCCTGTACCACAAAGTGTTACCCACACTGGTGGGTGCCAGCCTGAGACTCAACTATCAGGAAAAACATGAAGAATTCAGTCCATGCCCTCAAATGCACCCATGTGGCTCCCAAACGGCAAATCTCAGCAATGAGATTCTCAGCTAGGAAAGTCCACACTGAACTCATGCAGAGGACAAAGTACATAGGCCTGGGGTTCTTGGCACCTGAGATCTCTGAGCAGTTTTCTGAATTTTCCTATTTCCTGTTGAAGACATAGGAACACGTGGCACAGAGGCACAGAGACCTGGAAACCAACAGGTGACCTCAGGGAGGTTTGTGAAGCACCCTGATGAGAAGACAGTTGGGCAGACGTGGCTGGCTATTCCCCAAGTCCATTTTCCCTCCTGGGACCAGAGCTGACTCCATTTCTCAATCTGCCTTGCAGTGAGCATAGTCAGGTAACCACCTTTATGCAGGGGAATGTAGGCAGAGGGGAATGTGGGCAGAGGGGAATGTGGGCAGAAGCTATGTGCATCACATCCAGGCCTGGGCCCTAAACTTCCCGTGATCACCTGACATGGCCCCCTTCTTCCTGTTGACTGGGATGGTGACACCCAGATGATCCTGGAAACCATATGTTGATGGTAGCTGAGCAGCCACCAGCCTGGGTCCTTGAGTGATTGCATGGAGCAGAGCCTTCCTCCCAACTGCCATGACCACTCCACATTCCTGTGAGGAGAGAAATGAGTGTTTTCCTCATGAGGTCGTTGAGTTTTAGGTGTTTGTGTGCTGACACAGCTAAGCCTGGCCCAACACACAGGATGAGGGCAGACTTTCCCCAAAGAAGAGAAAAATGGTGTTGTGAAGAGCAGAGGCAGGAGGGCAGACGTGGGAGGGTGACTGTCTCTCCCTGGGGAGGGGTGTGTGGGATGGGGCCGTGGGCCTGTGAGCAGCTGGGTGGGGGAGCTGGCAGCTGCCTTCTCACTCCCACTGGAAAGGCAGTCCCAGGGTTCTCTGAGCTGGAGACCCTCGGTCCAGCAGAAAAAGGCAGCCCAGTCCTCTTGCAGAGGAGAGAACACAGCCATGCCTAGGGGCTGCCTTTCTCCCCCAGGCTCGTGTGGCTGAACCGTGGCTACAGCCCCTTCAGTCCTGTGTCCTCGCCTCTGCCAGCAACCCCTGAGCTGCTGGGATGGCGTGGGATGTGGACCAGGAGCCCCAGTTCTCACCACTCGAGCCCGTGGGCCAGAGCCTGCCTGGCTCTATTCCTAGGTCTGCGGGAGAACTGGAGGGTATGGGAAGCTGAGTGGGGGAAGCTGTCCCCTAATCAATGGGCTGAGCAGTGGCAACGCTGTAGACATGGCACCATGCTGACCTCTTTTTGCTTTGGGTTCCTGAGCGGGGCCTTCTACCTGGACTCACACTCAGAGCAGGCTCTCCTTGGGCCCAGTGCCCTGCGTGTCCATTGGTTAGGGGATGGTGGGGGGTGAGGCCGGGCTGAATGAGGACAGATTGCGCTGTGACAGGCATCCCAACAGCAGCCTCCTGTGTCGGCTGCGGAGGGCTTGCATTTCAGAATTCATAAGCTCAGTCATGCCAAATGCAATTACTTTTATGTAACTGGAGTTAGTCTCTCTTTTACCACAATATTCTGACTGATGCAGAAAACATAATTTAGTCAATTCTAGGAAAACTCACTCAAGTTCAAAGTAATGTGGTAGAAGGTGTGGGTGTGGGGGCTTTGCAGAAACAAGAGGGAATTAACCATAACTTTAAGAAAATACATTCATTCTGCCTTGCAGGGGGTGCAGAAAGGGCACTGGGGTACTTGGGCTGTGGGGACCACGTCAGCTTCTAGCCCCGCTCTAGGATGTGGAAGTCTCTGGAGAAGGGTGGGAAAATACCCCAGGTCCTCCCTGGCCCCATCGCCCACCAGGGCCTCTCGCTGTCTCAACCCAGCCTGAGGCCAGCTGACCAGGGGTGTGGGAAGCCCAGTTCTATGCCTCTGCTCCCCCAGACCCCACAGATTCACAGCAGAGCAGGAAGGGCAGGGCATGGATGGGAGGGCATCAGGGCCACAGGCCCAGGACAGGCATGCCGACTGCTCTTGGGGGCATTTGCAGGTACACTAAGAAGCTGCAAGAGGGACACACACACACACACACACACACACACACACATACATACACACACTCACACATAGTCACACACACACACACCCCTGCCCTCCCGTCTCCAGACCTTGTGGTCACAACAACCCTCCTCCTCAGCTTCCTGGCACTGCTGGACCTGTCTTGAAGGCTCTTTTGGCCGGAAATGGATGGGCAGGGATCTGAGAGCACCTGCTATCGGGTGAGTCCTGCTTTACTCATGTCAGAGATTTAGACTAAAACAAACACAAAATGCAACAAAGACCTAAGTGTAAGAGCTAAAAGTATAAAACTCTTATAAAAAAAGTAAGTGTAAATTTTCATGGTCTTGGATTAGGTAGCACTCTCTTAGATGTGCTATCAGAAGCACATACAACCACAGGAAAAAAAATACATAAATTGAATTTCATCAAAATTTAAAACTTTTGTGCATTAAAGTTCATGATCAAAAAAGCGAGAAGAAAACCCAGAGAATGAGTGAAATATTTGCAAATCATACATCTGGGACAAGTATCCAGAATATATAAAAATTCTTAGAACTCAACAATATAAAGAAAAATAACCAAATTAAACAGTAGGCAAAGGATTCGAAGAGACCTTTGTCCAAAGAAGATACACAAATGACCAATGAGTACGTGAAAAGATACTCAGCAGCTACTCATTATGGAAGTACCACTTTCCACTCATGCTGAGGGCTATAATAAAAAACAAAACAGAAATGACAAGTGCAGTGAAGATGTGGAGAAACTGGATTTCTCATAGATTGCTGGTGGGAAAGTAACATGGTGCAACCAATGTAGAAACAGTTTGGCAGTTCCTTAAAAAATTAAACAGAGCTACCATCTGACCCGGCTTCTGCTCCTAGGTATTTATACACAAGGGAATTGCAGACATATGTTCACACCAAAACTAGTATGAGAATGTTCATAGCAGCATTATTCACAGTACCCAAAAAGTGGGAACAACCCCAATGCCCATTGAAAGACGAATGAATAAACAAAGCATGGTGTGTTCACACCATGGAATGTGCCTGTGTCCTCAGCCATGGAGAGAATGAAGCACTGACACAGGCCACCATGCGGCTGCACCTCAAAAACATAATGCCAGAAGAAAGAAGGCACACACCATGGCCATGTGTTTTATGATCCTACTCATAGAAAACGTCCAGAGCAGCCAGCACTACAGAGACAGAAAGCAGATTCATGGTTGCCAGGAGCTGGAGGTGAGGGATAGAAAATAGGGAGTGACCTGGAATGTGCATATAATTTTGAGGGTGGGGTCAGGTACTTGTCTGTTCTCACATTGCCATAAGGAAATCCCCGAGACCAGGTAATTTATAAAGGAAAGAGGTTTAATTGACTTAGTTCCACATTGCTGTGGAGGCCTCAGGAAGCTTACAATCATGGCGGAATGCACCTCTTCACAGGGCTGCAGGAGAGAGAATGAGCACCAGCAGGGGAAATGTGATACTTATAAAACCATCAGAGACTCACTCATTATCACGAGAATGACATGGGGGAAACCACCCCCCTGACTCAATCACCTCCCACTGGGTCCCTCCCGTGACATGTGGGGATTATGGGGATGAGATTTGGGTGGGGACACAGCCAAATCAAGATGAGATTTGGGTGGGGCACAGCCAAACCATATCAGGTAGTGATGAAAATACTCTGGAATTAGATAGTGGTGACTGTTGCATAAACTTAGGAATGTACTAGAAATACTAACTTGTGCAGTTTGAGATGGTGAATTCTATGGTATGTGAATGATTTAAGTTTTTAAAGCGTAAAAAATAGAAGAATTGAGCAACTGGACACATTGGGGGTGCAGGCGTGGGCAGGGCAGGCCCAGCGTTTGCACTCGGGGGAGCAGGAAACAGTCCCCACCTCTGAGGTCCCTGCGCCTGAGAGGCCTGAGTGAGGTTTTCATTTCTTCCTCGGACAGGGAGGCAAGGGCAGCGGTGGGTGGCCAGTGCGGGGCGGTGCGGGCTCCTCTCCTGGGCTTGGCTGCCTCCTGCACAGAAACTGTCCCTCCCTGGCTGTCTTCTGATGCCTAATTCCCTGGGTATCCCAGGCGCCTGATTTCTCCTTCAGGAACCTTGGTCAGTTCTGTTCCTGCCCTGAGATGCCTCACCTAGAGAGGCCTCCCCAGTCCCAGCCCCCTGGGTCAAGGCCCCCAGCCCAACGCGGCCCCTCTGACATCTCCGGAAAAAGCCCTGCTCCCACAGAGAGGGGCCACCTGCCCTACAATTTTTCCTTTTTAAATTAACTTTCCCGACATTTTCCTGTTCTAAGCACAACTCATCATTGGAGGAAATTTAGAGAATGTACACTGTACAGTGTAATACTGTACACTGTACAAGTATTAAATAAAAGGAAAAATGTCCTTCTCTATGGCCAAATCTTTCCCAAGTTACACAAATACAGACAAGTGATATGTTTTTCTTTGTTAACAAAAAATGTAACCACTACGTCCAGGTTATTCTTTTTTTTTTTTTTTTTTTTTTGAGACGGAGTCCTGCTCTGTCGCCCAGGCTGCAGTGCAGTGGCGCGATCTCAGCTCACTGCAACCTCCACCTCCCGGGTTCACGCCATTCTCCTGCCTCAGCCTCCCGAGTAGCTGGGACTACAGGCGCCTGCCACCACACCTGGCTAATTTTTTATATTTTTAGTAGAGACGGGATTTCACCGTGTTAGCCAGGATGGTCTCAATCTCCTGACCTTGTGATCGGCCCGCCTCGGCCTCCCAAAGTGCTGGGATTACAGGCGTGAGCCACTGCGCCCAGCCCCAAGTTCTTCTTAACCCTGACTTTCTCACTGCATGGTGTTTTGTAAATGGTTCTTCATGACAATAAAACAACCCTCCCAGGCCTCCGCTTCAGCGGCTGCACAGCATCCCCCAGCGCCGTCTCCATGGAGAACCTGACCCCTCATTCGTGGGGCGGAAACTCACCTGAGCTGAGCTCCAGGGCATCTCCGCGGGGAAGCGGGGTTGGTGGAGCAGCACCTGCCCTCCTCAGTGCCCCAGAGACAAACTGGCCCAGAACCCTCTTCCAGCAGAGGAGCCCCGCACCCCTGGGAATGGGGATCAGTGGGCCCTGGTGGGTGGGCTCCGCTGCAGAGGGGGCGCTGAGGCCCAGGAGGGTCCCCACAGACCAGGCAGACCAGATGGTGATGGCTTTAGTCTGGGCCACAGCAGCCTGTGCCCCTCAGTCTGCCTTTTCCATCTCAGGAAAAGCCCCACCCTCCCATCCACCAGGGGCACTGGTTTCTGCACCAGCTGCCTCCCCCTCTCCAGTAATGGCCTTTGCTTTGCCTTGGAGGAGCCCACCCCTGTTGGACGCAGATGAAGATGCCAAGGGGAGCCTGGCTGACCATGGAGCCATCATGGAGGGAGGCAGAGCTGAGGGCAGGGGGAGGTCCCAGCTGCATCACAGGAGCCCCTGGATCCAGCCACACCTGAAGGTAGCTACCCTTGCACCTCTGAGTTACATGAACCAATAAATCCCCTTTCTGTCACTGAGGCTGGAGTGCACTGGCGTGATCTCGGCTCACTGCAACCTCTGCCTCCCAGGTTCAAGCGATTCTCCTGCCTCAGCCTCCCGAGTAGCTGGGATTACAGGCATGTGTCACCATGCCCGGCTAATTTTTTTTAGTAGAAATGGGGTTTCATTATGTTGACCAGGCTGGTCTTGAACTCCTAACCTCGTGATCTGCCCACCTGGGCCTCCCAAAGTGCTGGGATTACAGGTGTGTGCCACCGCACCCAGCCCCCTTTCATTTGTAAGCCAGTTTGAAGTGGGTTCTGTCCCTGACAAATGGAGTCCTGGTTGGTACCCTTCTCTGTCCCTCACACCCCAACTTCAGTCTTCTCAGCCTGGGAAAATTCGGAGAGAAATGAGGGGGCCGTGGAGAGCCAGGTTCTGAGGCTGTGCCCGCTGCACCCCTCCCACCACTTAGGTGGGCCGATGTTTAGGAAACGCTACTTCCATCAAAGCCTTTGGTAACATCCTGGTGCCCGCGGCACCCACGACTGGAGACCCGTCCCCAGAGTTTCTGTCTGCTCTGATGAGCCCCCAGCTGCTCTCCCCAGACACCCCTGTGCTCAGCAAGACCCCAGCTCCTCTCTGATATTGGATCCTGTCCCACCTCCCCAGCTGTGCTCACCCCTGAAGCAGGAGCTTCGGAATGTCCTGGGTTTCTTGGCTCCTGCAGAGCCCCAGGGTCCCTGATAAATGTCTGGCAATGGTGGTGCACCCGGTAACTGTTCACCCACTCCCATAAATACACTGTTTACTGCTGAATTATAAAGGGTGTGGGAACAAGAGAGAGTTTCAAATCACTTCTCATTCTTATGGTTTGAATACATTACCACCATGATCTAATTAGGCTTGTATTTCATGCAGAGACCACACTTCAAAGTAAAATTAAAAAATAATTCTACTATGAGAGGAAATTAATGTTTCTAATATAAAATTTCAACCGCTGTGCTTGGCAGGCAGGGAAGCATGCAGAGCCTCGTTATCCTAATTAAGGAAGCCCCGGAAAGGAGAGCCATTAAGAGAAGTGACATTTTCCTGGACGTCTGTCCTGAGAGCTTTCCATCCCTCCCGGATGCTCCGGGTCTCTGAGCACCCCAGCCTGTGGGTTCTGACAGGACGTGGGTGGGGACAGGATGGGGCCTCAGGCAGGTGGCCCAGCCCCGTGGAGGGGAGCAGTGGTGGGGCGGTGGGGACTTGCTCAGACCCTCCTTTTCCTGCAGTTCCAACGTCGCACGGTGGGACTCTGGACAGGGTCCTCCCTCTCCATCTTCCCCTCGCTGGGACCCAGCACGGCACAGGAGGGGCGGCCAACACCATTTAGACATCAGAACTGTCCAGAGTGTTCTGCCCTCTGTCTTAAGTCACGACCCCGGATTCCCCAGGCAGCCACACACAGCGGTCTACACCGGGAGAAAGTCGCCGTGAGAACCGTGGCACCGCAGGAGGCTGTGCGTGTTTGCTTTTGTTGATCTGTTTAACTGCAGCCCGATTTATGTTTCTGGATCCTGGAATTGAGTTGACACTATCGGTAGTATGAAAGTGACAGACACCAGGATGAAGTCACTCTTGTCAGACCCAGAGGAAACAGGGTCAGGAGGCCTGGGGGAGGGGAGGACGCTGCTGCGTGTCTGAGATCAGAGCTGTTTCCAAGGACTTTCTGAAGCCCCACAAGAAGGCCCTCTGCGTCCGTCGCGCATCTCCGGCCTGGCGGGGCTTGCGTGGCTCACACGTACACGCATTTCTACGGCCAGGGTTATCTATCACCAGACATTCTTGAGGACTGCAGTGATTCTGATCAGATGCTCTCAAAAGACCACTTCCCAGTGACAACACCTCCTTCAAGAAACCGACAGCATTCTGGCTGTGGGTCCCTGGAACCAGTGAACTGTGTCAGAGCAGCTCAGGCGAACTTCTCCCCTGTGCCAATGAAAGCTTTTTCTTACCCTACCTCACTGGAGGCACCTGTTACTTGCCACAGTGCATTTGGGATTCTCATCCTCTTTTTCTATCCCCAAATAAATTCAACGTATGTGGGGATATTTTTCTCCGATGTCTTTTCTGAGGCTGACAATAGTTTATTCATACATAACCATGAGCAGCCAATCATCAATCCTGCTGCGCTGTGCTAACTGGATTTATTTTTACAACTGCTGTAAGAAAACATTTATTTCCCTAACAGACTCTGAAACTTTAGTTCATGGATTACTATAATTACACTCCCCGGCTCCCAGGTTTGTTTAAAAATGATCTAACTCAGGACATGAAACCCAGCATTTCTTTACCCTAACACTGATTTGTCTTTTTTTTGAACGGTAAGGACAAGTTTCAATAGGCTTCTGACCTAAAATATCCAGTTTTTATGACAAATTATCTGAGAACGTAATAGCTGAACTTGAAATTTTAGCAAGAAGAAAGCCGAGGTTCACTTTTTCCTTGGGTCCTGAGACTTCCTAGTGCGTTAATCTGATTTTTGTTAAATGAATCACGTGTTTCTTTTCTTTCTCCTGGTTCTGAGGCCTCCAGCTCTCACATCATAATAGGACCAGGCCCCTGAGAGGCACCGAAGTCCTCCGTGAGCGCTTCTGGCCCCTGGACCTCGGATGGAGGGACAGTTCCCTCTTTCACTCCCACGGGGGCCTGGAGGAAGTTCACCTCCCTGCTAACTGACCTTTGCAGGGAAAGCTCCTATCCTTGCGAGCAGGAGCCCCACCCACAGCCAACTGCCCTGGGTCCCGGTGCGGGACAGTTCTGTGGGTGGCCTGGACCGACTCGGTTCTCTCCCCTTTCTCACTCGTAGTTCTCAAGAGTAGTTGTAGAATGTGCAGGAACGCAGCACCCTCAGCTAGAGAGGAACTGCCTGAAACCACGCCCAGGACTTGCCCCTGTGCCTCTGGGGAATGCAGCACCTTGAGTTAGGGAAGAGCTTCCTGGGACAGTGAGGGCTTTGTTCCTCTCTCTGCTGCACGCCGGCTGCCCTTCAAAGCTTCACCCTCTGGTCACGCGTCCCCCAAGGCATGTAGCCCAGGGTGGGCCGCCTTGCAGGGTCCCTCAGCTGTGCTGAAGCAGGGCACAGTCCAGCCTCCATCCACCCTGGCAGCTTGGCTGAGCCTGGGGGATGGGCTCACTACGGACCCAGCCTTCTGTTGTTTCTTGCTGCCTGTGAGTAATAAATTTGCAGACAAATAGGTGACCGAGGCATGGTGGCCTTAAACAGCAGCCCAGGATGCGGGGGTAGCAGGTGGACCTGGCTTCCGGGCTTTGGCACAGCGATGACCCCCAGGCAGCGGGGGGGCTGTCTGGCATTGGTAATTAGTGAACCTGCTTCTCCACTGGGAGGAGTGGCCGCCCCGAGGTGAGGGCAGATCTGTGTTGAAAACTGGAATTCCGAAATGACAGTTAAATCTGAAAGGGAGACCAGGGGATGCCCAGACCTGGGAGGAAACTGCATTTCACCCCGTCAGGCCCTGTCCTTGGCCTCCGCAGCCCAGGACAAATGCTTCAGGGCAGCTTAACAGCATTAAAGCCCCCGGGCCCCACACAGGGAGAAAGAGGAAGACCACAGGCCGCCCCAGGAGCTTGTGGCCTGTGGGGCCCAGGTGGGAGCAGGAAGAAAGCTGCACCCCTCCCAGGTGGAAGAACCAGGTGAAACCAAGGGGAGAGGCCTCTCTCCTCACGGGCCCCAAACCATGTGGCCTCAGACACGTCCTGCCCTCTGTCCCCACATCCTCCTCTGTCTTGCGAGGCTGCCACAGGGCCATGGTTTAGAACAGCCGGTGACCACGGGGAGCCCCACCCCAGCCAGCCCCCTTGGCCCCACTGGGCTCCGACTTCCTTGGGAGGCTGAGGGTGACTCGATGGGAGGCAGGAGAGCACAGGGGGAATTCACTGCAGATTTAGGTGCAGGGCCTGGGGCCACCCAGAGAGTGACCACAGCCACAGCCTTGGGGCTGGGGGGCAAGGAGGGGGCATATAGGGCCCTGCCCAGGTCAGTGGGAGGCAGTGATGCAGAGGGCTGTCCCGGGGACTCTGGGCCATGGAGGATGCAGCAGGAAACCTCAGGGCATGGGGCCCACCCTGTGCCCCCTCCTTCTTTCCTCCTGCTCCTGCCTGTGCCCTTTGTTGGCCAAACCCAGGCAGGAGCTAGTGGACTCGGAGCCCGGACCCCGAGGGTCAGCCTGCTGGACACAGCCAGGGAGGCTGAGGGGCCTCCGAGCAGAGCCTGGGGTGGTGGCCTCTCCACCCACCAAGACCTGGCTTCCCGGGCTGTCCCAGTGCCCTCAGGTCCTGGTCCCACCAGCCTCAGTCCCACCATAGCCTAAGATGGGCCCAGTGCCGCCTGGGAGTCAGTGACCTGGGGAAACTCAGCTACTGTGAACCTTAAGAGGGGCTCCTGGGCGTGGCTTCTGTAGGCACAGGGGGTGTTTGGCAGAGTGGAGGGGACTCTTTGAGCAGTGAACGTTCCCCTGACCACCCGGGCCGAGAAGGTTGAGCTTGGCTCAAAGAGCATCACTTGGGGACAGTGACCCACACCTGTTGGTTTGTTCTTTCATTTATTCATTCATTCCCTCACGAATTGTGTGTCACTGAGGCTACCAAGAGGAATCAGGCACAGGTGACCTCATGGGGGACTGAACACAAGTGTGGCCAGTTCAGAGCAGGAATCAAAATCACACAGGCCCCACCCCACTCCCCTCTCACTCCTGTGCTCCCTGCGACAGGTTCCTTAATGTCTCTGTTTCTTCCTCCATAAAATGAGGGCAGCAGCCAGCTCACCTCCTGGGGTGCTGGGCTGAGTGAGTCCTGCCTGGAAGGTGCTCAGAGCAGGGCCTGGCCCAAGAGGCCCCTCAGCTCACAGCGGCCCTCACTGTGGAGCCGTGGCGCGGGTAATTGATTTTCTGGTTCTGCTGACGTGAGACTCTGCACCTGTGAGGTGGTGGCTGCCCAGTGCTGTTCAGGGAGCCTGGGCTCTGACTGGCTATTCCATGATTCAGCAACTTTGGATTCTCACCATATCCACATGTGAGTTATAGGAATTCCAAGATATGCATTTTGCAAGACAAAATGAGAGAAATAGTTCAAATCGAATATGCCCAGTTAGATTTAACACATACGCCATTTATTATCCGCTGTTCATTTCAGTCTGTGTTCTGCATCCTGAATATGTTTGCGTCTGTTCTGTATATATTTTGCAGAACCATTGGGCACTGTGTTTTGGGGTGATTTCTAAGGGCGATTTTGACCAAGCAGTTTGCCCTCTGTGCCGGCGTTAGGACAGAGTCCACATATGGTGTGTGGGTCTGCCCCATAAACAAGGGATCCGTTCCTATCTCAGGATGAACATAGAGGTGTGAAGTGAGAATTCTGGCAGTGCCCTCCCTCCCTCCCTCCAGGGTGGCAGGATCGCTGCCGCATCTCAGTCCCCACTGCGTTCTGTGCAGGCTTCTCTGTTCCTTTCTAAGAGTTGTGGCTGAATTCAGCCCTGCCATGCGATGGGATCACATCTGGCACCTGCACAGGCAGGGCCCTTGCTGTTGGCCCAGCGATCAGGGACGGTGGCCTGGCCCAGGGCAGGGGCAGGGACCTGGGAGAATGGCCCAGGGCAGCTTGGGTCTGGGGAAGAGCCAGGGGCCTGGTGGACAGCCAGGTAGGGCCGGATGGGGTTGGCAGTGACTCCTGGGCCATGGTTCTCCCTCCTGGTACCCTAGGGACGCCCCCCTTCCCCACTATGTGCTGAGTGTCGCAGAGGCTTTTGGCCTGCAGCCCCCCTTTTCCTACAGCCTCAGCTTTTCAAGAGAGAAGTGCTGGCTCCCTTGGCTCAGCACACAGTCCCCTGCGCGGCTGGCACAGAGCTGTGCCATCTCCAGTGTGGACAGACCTGCAGGTGGCCCCAGATCAGGCTCCTAAGCACTTGCTGGAGCCCGGAAGCAGAGCCCTCCTTCTATTATTTTCTTAGGACAGGCGCTCTCTGTGGGGCCAGTGCACCCTCCTGCAGGAAGCCCTCCAGGGTGAGATGGAGATGCTGAGACCACCTGGCCACACCCAGATTCCTCTCTAGGCCACTACCCCTCCACAGTCAATTAATGAGCACCTACCGTGTGTGAGGCAGGGCTGGGCAGTCTGAGCACAGGGTCCTGTGTCAGGGACAGAGTTGAACTGGACACCAACCAGTCCTGCAGTGCCGAGTGGGTGCAGGAGGGGCCGAGGCCTGGGGGACGTGGGTGGGGACACGCCCCCTGGGGAGGGGCTGGGCAGAGAGGGGCAGGGTGAGCAGGACCCGCCAGGACATAGAGGGAGCCTCGCTGGCAGAGGGCAGAGGGGTCAGGGCCCATGGGGAGGCCACGGTGTCCTGGGATTAATGAGGTTCAGCAGGGCTGGGGGAAGGTGGAGGGAGATGGATCCCAGGCTCAAGGGTCAGTCCCCTGAGGACTGAACTCTGACCTTTTCATCTCTTGCCCAGATTCCTTTCAAAGAGTCCTGGGGAGTCACACCCTACAAACCATAAAATCTCATGAAATGGGCTTTTCTATTAACCTGGTATAATGGGGCTCACCTTCCAGCCTGACTGTGGTACGGCTCAGGTGACAGACAGCAGACCCGTTCTCTTAACCCCAGCACCCCTTCTCCTGACTCCAAGACTTTAGACAAAGCTTGGCTCTCTCAGCCAGCTGTGAGCTAAAAAGATCCCGGAAACCCACCGGTGACTGGTAAGCCCCGGCCTCCCGTGGTCCCGCCTTTGCGGGCTGAGCCGACGTATCCCTTCCCTGCATGGATTCGTGATTGTGTCTGCAGGCCCTGTCTCTCTGCAATGCATGAAATCAGCCGTAACCAGCCCCTGGGGCACTCTCAGGAACTGCCCAGGCTGTGTTTCCTGGGCTGCGGGCACGCATACTGGCTCAGAATAACCTCTTTCAATATCTTGGTAGAATTTCGTTTTTCTATTGTCAGCCTGCCAAGCCCTGTCTGCCTCAGTGCTGAATGTGAGTGTGTGAGTGCATGTGAGTGTAAGTACATAAATGGGTGTGTGAGTGTGTGTGCGTTCTGTAAGATGTGAGTATGTGTGCATGAGTGTGTGCGTGTGCATGTGTGTGTGCGTGTGCATGAGCATGTGTGTTTTAGTATGTGAGTGTGTGTGTGTATCCTGCCGACTCAGCCACACCACCCCTGCTCTGCCCTGTAGAGATAGCCTGAGGCTCCTGGGCAGAAGATGGCCAGGTTCTGACAACAGGAGTGGGTAGGAACCCGACGTGGGAGGAGCCTGAGAGGAGGGCACTCCCCAGCCCCCAGCTCCCACCGCAGTGCCTCCATGTGGTCCCAACCCTGGTGGCGCCTCTGCCCTACTGTCTGTCCCCAGCCAAGATGGACCTTGCTGGGTGGGAGGTGGGTGTCTCCCTGGTCCAGCAGTTGAGGGGACTCCTGAGCCCTGCCCACTTTCCCTCCCCTTGCCCCAGCCTGGGGGAGGTTACCGCGCTTCCCTGAGCCCCCGGCTCATGAGGCCTCTCCTCCCTGCTCCTCCTCCCTGCGCCCTTCAGCCTGCATCCTCCTCCCTGCCTATCTTCCCTGCTCCTCTCTGACCCCTCCTCCCTGCATCCTCCAACCTTGGCCCTCTTCCTTGTCCCCTCTTTCCAGGCCCCCTACCAGTCCTCGCCCCGGCTCTGTGTTTCCCGCTCTCCTGTGGGGTGGCGGGGCCAGGCCTCCCTTCTGGCTGCATTCTGTGGTTCGGGCTGGGGCTAACGCACAGCCACAGAGGGGATTTTCGGGGAGCAAGTGACCATTCAGTGAACGTAGCAAAAGGTGACTCTGGCCCCCTGCAGAGAATGGCCCGGTGGCGGTGAGAGGCAGCAGGGCTGGGGGACTGCGGTTCTCCTGGGAAGAGGTGGCGGTGGTGGTGGCGGTGGCGGTGGCAGTGGGGACGGATAAACGTGGACGCAGCCATGAAAGTTAGAAAATAAACCCAGAGCCCTAGGAGGGGCGCTCCACGAGGCCCGTTGTACAGAAGGAGAAACCGACGCCAGAAAGGCACGTGGCTCCCTCGGCCACCGCCAGCCCTGGTGCCTGGAGAAGGGAAGTGGCCTCCGGTCCAGGGACCTCAAATACGCGGACCAGAAGTCTCCTCTCAAGGCCGCGTCTACCGATGGCCGCCCCGTTATCCTGGCTCTAGAAAATCTTCCTGACTGAGGCAACATTGAAATAACATGAGAAATGCGGTACGAAGTTGCTGGCACCGCTGGCCTGGCTTCAATGCCTTCATTATTCTCAGTTTGCACAGCGGGGTCCTCGTGCACAGAGTGTCACTGTCTTGGTACTCAGGGGAGCTCCCGGTGGGGAGACTGGGCAGGCTGGATGTGGGCGGCAGGGGAGCTATGGGGGACCCCATCCCTACAGGCTCCTCCCCACAGACCAAGTGCGCTGCCTTCCTCAGGTGCTGACACAGGTGCGCAGACACAGGACAGCTGGGGAAGGGGGATAGACAGAGCACAGCTGTCCCGGGCCCAGAGCCAGTGCAGGCCGCCCACCACCCGATGGAGTCAGGGTTTGGATTAGAGAAGGGGCCTTGCTCAGGTTCAGGCCTGAGCAGAACCAGGGGTTTCCAAAGCGCTGGGCTTGACTCCAACAGATTAAAGCTCATTACACCCACCTTGGGATCATTCCTGCCCTCTGCAGGTGTGCTGTGCTGAAGCAGTGGGGCCAGGTGTGAAACAGGAGGCATGGCCAGGTTGGAGGGGCGGGGTCAAACCACAGGGGCGGGGCCACGGTGGGGGTGTGGTCAGGGTGTGGTCAAGCTGTAGGGGAGGGGCGGGCTCGATCTGCGGGAACGAGAGGTGTGGTCAAGGTGTGGTCAAGTCATGGGGGGTGGGGCCAGGATGGAGGGGTGGGGTCAAGCCACAGGGGCTGGTCAGGGTGGAGAGGTGTGGTTACACCGTAAAGGCAGGGCCAGGGTAGAGGTGAGGGATCAGAGAAGGAAATGGCTAGAAAGAGGGGGTGGGGATAGGATGGACAGGGGTGGCCAAGCCATGGGTGTGGAGATAGGGGTGGGGCCAGGGTGAGGGGAGGAGCCAGACAGAAGGGTGGGGCCAGGGTGAAGGGCATGGTCTAACCATGGAGTGCTGTCAAGCACTGGGGGAAGCCAGGATGGAGGGGCAAGGTCAAACCACAGGGGTGGGGCCAAGGTGGAGACGTGTGGTCGGGGTGTGGTCAGGCCATAGGGGCGGGGCCACATTGGAGGGGGCTGGGTCAGGCGTGGGCGGGGCCAGGCTGGAGGGGCAGAGCCAGGCAGGGGGTGTGGTCACACTGTCCTGTAACGGGAGGGAGGACACACACATCCTGACACCCAGCCTTTGAGGTCTCCACGGGTCTCACAGCCCGTACCTCACTGCGTCCATCTCTTCCCCCACTTCATGACTGGCCCTCAAGAGTCAGGAGTGAATGAACCCCACTGCACAGTGTGTGACACATCACATCTCATCTCTCTGCGCGTGGATTCCCTCAGGCTTCAGGCTTTATGATGTATTTTCGTTCCTTCCCATTCCTCCTCCCATTCCCCTCCCTGCCGTTAGGAAATCACTGAGCCGTGTGTAATGACGATCTTTTTATTGGGACGTGTTCTTGGAGAGTGCCCGTTGCTGTTTCCGGGCATGAACGTCAATGGTCTCATGTGATTAATTTCATTCTGTGTATTTGTAAACTTTTACAAATAATCATGTTTTAAAGATGCTCTCATATCGCTCCGTGTGCACCAGCTCATGCTGTCTCATTGCTGCATGGTTCTCCGTGTGCGCCCACCCCATTTTCCTCTCTGTTCTCCCAGGGACACCCACCCAGGTCCTGTGCCCCTCCCGGCCCCCACAGACAGGCTCAGAGGTCATCTGTGGGCCTCAGAGGTCATCTGTGGGCCTGGGTCAGCACCTCCCTGGGTGTCTACTTGAGGTGGGACCGCTGGGTCCAGGGCCCTCCGTCCACCCCCACCTGCAGGACATCCCTGCGTCCCTGCCCAGGCTGGGAGCCGCCAGCTTCCTAATCACCGCCAGGAGTGACAGGAGACAGCCTGGGTGTGGCATCTTGGCCTGTTGGGATTTCCTCTCCTGGGTGTTGCCTGCTCACATCGCTCTGTCCATTCTTTGGGATTTCTCCTTGTTTCCTTGTTGATTTACAAAGTTACATTGTATATTTGACACACTGATCACGTTCCAGTTTTAAACTTTGCAAATCTCTTTTCCCATTTTGCCAGTCGTCTAATGATTTTGTTCATGGTCTTCTTCATTAAGCAGGCATCCTTTGTTTTGATGTGACAAAACTAATCATTTTTCTATGGTTTATGCTTTCCAAATGTGTTTAAAAAATTGTTCCCAGGCACAAGTTCCCAAAGACTCTATATGTTTTCGTATTTTCTCTCTTTTCATATTCAGGTTTTTAATCCATCTAGACTCCATCTTTGTTTGCAGTATTGGTTAGCGATTCAGTCTTACTTTCCTCCACACAGACAACCCGTTTTCCCAGTACCGGTTTTACACAGCCCATCTTCTATCAATGGTTTGTGGAGCCGGTTTCATCACAGTTTTAATAAATATCATGTGAACATGTTACTTAGCTTGGTTGGTATTCCTGAAATGTTCTATTTTCTGTGGACTGTGCTCCTTGGGTAAAATAAACCCAAACCACACAGTATAATGAAAATGTCATGATCATCAACAGCCAAATGCCTCCTGCTTTTCCTCCAGCTGCGGTGCTGGTTAAGAGCAGAGCTTTGGAGCCTATCAGGCCTGGTCCCCAGAAGCAGATCCTGGGATGAGGACTCAGGAACAGGTGGTGCATGAAGGGAGGGCCGGGAGGGAGCCGGGACAGGGATGGGGTCAGGGCAAGCAAAGCTGTGAGCACCAGGTCTCCTGACTGCAATGGCTTCCTTGTGGTCCTGCAGGGGCGCCCTGGAGCGTGAACCCAGCCTCAGCCACCCTGTTGGAGGCTCCCACACCCCTGTCACTGGTCAAGGCCTCGCTAGGTGGGGAGGATGAGAGCCAGCGAGCTGCTGAGTGTGGAACAACTCGCTCCCAGGGGCAGCAGCAGCACAGCCCCTGCCAGCTTCCTGGGATGTGAATAATTTCACTATGACTGACGTTCAGCCTGTGTCATACCTGGTTTATATAATTCCTGAAAACTGTAAACACCAAAATCATATCCCACAAGCTGGGAGGAGGCAGCTTCAGCATGGCTGGCCCCCAGGCCACTCCAGCTCACTGCAGTGGGGCCGGTTGGGCTCAGTGGCCTAAGGACAGTTGTCCAAAGAGGAGTGTCAGGAGCCAGCCCTGGAGAGAGAAGAACACAGAAGCCCAAGAGGGGGTCCTGGGAATGCTCAGGGCCAGAGGATCTGAGTGGAGTCCCCCTGGTGTCCAGGCCCCTGGGGTCGGGATTCCTCTCCTCCCCCCAGCTCAGGCAGGTCCTAGAAGGTTATCAGGGAGCTGTATCTGTCCCACAGCAGCCTGTGGGAGCCGACTCTCACATCTGAGGGTTTTTATGAGCCAGCTGTTAAATTGGTTCCATCAGCCTGCCATGGCCGTAAAATGCACCAGCCATGCCCATCCCCTCCTGGGGAGAGGAGTTCAAGCTCACAGAGACCCTCAGTGCCAAGATCAAACCCAGGTGATATGGTTTGTCTGTGTCCCCACCCAAATCTCAACTTAAACCGTATCTCGCAGAATTCCCACATGTTGTGAGAGGGACTCCGTGGAGGTAATTGAATCATGGGGGCCAGTCTTTCCTGTGCTATTCTCATGATAGTGAATAAGTCTCATGAGATCTGATGGGTTTATCAGGGGTTTCTGCTTTTGTTTCTTCCTGATTCTCTCTTGCCGCCACTGTGGAAGAAGTGGCTTTCGCCCTCCGCCATGATTGTGAGACCTCCCCAGTCATGTGGACTGAAAGTCAAATTAAACCTCCTTTTCTTCCCAGCCTCAGGTATGACTTTATTAGCAGTATGAAAACAGACTAATACACCAGGCCATTCTGCACTTTTGAGGGGTGACAGCATGCTGGCAGTCCTCACAGCCCTTGCTCGCTCTCCACGCCTCCTCTGCCTGGGCTCCCACTTTGGCAGCACTTGAGGAGTCCTTCAGCCCACCGCTGCACTGTGGGAGCCCCTTTCTGGGCTGGCCAAGGCCGGAGCCCACTCCCTCAGCTTGCAGGGAGGTGTGGGGGGAGAGGCGGGAGTGGGAACCGGTGCTGCGTGTGGCGCTTGCGGGCCAGCTGGAGTTCCGGGTGAGGGTGGACTTGGTGGGCCCCGCACTCGGAGCAGCCGGCCGGCCCTGCTGGCCCCGGGCAATGAGGGACTTAGCACCCGGGCCAGTGGCTGCGGAGGGTGTACTGGGTCCCCCAGCAGTGCCAGCCCACCAGCGCTGCGCTCGATTTCTCGCCGGGCCTTAGCTGCCTCCCCTCGGGGCAGGGCTCGGGACCTGCAGCCCGCCATGCCTGAGCCTCCCACCCCCTCCATGGGCTCCTGTGCGGCCCGAGCCTCCCCGACGAGCACCACCCCCTGCTCCACGGCGCCCAGTCCCATCGACCACCCAAGGGCTGAGGAGTGCGAGCGCATGGCGCGGGACTGGCAGGCAGCTCCACCTGCAGCCCCGGTGCGGGATCCACTGGGTGAAGCCAGCTGGGCTCCGGAGTCTGGTGGGGCATTGGAGAACCTTTATGTCTAGCTCAGGGATTGTAAATACACCAATTGGCACTCTGTATCTAGCTCAAGGTTTGTAAACACACCAATCAGCCCCCTGTGTCTAGCTCAGGGTTTGTGAGTGCACCAATCCACACTGTATCTAGCTGCTCTGGTGGGGCCTTGGAGAACCTTTATGTCTAGCTCAGGGATTGTAAATATGCCAGTCAGCACTCTGTATCTAGCTACTCTGGTGAGGACGTGGAGAACCTTTATGTCTAGCTCAGGGATTGTAAATATGCCAATCGGCACTCTGTATCTAGCTCAAGGTTTGTAAACACACCAATCAGCCCCCTGTGTCTAGCTCAGGGATTGTAAATACACCAATCGACACTGCATCTAGCTACTCTGGTGGGGGCCTTGGAGAATCTTTCTGTCAACACTCTGTATCTAGTTAATCTAGTGGGGATGTGGAGAACCTTTATGTCTAGCTCAGGGATTGTAAATGCACCAATCAGCGCCCTGTTAAAACAGGCCACTCGGCTCTACCAATCAGCAGGATGGTAGATAAGAGAATAAAAGCAGGGTGGGGCCAGATAAGGGAATAAAAGCAGGCTGCCCGAGCCAGCAGTGGCAACCCTCTCGGGTCCCCTTCCACACTGTGGAAGCTTTGTTTTTTCGCTCTTTGCAATAAATCTTGCTGCTGCTCACTCTGTGGGTCCACGCTGCTTTTATGAGCTGTAACACTCACCACGAAGGTCTGCAGCTTCACTCCTGAGCCAGCGAGACCACGAGCCCACTGGGAAGAATGAACAACTCCAGACGCACTGCCTTAAGAGCTGTAACACTCACCGCGAAGGTCTGCAGCTTCACTCCTGAGCCAGTGAGACCACGAACCCACCAGAAGGAAGAAACTCCGAACACATCCGAACATCAGAAGGGACAGACTCCAGACACGCCACCTTAAGAGCTGTAACACTCACTGTGAGGGTCCATGGCTTCATTCTTGAAGTCAGTGAGACCAAGAACCCACAAATTCTGGACACACTTTCAGCCAACAAGGCAAATCAACATTCTCAGGGCTAGGCTGTGAGGCCAGCCTGTGAGGGAAGCAGGTGTCCCTGCAGCTCTGGCCTCCACTGCTGGGGTGGGGTGGGGAGGGAGGCCTGTGCCCCAAGGAGTGGCCAAGGCAAAGGGGCCCCTCTTTCCCGAGCTGACATCAGGGTGTCAGGACAAGAGCAGAGAGAACTGAATGACCCAGCTCTGGCCTCCACCTGGTGGGACCCGGCCTCCCTGCAGACCCACCTGCAGCCGCTGTCCCTGCTGGAGGGACAGAGAACAGCCCGCCCTGCAGGCCACAGGGACCACCCAGACCCTGAGCTGTGAGGAGACCCTGGAAAGTGGGAGCGCTGGTTACAGAGACTTCTTCTGGAAGGAGAAACCCCCTCACAGGCACCAAGGGAGCAAAGTGCCCCTGGAAACACAGCTGATCCCTCCAGCAAATAAATTTCCAGGCAGATTTGAATTTCAGATAAACAGGAATGATTGTTACTCTAAGTATGCCCCCCCGTGGGTAGTGCTCCCAGCAGATGGGCCTGCTCCATCAGGAGGAGGCGGGGACTGTGGGCAGGGAGGACCCGTGTCTGCCCTGAGCCCCAGGACACAGATCACTCTGGAGGGGCGGGCCACACGGTCACAGGAAACACTGGGCTGAAAACACTCCCGATAATCTTTTGAAAGCTTATCCTGTGCACTAATTTCCCTAGAAGATTCTCTGTGGGTGGGAAACAAGGTGTATCCTGTAGCTCAGGGATGAGGACAGCAGAGAAATGGCCCTTTTCAACATTGATGTGCCCCGGGCATGTTTATGGGCCGGGAAGAGGCAGCCAGAGGACAGGAAACAGTTGGAGGGGGAGGAAGCCTGGGGCCTCTTATCACTGAGGGGCAGGTGAGGGCGGGGGGCCGGGCTGGCTGCAGCCATCAGCAGCTCTCCTGAGCCGGGAGGGGAGAGGTGGCGGGAGGTGCTCAGACCTGTCCTGCCTTCCTATCTGTACACAGATGTCTTATGTATAATATGTAAGGACATTGAACACATTGATGTGTCACATATTTAGCTCTTGGATAGACAACTTTTTTCTAAAATCTGTTATTTTGCTTTTCAGTATCCATTTCCCATCCTCTTGCTAAACGAACCCCCGTGTTCTTTTGGGTAATCAGTCAGATCCGCTGACACTGCAGTTCCCGTGGTTTAGGAGGAACTAACCCTGCCCCTCCATTCCCGGAGTCCATGTCTGACCCATCAGAACCAGTAAGAGGACAGGGAGCTTTCTCTCATCACCAGGATCCTGTTGCAAAAAGTCAGAATCGGTGCATGAAACCACCACCCAAGGACACATTTTTCATTATTTCAAATGGAAAAAATTACAACACTTCGTCCTAAAATTTCTGCTCAATCCCCTAAAACAGTTAAAGCACAGGAAAATGCTTACATATGAAGATCCAGCTATCATGTCAGGGTGCACAATACTGACAGGGTCCCTTCTTGATGGGCAAATACATGATCAACAGGGTTGTCAGCTGACCGCCACCTGTGCGCGGATGGAGCCCCCTGCCCAGCAGCTCGCGTCAGTGCGGGTGAGCGACCCTCAGCCCCTGCTGGCATCTGGTGCACTTTTCAACACAGGTCTACGTGATCACCACAGGCATATTCGGAAGTCACTTGATTTGTTCCTGGATATTGTTTTTTTACACGTATATTAAGATTTGTTAATGGGAGTTGGATTCATTCTTATGTAATCAGCCATTTTTTCAAGGAGACATCTGCACATTCTATGAATTTTGGATATTAAAACCAAGAGGTGACTCACTGCAATCCCAGCCAAGCCCAGGAAGGCATTCTGCAGATTATGTCAACTGAGTCTGACGTTCTATGGAAAGGCGAAAGTCCTCGAACAGCCAACACCGTGAGGAAGAACAGAGTTGGAGAACCCACATACCTAACTTCAAGCCTTATCTTAAAACGACAGTAATCGCGACAGAGTGGTATCAGTGCAAGAACAGACAGACAGACCACTGGGATGAAACAGGGAGCCAGGAGTAGGCCCACAGAAGCCCCGTCAGCTGATCTGCGATGGGGAAAAGCCGGCTCTGGTGTGGCCTTTGCCCAGCGGCCACCGTTCAGGATGGGGGAGCAAGGACACAGGTGACGCCAGGGCCCCACAGGGAAGAGCTGGGCCAGCAAACATCTTCCGTCAAGACCCAGAGCCCGTGAGGCCTGCAAACATCTTTTCAGGGCACACAGGCTCTGATGCAGCTACTAAAACCTGCCATTGTTGTGTGACAGCCACTCGGGAAACAAAGACCCAGCCCACGTGCAGACCCCTCTTCATGGGCCCAGCAGAGGTGAATGGGCCCCGAGAGGATCCCACGGGCTTTCCCCAGAGGACGAGGCCATGCCGGGGCCTCATTACCCACAGATGTCACACGGCTCCTCCTCCTCCCCTCCTCCTCCTCCCCTCCGCCTCCTCTTCCTGTTGCTCTTCTTCCTCCTCTTCCTCTTCCTCCTTCTCCTCCTCCTCTTCCTCCTCTTCTCCTCATCCTCCCCTCTTCCTCCCCTCCTCCTCTTCCTCTTGCTCTTCCTCCTCCTCCTCCCCTCCTCCTCCTCCTCACCTCCTCCTCCTCCTGTCCCTGGTGGGTGAGCCATCAGCAGTGACCAGCCACACACTTTGAGTCTGGGGACAGCAACCTGGATTCCGGTCTTGCCTCTGCCTTAGCCTCACTCTGTGGCCCTGGGTGAGTCCTGTCCCTTCTCCAGGCCTCAGTTTCCTCACTCATAAAATGAGGAAATTGGACTCGTTCTTGGCTCCTCAAACTCCAGTCTTCACTTCCCACCTTCCATGTTCCATACACATTACTTATTCCACGTTTTTCTTTAAATCATCTCACTTTCACTTCACTAAATTCCTCTAAAGAGGAAACATATTTCACCACCATAAGCAGAAAATCATTCTCACTTACCATAAGCAGAAGGTGGCTTGAACGTGAAATGAAGACAAAATGATGTTATTCACAACTAGCTAAGGCCTCGTCTGCCCAAAGCTCTGAGTCTGATGCCCACTCACAGGGGTTGAAAAATCAAACACCACCGGGGGCCAGGATGGGATTTTATTTGCATGTTAAAATGATAATGATGAGGCAGAAACTTAACAATCTATATTCTTCAGGTGTACAGGCTCACTCAACCCTCGTAAGAGCCAGAAAAGGGGCCGGATGCGGTGGCTCACCCCTGTAATCCCAGCACTTTGGGAGGCCGAGATGGGTGGATTGCTTGAGCCCAGGAGTTTGAGACCAGCCTGGGCAACATAGTGAGGCCCCATCTCTATTAAAATTGGTTTTAAAAAAGAGCCAGAAGTGGCAGGTGCTGTTCTCATCCCCACTTCACAGACGAGGAACCTGAGGGTCCGAGACACAGGAAGCTGCTTGATCCTCCAGCCAGGATGAGGCTGAGGGAGAGCCCAGGCCAACCCGCTCTTGGAGTTTGGACTTTCAACCGCGAATTTTCCACAACCGTATGGAAATGTTCGTCCAGGGGTTCTGGAAACACTCAGTCCCCATGGTCTGTCTTCTGTTTTCCTATTTTTGGTAAGCATTAAAAACAAAACAAAACAAAACAAAAGCTCTTCCCTTTCCCTGTTGGTCCATTCTGAGGAAGCGTCACCCAATGTGGTGACAAACAGTAAGTGGCATCAGCCCCAGCGTGGCAGTGATAGGGCGTGGTGGGGACTGTGGCGCGGAGAGTCCCCACAGGAAAGGGAGCAGCGGCTTCACCCACAGATGCTGCAGCAAGGAGAGCCCCGTGCCAGCTGCCCAGGCTGTTGGATCCGTTCAGGGATCCGGCTTGCACGTGGGCCCACGAAGGGGGTCTGCACGCAGGCAGGGTCTCTGTTCCCCGAGCGTCTATCCCCAGCACCCACAGCAGTGCCCAGCTCAGCTAGGGTGCAATAAATGATGTGTGAACTGGTGAATTCATGGAAATCTCCCACTTTTTACCTATTGGGGATTAATTCCATGTTTTAAGTCTGGGCCGGCAGTGCCACGTGGTCCTCCAGGTGTGTCCTCTGTCAGGTGCTAGAGGACACCCCAAGGTCAGCAGGGGCTTCTGCTGGGTCTCTGAGCCATTATTCTCTCGCCTGCCTCACGTGAACACAGGTTTCCTGGGTGGAGTTTAGTTGAGAGATCGCAGTCATTCGCAGGAGGAAACCTGCTGCTCCCTCAGGGGTGCAGTGAGTTTCAGGCATTAGGACGGAGCCAACACCCAGGCTTCCTAAAGCCCTGAACATAAATTTCTCTCAACTCCCTTTTCTTGGGAATTAGCAAATCAAACACTGTATTTTTCAGTGTCTCAAATCTTGCTTCCTTCCAGCTGAGCCCAAGGAGAGTGAAGGGCAGAGGGTGGCACAGGGTGGAGATTTGAGAAGTTTAATTAAAGCCTCAGGTTCAGGCGCAGGGTGATCCTGATCCATCACCAAGGTGTGGCCGCTCCCACTTCATGAAAAGACAGCCCAGCCCTGAGGATCAGAGCCATCTCTCAGATGGAGGAGAAGTCAACGCCTGACAGCCTTCGCTCATTTGACAGATGCTTCCCCTGAATTCTCCTCTTGGTAATAAAGTGGTCTCCATGGTAACTGTTGAGGCCTTGATGATGGATTAGACAGGCTATTTTTAATCATCCTGAAAACAATGTTGGCAGGCATGTAAAATCCTTCCAGAATCTTCCAGCTCAGCCGAGCCACCAGCAGGATGCAACTGAGGAAGTGAACCCAGGCAACGCCACAGCAGAAGAGCCACCCAGCTGGGCCCTGCCCAAGATCCTGACCACAGAATTGTGAGAAATGATGGATTACTGATTTTGTTTGAAGTGACAGCATTTTTTGGGTGGTTTGTTAAGCGGTGAGACGTGAGTCAGGACAGGTGGTACAGATTGGGCATGGCTGGGACTTTAGTCAGCCAGGAGAAGTTGTCCGGCATGGCTGTCCACCGGTCTAGGACCCAGGCCACACCGCCCTGCACCTGGTTACCTGCAGCTCATGTTAGTGCTGCCTGGCTGTGTGTGTCCCCTCTTTCTCATTAGGTGCTTTAGTGCCCTCCTGGAATGTCAGGATTTAATTTCCATTCAGCTTTAATAAGTCCTCCTGGACCGTGTGCTCACAACTGAAATTAATTTCTCCAGCCTGGCTTTGGCGATTTTCATCCTTAATTCCTCTGTGTCCCCAGGGCACCTCCAAGCATGTTGTCTTAATTCATCTTCTGTGATTCAACAAAGGGATTGTCCCAGCGTGGGGCACCCGCATGCCATGCACGTCTCACCGCAGCCACACCTGGGCCAGGTAGGATTAGTTCAGAACTGCTTTTGAGGGGCTGTTGTCATGGACACCAAGGGGCAGGTCCATTTCTGGTCACAGACGTGCATCCAGCTTCTGTCTGCAGCCAAATGGAAGCAGCTGCATTTGCTGAAGCCACAGGGGCCTGTGGTCGCCGGTCCTGGGTCATTTTGCCTGCCTGGCATTTGTTCCCTCTCCTTCCAGTAACAAGCCCTGATGGGCTCTGCGCAGCCACACCTTCCCCCTCAGCTGTCACAGCCCCGTTGGAATTGCTTTCTCCTGGGCCAAGCATTTCACAGAGGCTGCACCACTCAGCCCCTCCTAGTCCGCTGGAGAAAGTGGCTGAGGGGGTGGTGGGGGATAATTGCATTTCCAAAGTCCGGGCAATCAGCCAATGTAAACAGGCACCTGCGTCACTGTGTGGGCTCTCTAGGCAACAGGTAAAATACATCAAATACACACAATTTCCTGACATTCCAATGCATTTCTGCGTGAGCTGGGATGGGGGAGGCCGCTGTTCCTCTGGGCTGTTTCTCCTCTCAGCTCTGAGCCGAGCAGCAGGTGGGCTCCTGAATCCCCATCTCCAGGCTCAGGGCTGCTGGCCACCTGCCTGACAGCCCCTTTCTCACCCGAGCCAGGGGCTCTCTGCCCTGCTCTGCAGAAACCTCCCTGGCCTGGCCACCTGCCTGACAGCCCCTTTCTCACCCGAGCCAGGGGCTCTCTGCCCTGCTCTGCAGAAACCTCCCTGGCCTGGCCACCTGCCTGACAGCTCCTTTCTTTTTGTGTTTTCTTTTTTTTTTTTTTTTTTGAGATGGACTTTCACTCTTGTTGCCTAGGCTGGGGTGCAATGGCGTGATCTCGACTCACTGCAACTTTTGCCTCCCAGGTTCAAGCGATTCTTCTCCCTCAGCCTCCAGAGTAGCTGGGATTATAGGCATACACCACCACACCCGGCTAATTTTGTATTTTTAGTAGAGATGGGGGTTTCTCCATGTTGGTCAGGCTGGTCGGGAACTCCCAACCTCAGGTGATCCACCTGTCTTGGCTTCCCAAAGTGCTGGGATTACAGGTGTAAGCCACTGCGCCTGGCCTGACAGCCCCTTTCTCACCGGAGCCAGGCGCTCTCTGCCCTGCTCTGCAGAAACCTCCCTGGCCTGGCCAGCAGCCTCAGAGGCCTCAGAAAATGTCCTGGCTGCAGGTGAAAGAAGACGAGGGTGCAGCTTCCCCAGCGTGCTCTGAGCTCAACCCACCAGACACAACCCCCTCTCACGGTCACACGGGCCCCCGGGCTCCCCTGTGGGAAAGGCCAGTGGAAATGGCAGCATGGACGGAGGCATCCATGGCCCTGTGATGCATGGCTGTGTCAGTGGATGATCTGAGAATTCACCCGGTCCCCAGCACCCCATATCCGCCACCCCATCCTGCTGCTCTTCTCTTTCTCTCTCATGACCTTCTGCCCCTCTGGGCTCCTCACTGAGGACCACCAGGACTGTCCCCGACACCGATGCTAGCTGGGATGTCCGGGCGTCCCTCCCACAAGGTCTGTGCCTGGAGAGGGATGGGCACTGGTGTAAGGCCCACTATGGGGGGAGACCAAGGGCGGGCAGCTCACCCAGGTGCTGAGGAATCCAGGCAGAGCACAGTGTCCTTTGCTGCAGGGTCTGAGGGCTCTCTGCCCATAGAGCTGCTGCGGCTACGCACTGTTACATCTCCGGAAGATGTGCCTTGTTATGCTCTCAGTACTTATAAAAAAGGAATTCTCTGTCCACAATTTATTCCTGTGCTTTAAAAGTTTGAATTCCAGTGGAAAAGCAGCAAGAAGACATGAGCCTCAAGGATGGTTCTGGAGATGGGTCTGATGATTGTGCTTGGTCCACCAAAGCTTCCCACGAGAACAGCATGTTTGTTTTTGCTGACACCCCCAGCCCCCAAGCTCAGTTCCTCTCTTGGGAGGCTGAGGGGTCACAGGGTCCTGAAGTGTCCCCGGGCTCACACCCAAATGGAAGACCTGTTTTCCTCAGGAAGTAATCCTCGCCAAGCATGTCAGGTGTAGGATACCATATGTCAGAAGTCACAACAGGAGGCCGGGCACGGTGGCTCACGCCTGTAATCCCAGCACTTTGGGAGGTTGAGGTGGATGGATCACCTGAGGTCAGGAGTTCAAGACCAGCCTGGGAAACATGATGAAACCCTGTCTCTACTAAAAATACAAAAATTAGCCGGGCGCAGTGGCACATGCCTGTAAATCCCAGCTACTCAGGAGGCTGAGGCCGGAGAATCGCTTGAGCCCGGGAGGTGGAGGTTGCAGTGAGCCAAGATCAGGCCACTGTACTCCAGCCTGGGTGACAGAGTGAGACTCTGTCTAAAACAAACAAACAAACAAAAAAAGAAGTCACAACGGGTGATGAAAAGCAAAACAATTTCATTTGCATCTCTCCAGTTCTTAGCAGGCTTCCACTGGGCGCTGAGTTCCAGGTCTATATTTATTCACCATCCGTTAAGTCACTGAATTTGAATTACACACTTTTGAGGATTCTGAATGGGAAGAGGCACTCATAAACTGCCTGCGTGTATAATCCTGAGCCTTGTTGCTGTGTCAGCCCCATGAAAGCTTGTTTATTGGTAAATATCAAAATGCAACATTTCCCTCAACTTACCTTTAATCCTCTTTTTATTACGTTTTCTAGACAGGAATTTCTTCTTTCAAGGAAGGCTGTCATAGAAAGACATGTCACCTTGAGGCGTTCCTTACCATTGTCAATAGTGGAGGACACGTTGTCTCTCTTCTCTTCTGTTTCAGCCCCACTGTGGGTCCTGCGAGTCTGCACCTACTGTAGCTCCACCGTGCTGTTTGTGCTCTTCCACCTCAGCCTCCCTGGATGGCTCTTTAAGTCAACTTGCATTTCCCTAGGAGAGGTTATCACTTCCTGGGTAGCTGGGCAGAGCCTGGAGTCAGGCAGCAGGGGTGGAGCCCTGGCTCTCCTTTCACCGGATGTGTGGCCTTGATAAAATCTTTCCATCAGGCCTGGAGGCTCACACCTATAATCCCAGCACTTTGGGAGGCTGAGCCAGGCAGATCACCTGAGGTCAGGAGTTCGAGACCAGCCTGGCCACCATGGTGAAATCTCCTCTGTACTAAAAATACAGAAATTAGCCAGGCATGGTGGCAAGTGCTTATAAGCCCAGCTACTGGGGAGGCTGAGGCAGAAGAATTGCTTGAACCCGGGAAGCAGAGGTTGCAGTGAGCCAAGATCATGCCACTGTACCCCAGCCTGGGTGACAAAGAATCCATCTCAAAAAAAAAAAAAAAAGTCTTTTCATCTCTGTCACCGTCAGTTTCCTACTCTTGGACTGATTGTAGGACATGTCACATAGAGCCAATGGATGAGTTACTAAATATACAGAGGTTAGTACCAAGCCTGGCTGGAACACAGCAAGTACTCAATAAATGCTAGCTATCATTATTATCATGATTATAATTCTAAACATTTTGTTGGCTTTCTATATTTCTTTGTTACCTCAGGAGACAGTGATTCCCATTCCCTAGAATATTTCTACTGTGGCTCCTGGTTATTTACAAAGTGTTGTCAAATCTGAAACAAAAGGAGAAAGACAGGAGAAATCCCTGCTGAAAAATAATAGCCACCATGTCTTGGGCATCTACTAGGTGCCAAAAACTGTATTAAGGACAATTGTGATCTGTCTTTTAATTCTCACAACATCCAAGTGAGATTTATGCTATGATCTTTTTCCTTTTTCAGACAAAGAAAACAAGGCCCGATGCCTGCAGCTAGCAAGTGGCAAAGCCAGCATTTGGATCAAAGACACACCCCCACTTTTCACCATGGGGTGTTTCTCCTTCCTGGTCCATCCCTAATTACCTTAAATCTAATCCTCAGTTCTCTCTAGCACAGTCCAAAATAGGACAGAACATCTCTCATTGTAGAGTGTGCTGTGCTGAGAACTTACTTGGAGAAATGAAGATTTAAAAATTTGTCCCCCCTCTTTCAGTTTTAGTTGTTTCCCATGGAGACAGGTCTACTGACCTATCTCCATGATTACTTATTCTTTCCTTACCTGTGTGTCAACTCTCCTTACCTGGTGTCAGACAGACAGTCTGGGGAAAGCATTCTGTAGCTCCTTTGTTGAGATTTTTCTCTTGCATGAGCATTTCATCATTTCATCCTCTGTGGTCCTTTCGATCTCTCTGCTGAAATTTGCTATATTCATTCATATTCTTCAATTTTCCATTGAAGCCTTTAATATATTAATCAAAATTATTTGACATTCACTGACTGACAGTTTCATTGTGTGTGATATCTGAGTATGGGTTTATCATGTTGTCTCTTGACGTTGGATTTTTTTCCTTGCCTTTTCTTGTGTTTTGTCATCTTTGGTTGGAAGTTAGATATGCGGACCAGGCACAGTGGCTCATGCCTGTAATCCCAGCACTTTGGGAGGCTGAAGCCGGCTTATTGGTTGAGCTCAGGAGTTCGAGACCGGCCTGGGCAACACAGCAAAACTGTGTCACCACCAAAAACACAAAAAACTAGCTGGGCATGGTGGTGTGCACCTGTGGTCCCAGCTACTTGGAAGACTGAGGTGGGAGAATTGTTTGAGCCCGGGAGGCAGAGGCTGCAGTGAGCTGAGATCATGCCATTGCAGTCCAGTCCAGGTGACAGAGTGAGACTCTGTCTCATTAAAAAAAAAAAAAAAGTTAAGACATGGCATAGACAATAGAAATTGAGGTAACGGTACTTGTACCTGAATTGGGCATATGCCTCTTCTTTAACTAGGCCTTTATTTGGGATGGGAGGTAAATGATTCTAGACAGTGAGCTGCGTTTAAATGTCTCTGTTCTGTGGTTACTCTCAGTGTACCACAAAGCTTCAAATTCTGCTAGTGTTACCTGTGTCTACAGTAGGGATTGAGTCACTGGAAAATTTTTCTCAATGCTCTTGCTTCACGCTCTGCTGTAGGCTGTATTTATGAGATTGAGCCTCAGACAGGGTCTCTCTATACCAGCTTAGCCCTCTCCCATGGGTTCTGTTTTGTCTTGTCAATGCCTGCTAACCTCATGATGAGGGCTGGGGCATTCTCTGTTTTCCTGGGTCAGCATAAGTATTAGGTAGGCTGCGTGTCACTGAGACTCAAGGGAAAGGCTCACCTAGTGCTTCTGCTCCCCCTCCAGCGGCATTCAAACTCTATCTTATCGTTTTGGTGTTTCTTGTGTGGGAGTTTCCAGCCCTCCCTCAACAGAAAGCATCTCTTACAATCTGGGCCTAGGGTATTTTTGGCTGTCCCCGGGGAGGGTGTTTCTCTCTTCCCTTTGTCTAGTCACAGTGGGTCTCTGTCTATGGCCTGGAGGCAGCATGATTTGTTGTCCCATCCCCAATGCCCTCAGTTGTTTAAGATTTTTGCTCCTTGGTGAGACTGGAGAGAAAGATCTAGGAAGGCTCTATCCATTTTCTACAGTGACAACTGTACCCTTTACCCAGGCTGATGCCACAGAAGGAAGCTTTCTCCACTCTCATCCTGGCTCCAATATTTCGAGTATATAGCAAGCTCCATGGGGAAACCTCTGAAAATGGCTGCACGCTGCCCATGTACCTGTGCCCACTAGGATTCTATACTCACCAGATAGAACACACATATAGAGCCTGTAGAAACTTGCTAAACATTTTGGAAGTAATGTTCTTAACAGCACTTATAGAAGCTTTGTGTTGTCCCCACTCCCTGTCCAAGTTAAGCCAGTTGCTCCCTCCCCATCTCTCCTTGGAGGCACCGTGATACCCCAGCTATCTAATGGCTTTAAGGAAATCCAGTATGATTTTGTAGATTACCTGGGTTTTCCTTGTTGTTAGTGTAGGAATTATGTTTTTTTATAGCATTTTACAACCTCAGTGGAAACCACACATAACCCTTTTTGTTAAGGGTGCTGTTTTTTTTTCATGACCTATTAGTCAGAAATTCAGGCCGGGCGCGGTGGCTCACGCCTGTAATCCCAGCACTTTGGGAGGCCGAGGCGAGCGGATCACGAGGTCAGGAGATCGAGACCATCCCGGCTAAAAACGGTGAAACCCCGTCTCTACTAAAAATACAAAAATTAGCCGGGCGTAGTGGCGGGCGCCTGTAGTCCCAGCTACTTGGGAGGCTGAGGCAGGAGAATGGCGTGAACCCGGGAGGCGGAGCTTGCAGTGAGCCGAGATCCCGCCACTGCACTCCAGCCTGGGCAACAGAGCGAGACTCCGTCTCAAAAAAAAAAATAAATAAAATAAAAAGAAATTCATTGCTTCACCACACATAGCTAAACAGAACACTGGAGAACGTAGTTTGTGTTCTAAATAGTCATGTACTTAGCTAAATATTTTAGACAATGGAAGATGCAAGGAATGGTCATTGAGGTATAACCAGTAGACTCTGCCACACCCTGGAAGTTTCTTATTCTTCACATTTTCCCCTTAATTTTATAAATAGAAATACTAAGGTTGAGAGAAGTGGCATCCTTTGTCCCAGTCACATGATTCCACAGCATCAGAGCTGAAGCATGAGCCAGTGTCTCAAGATGGGAAAACTTACCTATTCAAGAACCAGTCCTCCAGGGCCCACTCTGCACTGTGCACCGTTTTAAACATAAATGTGATGATGTGAGTGAAAAAAACTCAATTCATGGTGACGTGATATGGGGAGAAGAGCAGACGATGCAGCAATTCACTATCTGGGCTCATCAGTGCGGCTTCCTTCATATTTCCCAAGTCTTTGCCTGGAGATAACTAATATACATGCCTAACGCTTTCTGTGCTGAAGCTTGTTATTTATATTGGGTTCACTTAAGACACAAAGATGGCTGGCAGATGAACGTCTTCACTTATCTTACTGTGAGTTATCTGATGTAGGTGTTTTAATTGGGACTAATATTTTATAAAACATATCTCATATGTATAAAAGTCTGATTAACAATTTAATTTGAGCCTGGGGTAGAAACAGGGGTTGAGGAGAAACTCTCCTGCCTGTGCAAGTAAGATTTTGCAATTTTCCAGTATCTTACATCATTCTGATGGGGAGACATTTCTAGTCTGTTGATCCATCCTAAATCCTCTTTAAATACTCTGCAGTAGTCTGGATGTTGAGGAGGTTCTTCCTGTGCTGTCCTAGGGAGGGGCAGAAGACTGGAGTTCAGGGATTGAGAGACAGTGGCAGGGAGGAGCTGCAGGAGTCACTTCAAGCACCCCAGCTGGGGGCTACACACCCTTTCCCCAGTACAGGCTGCAGGCTGCCGAGAGCCAGCAGACACCTCCACTCCAGACTCCAGGGGCTTTGTTGTTATAAGTAAAATGTTTATTTAGAAATAGAATGCTTGTTCCTCAGTACCTCAAGGAAAAATCAGCATTCAGACAAAAAAGTTTTTCTCAGCAAGACAATTTTACTTTCTGCAGAAACAGTGCTCCTCGCAGATGGAACAATGGCGAAGGCACACCTGAACAAAGGAGGGAAGCAATTTTCATCCCTTATGCAGCTTGTCCCTGCTACTGTGTCCTATCTCCATTGGCTGGAGCCAGACTGCACAATCTAAACTAAATCTGACTGGCTAATAATTTAAAACTTTCTTGAATAGGTAAAGGCAACAGAGAACAAAGGAAAAGAGGAAATTGCTTACAAAAAGACTTAGAGAAGTAATAATATTTCTAAATAGGGAAGGGGCATAGACTGTGAGCATGTCCAGCACAGATATCTTTGTTAAAGTAAAAGGACATAGAATGTACTTATTCCCATATGTCTAACAGCTACCTAGGGTAGGGCTTAACAAAGAGTTATTAAGAAAAAGCAAGAAGGCTTTAAAGAAACTATTATGTAAAACTATTTAAAAACTAGTTTAGTTTTTAAAAGAAACTATTATTTCTAACACTTATGATTTGTTCTTTAACAAGAAGGGAAACTTTGAAGATGAACTTTTTACTTTCAACACTTGTCCATGGCTGTAGCCCCACCATGAAGCACAAAACCTGGCACATAGTCAGTGAGCGGAACGTGGTTAGAATGAATTAAGGAATGCACACTACTGAGGACCTAACAACCCCATGTCCCTGAGGAGGCAGGAATCTGGGCTGAGCAACAGGGGAGGGGAGTCCATGGCTCCATGTGTGACAGGAAGTGCATGGTCAGGAAGGTTCAGCTGTGGGAAAAGAGACCCCCATATAAGAGTGGCTTAAATGAAATGGGGATTTCCTGTTATCCACACTCCAGGAATAAATTGTCCAGGGCCCTGTGTTGACCCCAGGATGTAAAGGCCCCAATCTTCCAACATGGGTGCTCCAGTAGCCCTGGCTGCCCCTTCCCTACTGTGATCCAAGATGGCTTCAGGCATCCACTCTCCTTCAGGGGCAAGTGGAGAGAAAGAAGAGGGCAGGCTTTAGGGGCATGACCTGGAAGTGCTATGCACCATTTCCTCTCTCATCCCATTGGCCAAAACATGGTCATGTGACCACGCCTTGCTGCAAGGGAGCATGGGAATTGTAGTCTTTATTCTGGGAGTTCGTGTGTCCTGCTAAATCCTGGGGACTCTATTGCCACAGAACAAAAAAGGAGGAAAGCACACTGGGGGCAGCAGTCACTGTCCCAAGGCTGTGTCCAGCGGGAGTCTCAAAGCCTTGAGGGCCCTTCCCATTTCTAACTGTAAATAATTAGAGATGAGCAAAGCAGAACTCGAGGGAAATCTCAGCTGGGTCGGGTGATCACCCACAAGGTTAGGGAGAGAAAAAGAGGGGATTTCAAACAAGCTGGAACTTTAAGTTCATGAGACTTGTTTTCCTAGAAATAATTAGATAATACAAATTTAAAAATTGAAAAAGACAACAGCCAGCTCCCTGTGGGAAGGATGTGGAAACTGCTTCTTAAAACATTTATGCTACCTCAGCCAGAAGAGCCTGCCGATAATGCCTAATGATATTTTTAAGTTGCTTTTGTGCTATTGGACTCTCTTTAGCAGTTATCACTCTTGTTATTTGTCATGACGACAAGTCATTTAATGCATTTCATAAGATCCATGTGTCAACTGTCTTCCCTTTGCAATGTGAATTCAAACACAGCAATCTCGCTAACAGCTATTTCCTTCCCTGGTCTCCAGTACCACCCAGGAAGCTCGCCTTGGGGCAGGCAGGGTGCCCTGTCCCTCTGCCCGTGGAGCTCCAGGCAGCAGGCATGGGCAGTACCGCTGCTCCATGTGCACACAAGGCCCAGACTCCACACAGGAAAACTGCCATCTGAAAGGAGAATTGGAACGCACAGCCCATCTGACTCTTGTCTTACTGAGACGTTAAACAGGAACACTCCCCATATCTGTATGCACAGAAGACAATACCGCCAGCTGTGTGAGGACCAATCTTTCTCTCTCTTTTGGTGCACAATTTTCCTGCACAATAACCACTGACTTGTCTTTCCTTTCTGAAGACAATTGTCCACCCGAGTGTCAGATGAAGGGTGAATTATCTCCGAGATACAGCGCGGGAGCACGACCATGTTTCCAGTGCTGAGGCTTCCTCTGCAGCTCTCTGAACCTGTGTCGGTGCGTCTGCAGGCAGACGCCCCAGTCTGTGCTCGGGAGGCAGCCCTTGAAAGGGAGCCAGGAGGCCCAGACACACACAGGCACCTGTGCCCAAATCCGGGCGATGATCCAGAAATTAAGCGCCCAGGTCTGTCTCTAATTGCACGTTTCAGCAGCGCCGCCCACCTAATACATCACTCTCTGATGTGAAGGGAGGGGGAAATTGCAGCCAGCCAGTCTGGTCTTTCCTCTGGAAAGGTTGGGAGATGTCAGAGGAGTGGCAGCAGCAAGTCGTCTCACGTGAACCCGGAGGTGCTCTGTGGTTCCCCAAGGGGCGGAGCCTGCGCTGCTGGGGTCTGGGATGGAGGGGCTTTGCACTGGACCACCTGAGCTATCCAGGGTGTGGGGCTCCATAGAGGCCCAGATAGGGGCTCAGGGACCTCCAGCCAGGGCAGAAGAGCTCAGGGGTGGTTTCCTGGCTCTCTGCAGTGAGTAGGGTGTTAGAAGGCACCAAAACAAGGCCCCTCCCCCTTGGATCTGCAGGACATGGGCTGGTCGTATGTCAGCTGTTGCTGCCACAGAAGTCAGGCTTCCAGGGGTGGAGTGAGCCCTGGGGTGACCTGGTGATTCTGCAGCCACTGTGACAAGGCATGGAGTGTCTTACGGGTCCCCTGCGGTCCAGTGTTAGAGCACCAAGTTACGTAACCCATGTGACCCTGGGCTTCCCAACACGGCGCAGGCTTTCCCGTAGACCCTCCTTCACGCTGGAGCCCCTTTGACAGGAAGGGTGAGATCAAAGGAATCCTTCTCTCCATGAGGAATGCCGGCGCTTGCAGCAGCTGCTCTGCGAGGGCCCGCATGTTTGCAGACCCGGACCTCAGGAAGGGAATGCAGGTGACCACAGCAGCGCATTCGGGAAGGTTCGGGGCCAGCTGGCGGCCACATGAGGAGCCTGCCCTCCCAGGTCAGTTGGTTTCCTGGCTCTGGTGCTCCAGCCCAGCGTGGCACAGCTGCCTGTGCCCTGCTCAGAGGACTCCAGGTCTCTTCTAGGACTGCCCATCTCTCTCCCTGCAGGTTCCTCGGTCAGGGATGGAGGCTGCAGAGTCACCCCCGCTCCATGGTCCAGGCCCTGCCCTCAGAGGGCAGGACAGGAACCTCCCATGTCCATCACAGGACCCTCCCTTCCCAGGAGGAGGCCCAAGTGTGGCTGAGGGCACCTTCAGAAAGCGGCAGCCGCTGCCCACACAGGACTCCGGGAGGCTGGAGACGGGTGCTCCAGAGCCTCCTCCCATTGCCAGCGCCTGCCCTCTGTGCCTCCAGTCCCTGGTGCTGCAGGGGCCCAGGGTGAGGGATCCACTGTTGCTTGAATGCTGGGGTCCTAGTTCCATGACTCTTTCTGCTGGACCAGAAGCTTCTCAAAGAGACTGTGCCTGAGCACAGGCCCTGGTGGACAGCCAGGGCTCAGGGACATTGGTTTCTTAGATGATAGTGACGTCCACAGCAGAGTCCCCACCGTCTGGCCATAGGCCACGCTGATGTAGACCCTCGCCATGGTAGGTCACGTGATCTTCTCTTCAGGCCCTTATATGGGAACCGCATCATGTGACCTCTCCAAGCTTTTCTGTGTGGGACACATAGAAGTGTTTGGGAGAAAAAGGTTCAGTCTTTTTCCCCACACCTTTCCATGGAGGCCATGCCTGGCCCTTGGCCAGGACATTGAATGAATGAATGAATGCCAGTGACTGCCACCATGTCTGAAAGAAGCCAGGGAACCCTCCCACAGAACCATGCTGGGGCTGCAGTATCAGAGGCCCAGCTAACCCTCATCTATGGCCCTCAGAGCTCACAGCCACACCAGCACCATGAATCCCACCTAGGGTTCCAAGGCCCCTGCTCACCCATTCCCCGAGTCCCGCCCCAGCAGCCCACGGAGGCTGTCCCATCGGTGACTGCCCCTGCCATTCTCAGACACGCCTGGGCTGGGCTCTGCTCCTCACTTCCTCTGTCAGCTGAACCCGGGCTGCTGTCCCCATCCCGAGAGCTCGCATCTCTGAGGCCTCAGAACTCTCCACCAGCAGCCAGCACCTGGGACTTGTGGAGGTGTCAGGGGTGTGCTGAGGGGAGAAGCATGTGGACTCAAGCAGAGGGAAGGAGCCCTCACTTGGGGGCAGGAGGGTTGGCGGCAGCTCCAGCGTTGCTCTGACCCGGGCTGAGGCTACATCCCAGGGACATTTGCAGCGGGCTCCTCTCCCAGCTCTGTGTGCTCTTCTAGGCTGATCCTCACCTGTCCCTCCTTCCTGACCCAACCCTCTGGTTCTCCAGACTTTACACAGCCTGCGTCACTGGCATTATCATGTTCATCACTTCTACTGATGGGGCTGAGTCTCCAACCAATAATTGGGCTGCATCTCCCGAGGTCGGTCAAGTGGCTTCTCCGAAATCACCCTGCAGGGTCCCTGAACTGACATTAATCAGCTTCAGCCTCAGCTATCTCCTGGACTGGGTCACCTGTATCCGAGGCTCCCAGCTTCAGCCAGACTCAGGCCTCTGATATTCCTCAGCTCGCCCTGGTCATTAACCAGACTTTCTCTCTACTCATGAGCCAGCCTCAGGCATCTAAATGTGAGTCCTTCCCACTTCTGTGCTCACAGAAGTTGAAGCGGGGCGCTGTGGGGAACCAATCTCTTGTTTTTGATGAGATATTTTCCCTGTGAAATGGCCTGCACATTGCCTTCCATTTCCAGGAGCAACGGTCCATCTGCCTGTCAGAAAGAAGACCCAGACACAGTCCCGGATGCAACCATGACTCTCAGCACCAAGGCATCCCCCCTTCAGCGTTCAGAATGTGAGTCCATGCTTTTCAGACACTGACATCTGAGTCTGTCCATCAGCAGCAAAGCAGCCTCCTTAAGTAGCTCCCACAGGACCCGGACACACACACACACACACACACACACACACACATACACACACACACACACACGCGCGCATCCAACCCCATCAGCAGCAAAACAGCCTCCTTAAATAGCTCCCGCAGGACCCAGACACACACACACACACACACACACACACACGTGTCCAACCCCGTGGCAGTGATTTAGAAGCCAAACCCCAGGTACCTCTCAGTCAAATATTTCAGGAGTGCCGGCAACCAAGTAATCACCCTAGATTCAAAGTGAGGAGAGAAACTGCAGCTTCCAACCTCTTTAAAATTGCCAGAGGATGTCAAAGGCATGGAGTGGGGTGGGCGGTCTCAGTTCTGTTACCAACGCTGTGAGTGACCCGTGTCCTTCATGGGGAGCTGAGCCTGGGACTGCTGTGCATGCAGGGTGGGAAATCCAGACTGATGGCCTGAGTCCTCCAGCAGCGCGTGGGGTGCAGAGCCCCAGGGGTCAAGGGCAGGGCTTCGGGATTATTGATCTTCGAGGACAGATCCAAGGCTGGGTCACCCTCTCAGGGGGTGGCTGTCCTGGGTTTACCTGCAGTGCCTGGGGGTCTGACAGCCCTAAAACAAGCCCCCTCTACCTCTTAGATCTGGGCTCAGGGCACCTTTCAGTACTGGGGCTGTTGCTGCCATGGGCATCTGGGCTCCTGGGTTAAAAACGGAATGGGCAGTTTTTCAAATTTTGATAAGTGCTGTCGGTTTGATGACATATCACAATGGCCACAGGTAATGGAATCCACATAGGGGCTTCACTTCTCATCATTCCAGCACCCCCCACCGTGTGTGGAAATGCACCTTCTCTTCTCCTGGGAGACGTTCCTCCCATCCAACTGTCTGGTTCCAGGAAGATACTGTGCTCATACATGACTCCGCCCCCATAGCCACCACTGATTGGTCTATGGGTGGTCACCTCACCCCAGATTGGCCTTTCTGGGACTTTTCAAACTGGAACTGACATGAAGCCAAGAGGAGGAAGAGACCGCATGTTTTCTGGCATATGGAGAAGGCTGATCTACCATGACAAAGAGTTAAGACAATCTCATTAGAAGGCAGAGGAGGTGGGGCTGGACCACCCAGGGCCGGCTGCTCTGACGCTCACCTGCACATCTGACCTGCTCTTTGGCTGCACAACCTGAGTCCAAGAGCAGACCCACAGGGCTCCCTGCAGAGAGTTCAAAGCAGAGGCTATTTACAGAGGTCCAAGTAGGGGTGGGGAACCTGCATCCCACGAACTGGATAAGCAGGGAAACTGTTATCCACCACAAGCCCCAGGGCACAGGTGTGGGGCTTTGTTTCTGGAATGCAGGGAGGGTTGTAACTCTGGGAGAGGGGTCACCTGGCAGGATCTGAGATCTTATTTGGGGAAAAACTTCACTGCTAAACATCAGTCAGGCAGGGGCAATACCTGCTCCAACTTCTGTCTTCTCCCATCTTAGGCTTCTCCTGGGGACTCTCATCAGTCAAATCCAACAGAATCCAGAGGGCAGGGAGCCCCACTGGTGCCATTTATAGAGGTCAGCCTGTGGGCACAGTGAGGTCAGAGAAGGGCACGGAATCGATGCAGAGGGGCAGTCAAAGAGTAACTTGTGCAAAACAACCCTTCTTGGATTCCTTGAGTCAGTAAATGTTCCCATTGGTCTTAGCATTTCTGAGTTGCATTTCTCTTATTTGACTCCAAAACTCCTGTTCTGTAAGTAACTCCCCAAAGACAGTAAGTTTCTCAAACCAGTTACTAAATCAAGTATAGGGGCTGGTGAAGCTAAGTGATGCTTGTTGCATGGCTAGATGAGAAGGCGAGAAAGCACTGTGGAGGCTCCATCAATGTTAGATAGATGCTGCCCTGGTTTCATCATCTGCTACCTACCCTTAGGCAGTTTCTTTGTTAAAGCATCTTATGATCTTGCCCAAGATTACCTGTGATAGAGTATGAAGGCCCTTGGTGGCACAACCCCTCTTTTCATGGTCTTTTATAAAACCAGCTGCCCAGCAGTGCCTGAGACTGAGCAGACATTCAATTCATGTTGTTTGAATGAAGGGACAGACGAGTTGATGATGGATAGATGATGAATGGATGGATGGATGGACGGATGGGTAAGTAAATGGATAGAAGAGGAAATGGATAAATAAGTAAATGAGTAGATGGGTGGATGGGTGATGGATGAATGACAAATTGATGGATGCATGAATGAGTAGATAGATGTGTGAATGACAAATGGATGAGTATGTGGGTGGGTGAATGAATAAATAAATGGGTAGATTGGTGGATAGGTGAATGAATGGATGATGAATGTACAGACATGTGGATGGGTGAATAATTGGGTGGATGATTGATAGATGCTAGCGACTGTTTCCACACCATCAGGAAGCCATGTGCCCTCTAAGATAATTAGGGGCTGAGACTTCAGAAAGTCAGTGTCCCAACTCATCTCTGTGAGCCTTCCAGCTCCACTCCCATCCTCCAGCAACTTCCCCCTGGGAGGACCTTGACCACGAGAAGTCCTTATTTCATAATCTCACCAAGATGAGCAGCTGACCATCCCTGGAGGGCTTCACGTTGAGTAATTGCACTTATAGTTCCAAAACATCCTCTTGAACTGAGCTTTGCCAAGGGCTGTTTCTAACTGTAGTTCATATTTTGTTGCATAAGTTTAACAAGTGCTGGTCTCTCCTAGTTTTAGTATGGAAGTCTGTGGATCTCAGAGCAGCTCAATTGGCAATTAAAATCCAGGAAGTGGTGAGGTGTCTAGTGTGTGCTGATGTGGAGAATGAATGGACCCAGGAGAAGTCAGGTGAAGGGTCCTTCACAGTGGACCTGAACCAAGGCGCCTATTCAAGCTCAGACTCTCACTCACTATGGGGGACTTTAAAGCAGGCATTTAACAATCACCTTTTCACCTTTTAAGAACAAACTAGAGTATTTGCTTTCCCTTCTCCCTCTGGGAAATAAGAGCTTGAGTCTCTCAACGTTAATCAGGCTGAGTCACCCTGTATAAAGATTTATTCTTCTTCATGGACCACACTGATTCTCCAACCATTAACCAGGCTGACTCGAGACTACCCAGGCTGAATCTCCTGGGAAATCCCTAGATGTTAATTATCCCCTTTTCTCAGTTATTTGCGAGACTGAGTCTCCAACCATGAACCCAAGCCAGGCCCCCACATTTCTTAGAATCATTCCCCAGGAGCTGGGCCAGGAACTGTGGCATCAGCCAGGCCCACATGCTGGATGCTCCCCTGGTTGACTCCCCCTCATTCACCATGGTGGGTCTCTAGACATGAGGCCACCCCAGGCCCTGCACGTGAGTCAGCTGATGGGATAGCGTTCAGTCTTAGCCCTTTGAGCATGGGCCAGCCTGGACATGAGGCTCTTGAAGCTGCAGGGCTTGGTGCCTGAGCCTCTGGAGAAGTGCTGCTGCAAACTGGAGAGGAGACAGTGGAGGCAGCTTCCGGAGGAAAGCTGGAGAGATGCCAGGAGTGCACGGCAGGCAGCCCTGGCTCTCAGGGGAGGGTTGCAACTCTGTCCAGAAGGGATTATTAACCGTTCTCAGGTGGCGTCTTAGCCTATCAAGACCTGGGCATCCTGGCCCAGTCCTCTTGGCAGTTCCTCTAAGAGACTAGTCGTGTTCTCCCGAGACAACCCGGGATCGATCCCGTCTCACAGCCCCATGCAGGGTCGGCAATGCTGCCCAGGCTCCGGTTCTCTCGCACCTGAGATCTCCGTGTTAGGAAGGAGGCTTCTCCTGCCTGACACACCCGGCCTTCTGTGCAACATGCCGTTTGGTCTGAATTCATCAAAGAACCCAAAGCTGAGCTGGGCTCAGGACTGACGTTAGAGCTGCACACACTGGCATCTCACTGTGAGGAAACGGGGCCAACCAGACCATGTCCCTAGAGTCCCAAATCCCAGGTTCATATCCCCACTACACTTTCTTCTGACTGACAGCTCGCCCAGGCTTGGGTGGTGGGTAAAACCGGAGGGAGACGGAGGCAGTGCCGGGTGCCTCTGGAATGCATCCACCAGGGCCTCTCAGGGGCAAGAGAGGGAATACCCATTCAACCCGGATTAGAGCATGCAGGAGCCTTCCCGACTCCTTTCACCAGCCAGAATGAGCAGGACTGAGAGGCTGAAAATGTCCACATCCAGTTTTCCTGGTCCATCTCCGGGCTCATTGTCCCTTGATTCGTTTATGTGATGACAGCGCCTGTGTTCTTTTACATAATTCCAGCCCCTGTGTTAGTTTATATTAGGACAGTCCCTTCACTAGCTTATCTAGGGGCGGGGTCTTCCCTGCAGGTGGCCACTCCACCTCCAGCCCACACCGAAGGACTCAGATCTAGCAATAAAGGAGCTCGTTCTGGGACCACCCACACCAGTCTTAGGACTCTGATTGGACCCACACAGGTCACGTGCACGTTGTGAACCAACCACTATTGAGTTCAGGGGCTCGGGACTGTGATTGGCCCTGCCAGGAAACCAACATGACAATCAGAGGCCGTTAGTGCAGAGGGGCAAGCCTGGCACCACAAGGTGGGGAAGCTTGCTGTTGGCTCCCTCACTACCTGTCCTGGCTGGCTGAGTTCCTGGGAACTGGGAGGTCACAGAGGTGCCGCCCCTTCCTGATACCCACAAGGAAACAGTGTAGCTTCTCATTCCCCAAGTGCCCTAGAGCCTGTGTAGGGGCCCAAGCCCTGGGCGGGACCATGGGAACAGGACCGTGGGAACAAGACCATGGGAACAGGACCATGGGAACTGGATCGTGGGACCGAGACCGTGGGAACGGGACCAAGGGAACAGGACAGCCTGCAGGGCTGGATCCCCGGCTGAGACCCCACTCAGTGATACACCTGGCCTCCTATGTGGAGAGGAGGGCTCAGCCCCAGTGGGAGTCAGGGTCCCGGACTGCCCTGTTCTTGGGTCCTGCCTGTGAATTCTAGGGACTCAAGTCCAATTTGCTCTTTTGTCCTGGAGGGATTTCCAGCTGTGATTCCCGGAAGAAGTGGGTGGTGGGTTTTACCTGCGTGACTCCAGAGGTCGTGTTACTTCATCCCAGGCACTGCACCTGTCTCCTGGATCTGATTTGCTTCTCATTTGTCTGTGCCCTGCCTCTGGCTACTGGGGACTGTAGACAGTGAGAGGCGTAGGGAAGCTCAGGCTGAGAATGGAGCCATTTCCCAGCATCACCCTCACTCTCAGGAAAGGGTGTGGAGCTCTAGAGAATGGTGGTGGGGGTGCCATCTGACAGAAAGCTGTCCTTGCTCTGGTGAGACATCTCTGACCTTTGGGAACCAGCCCTCCTCAACTATCATCCTACCTGGGGCACATAGCCCAGGCCAGGCCCATACATCACACACATGCGACCACAGTACCTGGCACCTGGCTCAGGGGTGAGCACAGGGTGTGTGTGTGTGTGTGTGTGTGTGTGTGTGTGTGTGTGTGTGTGTGTGTGTGTGAGTGATAGAGAGAGAGGAGAGAATATATTCTGGGGAGGTCAGGTAGAGCCCATTGATCTAGCCAAGCCTGCACTTTTCAGATACATTAAAACATAAATCACTTTTTTTCCAGACCTGGTTTCTGATTTGCCCATGCTCTATCTCCTTCAGCAGGCATCCCACTGCTACATGTCTGGGGAGCCCAGTGTGCTGGGTAGGGGTCTAGGCCCTGCCCCTGCCTGAGTGGTCTTAAGGAACCAGGTCTCCCACCAGACCTGTTCCCCCTGTGTCTCTGGGGGGCTGAGGTGATGCTGTCTTCACCTCATCTGCTCTGAAAGCCCATACCCTGGTGATTTGGGCAGTGCCCCTTCCTATCCAGGCTGTGACTCTCTGCTTTCTCTGGAGGTTGGAACGCAGCTGGGGGAGAGGTGACCAAGATCTAGGTGGCCCTTCCTCCTGCCTGTCCTCAGCTCCATCCCAGACTTGAGTGGTGTGTCTTCCCAAGCCCTCTGGCCAGAGAATTCATGCACACCTGCAGGGGCAACCTTGGTAGCCACCCCCTGCCATGGAGCGTGGACAAAGCCCAGGTGGGTACAGCTCTTTACTTTCCTGCATGTGGAGGATGCAGGTAATGCAGCTGCCTCTGAAAACCCCAGGATCTACACACTCCCCTAGGGACAAAGATTCCATCTGCTGCAGACCCCTGGCAGCTTTAGATCATTGGGGGTAGGGAGATGAGAGTCTAGTGTTACAGGAAATTTCATTCTTTCAAATCCAGAGTGTCCAAGAAAGTTTTATGTAATGAAAAGAAAAAAGTCAGGTCTGTTTCAACAGACAAACCAGATTTATCCAAAAAGGAAAAGGTAAAGTTCACATGTCGTAGTCTAGGTACCTTCTCACAGGGACATGAGATAATGTGGCCATGAAAAGACTTAGGTCAGTTAAACCTGAGCTCATGTCTTTACTCTGAAACCTTGTTGCTGTGTGACCTTGATTGAGTTGCTTACCCTCTCTGTGCCTTTCTTGTCTGTAAAAGGGTGAAATGGCAAGCCTTATGATATGGTTTGGCTCTGTGTCCCCCCTACCCAAATCTCATCTCAAATTGTAATCCTCATGTGTCAAGGAAGGGACCTGTAATCCCCATTTGATGAGGGAGGATGGTGATTGGATCATGAGGGCAGTTTTCCCCATGCTGTTCTCATGAGAGTGAGTGAGTTCTCGCTGGTTGTTTGATAAGTGTTTGGCACTTCCCCCTACTCGCTCTCTCTCTCCTGCCGCCATGTAAGATGTGCCTTGCTTCCTCTTCCCCTTCTGCTATGATTATAAGTTTCCTGAGGCCTCCACCTCTATGTGGAACTGTGAGTAAATTTAACCTCTTTCCTTTATAAATTACCCAGTCTCAGGTAGCATCTTTATGGCAGTGTGAGACCGGATGGATATACCCTAATTGATGGGCCATCGTGAGGATTAAATGAGTTGACATGGTAAGGTCCTCACCGTGCCCCACACATGGGACTTGCTCAGCGGATGTAACACACCTTGGCAGATCAGTCCACCCTCCCAACCTGCTCCCCACCATCTTCCCATCTTGGTAAGGCCTTTAGCATCCTCCTGCCTGCCTGGTGCAAACCGTCAAAGCCTCCCGGCCCTCTTTTCCCCACTCCCACCTGTCAGCATCCTGCGGGCTCTGTCTCATTCAATGTGTCTGTCCTCTTTCCTCCACCTGAATTTCAACCCCCAGATCTAACCACATTCACCCCACCTCTGGGTTATTTCATCAGCCTCCACCTACCCACTGCCTGCACAAGAGCAGAAGGAACTCTATAATGAGGAGTTAGAAGCTCTCACTCTCCACCCAGAACCTGCAGGGACTCCTGCCTCACTCCAGGTGGAACCTGGAGTCTTGACAAAAGCCCTGCCGTCTCTCTGTGCCCACCTCTTGCCCTTCCTCCTGACTCTACATGCTCAGTTAGCCTTGACATTCCCTAACACACCAGGCATGTGCCCCCACAGTGATATCCTGGCTGGGGGTCCTCCCCCACTCACCAGGTGCAGGCCTCTGCAGTGCTCTGGGAGGTGACTGAGCTTCTGCCTCCACTACAGTCTGAGGAGTTGGCCTCTGAGCCTCAAGGCTCAAACCTACATTTGCTGCAAAGGTTCCCAGGGGAGCCCTCAGCTTGGCGGAATGGCAACCTTGATCCAGATCCCTGGTCTTGGATCCAAGAGTAAAGGGAGAGTAATGGTGCTGTATTGAGCAGGCAGCCCTCAGCACTGTGTCCAGAACAGGGACCCAGGGACCCATTAACTAGAGCTCGGCCTCCATGTCTTCCCTTATTTTATATCTATATCTATGTCTGTATCTATATCTATATCTATATCTGTATCTATATATACATATAAATATATATATTTATTTTACACAAGGTCTCTCTCTGTAGCCTAGGCAGGAGTGCAGGGGCATGATCTCAGCTTATTGCACCCTCCACCTCCTAAGCTCAAGCACTCTTCCCACCTCAGCCTCCCAAGTAGCTGGGACTTCTTTTTGTATCTTTTGTAGAAATGGGATTTCGCCAAGTTGCCCAGGCTAGTGTCATACTCCTGGGCTCAAGTGATTCACCCGCCTCAGCCTCCTAAATTGTTGCAATGACAGGCGGGCACCACTGCACTTGGCCCCCGACCCCTTCTTGAGAGAACAACAGAGTTCACCTGCCCCATCTCCATTTTCGTGGACACCTGGGGGCAAGTTCTGCCTGCTGTGGCCAAACCTGCATTCTCATCTTCCTGGATACATCGCCACACCACACGCTGGGCCCCTTGGTGTTATGTGAAGTCGAGAGACGAGATCAAGGTCAAGGGAAGGGAGCAGAAGTGAAGCCATCCTACTGGGCAGACCCAAAGAAACCTCCCTGGAGCCTCTTCCCTGCTCTTTACCTTCCACCTACCTGACCCAGGTGGCCATGGGACCTTGGAGCCCAAACACTGGAACCAGCGGAGTTACAAGAAGGTAGTGACAGGGGCCCTAAGTCGCCCTTGGAGGGGAGACATCCCCATCAGGAGCTCACATGCTGGGCTTTGCTAAGCCAGGACACATGGCTGCTTGCCTGCTGAGCCATCTACATGGCTGCATCTGTTCCAGTAGCTGGCATTACCCTCATCAATCCACCCACCCCTGGACCTCCACAGCAGGATGGCTTACTGGGGGGAGTCAGGTTACTATGTCCACTCCAGGTGAGACCAGAGACCAGTGAGCTGGCTGGAGTCCTGTTTTGCAAAGGGCGTGAGAGTCTGACACCACGTCACAACAGGGTGTTCAAGCAGGCCTCAGTAGGAGGTCACACAGAACTGGCTTTTTTTTTTTTTTTTTTTTTTTTTTGAGACGGAGTCTCGCTCTGTCGCCCAGGCCGGACTGCGGACTGCAGTGGCGCGATCTCGGCTCACTGCAAGCTCCGCTTCCCGGGTTCACGCCATTCTCCTGCCTCAGCCTCCCGAGTAGCTGGGACTACAGGCGCCCGCCACCGCGCCCGGCTAATTTTTTGTATTTTTAGTAGAGACGGGGTTTCACCTTGTTAGCCAGGATGGTCTCGATCTCCTGACCTCGTGATCCACCCGCCTCGGCCTCCCAAAGTGCTGGGATTACAGGCGTGAGCCACCGCGCCCGGCCAGAACTGGCTTTTTACAGGAAAAAGCTTTGCTAGCAAAAATGGTTTGTTAGGGGCTCCAAGGATCCTAAGACATCTTTGAACAGCATGTCCCTTAGCATGGACAGTCCTAGCCAGGTTCTCTCTTTGGGTCCCTCCCAAGCCCTGCCTGTTGTCCTTTGGGGGGAAACAGCCATGTTGGATCATATGACAATGGGCAGCCCTCGAGGGTTAGAGACAAAGGCCACTCAATGCCGGATGACGGGTCCTCTTGCTTTCCATTCTGGTTTTCCCCAATCAGTGATTCTTAAGCTCTGCCGCATGTTAGGATCTCTGGGGAGCTTTAACTATTCCCCGCCTGCCTCAGTGAACCCAGAGTCTGGAGGTGCACAGGTTTCCTGGGAGACACCAAGGCACAGCAGGTATGAGCACTTGAACCATCCTTGCATCCTGGGATAAATCCCACTTGCTCTTCACAGCAGCTTCTCAAGCTGCATAAGCGCCTGGGGTCAGTTAAAGTGCAGGTTCTGAGGTTCTGATCAGGTAGCTCCGGTGTGAGGCCTGGAGTCCGAACTTCCAGCAAGCACCAAGTGACATCAAACTGTCAGTCCATGGACCCCACCTAGAGAGGCCTCAGAGCATCTAGAGCCAACGGAAAGCCATCTTTGGATGCACCATTTTCAGACACTCCTTGACTTATGATGGGGGTTACACCCCGGGAAACACAATGTGAAGCCAAAGCATCACAAGTTAATCCATCACAAGTGCAGGACCATCTGTATTTTCAGTTGATTTTCATCTGGGCCTTTGGAATCCAGTGGTGAAAACCAACTGAGCTTTAAGCAGCAGGAACACACCCACCCCCAAGCAGGTGTCCCACGAATAACGGGCTAAACGCTGCTGCCATTGTTTTTCAGGGACTGAGCTAAGGGGAAGCCAGCCGCGGTCACAAACACAGATGCATGATGAACAAAAGTCACGAAGCAGAGAAGTTCCTGCAGCTTAACTTCCACTTAGTGTTCCTGGGTGGAAAACTCACCCAAAAGAACAGGCAACTGTTCTAGGTGCAGTGGCTCATGCCTGCAATCCCAGCACTTTAGGAGACCAAGGTGGGCAGATTGCTTGAGCCCAGGAATTTGAGACCAGCCTGGGCAACAATGGCAAAACCCCATCTCTACAAAAAATACGAAATAAATTAGCTGGGCATGGTGGTGCACGCCTGTAGTCCCAGCTACTTGAGAGGCTGAGGCAGGAGGATGACCTGAGCCGAGGGAGGGTGAGGCTACCATGAGCCATGATCAGGTCACTGCACTCCAGCCTGGGCAGCAGAGTGAGACTCTCTCTCAAAACAAATTCTTTTAAAGAAACAGGCGACCCCATTATTGTTCCCCCGTCAGAATCTCTGGGTGATCTCAGGGAAGAATCCTTGCTAGGCGACCACAAGGAATGGGGAGCAGACCTGGATGTTCATAAAACCCAGGCTCTTTTCTGAGAGAAGACAAGACCTAGGGCTTCTCAGAGCTGCTCTTCCTTGGACAGTTCTTGTTCCTGAAAAAGGGTCCTGCAGAGACTGCACAGCTCTGAGCACCTCTGAGAAGCTGGCAGCAGTCAGGGGCAGTTTGGAGCGGTGCATGACTCGGACCCAAAAGCCACATTGAGTGAGATCTCAAGAAAATGCCTCTCCGTGTGATAGAGACAGGATGGCTCCTATTGCATTAGAACCCTGGACCCTCTTTTTCAAGAGTCTGGCAGCTTAGAGAAAAGAGTGCTGGGTGGACAACCAGGAAACTGGAGTTCCTGTCCTCATCCCCACTGGACCCACTCTAACCCCTTTCCAGGCCTCAGTTTCCCCAGCTGCAGTATTTGTGCTGGGTGAGCTCTAAGGTTCTGCACCTGACGGTCAGCCCCAGGAGGTGGCTGGTTACAATGACACAGAGGAGGAGACAGAGTGAAGAGTTCGCTGGGGAGTGGTCTTTGAGAAGAGACCTGAACAAGGAGGGGGGAACACGCAGAAATCCAGGGAAGAACAGTCCAGACAGGAAGCAGCGAGCGCAGAGGCCCCTGCGCTCATTCAGGAATGGAAGAAGCCCCAGTGAGGCTGCAGGTGGTGACCTGGGGAGCTGGTGGGGGGGGGGGCAGCTCATGGGCAGAAGCCCCTGTGAGGCTGCAGGTGGTGACCTGGGGAGCTGGGCGGGGTAGGGGGGCAGCTCATGGGCAGAAGCCCCTGTGAGGCTGCAGGTGGTGACCTGGGGAGCTGGGCGGGGGGGTGGAGCTCGGGCGGGGGGGTGGAGCTCATGGGCAGAGGCCTCCTTGGCCTTGATGGGAATTTTATTCCAAGCACTGAGAGAGAACAGAAGTGTCCCACTGTGGGAGGGACACCATCTGTCTCCATCTGGGGACGGTTTGTGCAGGGGATGATGAGATGGGGAGTCGGAAAGCGGAAGGAGGGAGACGGATTACTTCATCCCAGTGGGAGGAGCAGGGTGACTTGGGAACCCTTTATGCCCTTCTCCATTTACTTATTCATTCATTCATTGCCCATCCCTCCCCTCTAGAACGCATTATCCAGGAAAGCAAGAAAACCTGCTTGTTTTGTTCATTTCTGTGTCCTCAGTACCTACCACGTGCTTGAAAGATGACCAAAACTCAGTGAATGTTTGTTGATTGAGTGAATGAAGAAATGCATGCGCAGGTGAGTGAGTGAGTGAATAAATGATGCATGGGTGAGTAAATAAATGAATGTACGTGTGGGTGAGTGAGTGAGTGAATGGGCACATGAGTGGGTGAGTGAATGGGCACATTGGTGAATGAGTGAATGGGCACATGGGTGGGTGAGTGAGTGAGTGACTGAATGGGTGCATGAGTGAGTGAGTGAATGGGTGCATGGGTGAGTGAGTGAATGGGTGCGCGGGTGCATGGGTGAGTGAGTGAGTGAGTGAATGGGTGCATGAGTGAGTGAGTGAATGGGTGCATGGGTGAGTGAGTGAATGGGTGCATGGGTGCATGGGTGGGTGCATGAGTGGGTGAGTGAGTGAGTGAATGGGTGCATGGGTGGGTGAGTGAGTGAGTGAATGGGTGCATGAGTGAGTGAGTGAATGGGTTCATGGGTGAGTGAGTGAAAGGGTGCACGGGTGCATGGGTGAGTGAGTGAATGGGTGGGTGCATGAGTGGGTGAGTGAGTGAGTGAGTGAGTGAATGGGTGCATGGGTGGGTGAGTGAGTGAATGGGTGCATGAGTGGGTGAGTAAGTGAGTGAATGGGTACATGGATGGGTGAGTGAGTGACTGAATGGGTGCATGGGTGGGTGAATGAGTGAGTGAATGGGTGCATGGGTGGGTGAGTGAGTGAATGGGTGCATGAGTGGGTGAGTGAGTGAGTGAATGGGTACATGGGTGGGTGAGTGAGTGACTGAGTGGGTGCATGGGTGGGTGAGGGAGTGAGTGAATGGGTGCATGGGTGAGTGAGTGAGTGAATGGGTGCATGGGTGAGTGAGTGAGTGAATGGGTGTATGGGTGAGTGAGTGAGTGAATGGGTGCATGAGTGGGTGAGTGAGTGAGTGAATGGGTACATGGGTGGGTGAGTGAGTGACTGAGTGGGTGCATGGGTGGGTGAGGGAGTGAGTGAATGGGTGCATGGGTGAGTGAGTGAGTGAATGGGTGCATGGGTGAGTGAGTGAGTGAATGGGTGTATGGGTGAGTGAGTGAGTGAATGGGTGCATGGGTGAGTGAGTGAGTGAATGGGTGCATGCGTGAGTGAGTGAATGAGTGAGTGAGTGAATGGGTGCACGGGTTAGTCAGTCAGTGAGTGAATGGGTGCACGGGTGTGTGAGTGAGGGAGGGAATGCCTGCATGGGTGAGTGAATGAATGCATGCATGCACAGATGAATGAGTGAGTGAATTCACATGCGGGAGAATGACTGAATCAACGAATAAATGCATGCATGGGAGAGTGAGGGAATGAATGGGCGCACAGGTAAGTGAATGAGTGCTGAGTGGTGGTGACCAGCAGAACAGACCTGCCCGCCAACTCCTGCCTGGGTCTTCCGCCCCCTTCATCCAAGACCTGCCTGTGTCTAGGCAGAAGCCGTGCACCCCTCTGACCAGTGGAGCCCCTGCCCCGCGTCACACTGCTGTGTCTCAGGCACCTTCGTTCTCTGGGAATCTGTGCCCCTACTTTATCTCATTGGTCCTGGCATCTCCACATGGTAAGACAGGCACCCTGTCCAAGAGGAATAGTGGGCTGGCGCCGCCTCCCTGGCAGGAGGAGAATGAGTCTGGTGAAGGCTGGGCAGATGTGCTGGGGCTGGGAGGGGCATGAGGATGGCTTCTCAGGGTCTGGGCCCAGGAACTACGGTTTCTGCACAAAGTCAGCAGCACAGGAGACGGGACAGAGACACGAGCGGACCCAGCATGGTCACCATCTGAGAAGAGTCCACGTGGCAGGCATCGGACCCCACCTCTAAAGACAGCCTCTTGGCCTTCCTCAGACAAGCACCCACGGTCTCAGGCCAGGGATTGGGGGTGAGGTCTACCTCAAGTTTTGCTTCACAGGGGGCATGGGCCCTCGACCCAGCCAGTCCGACACTCACCAGTTCAACACTCATCACTCATCAGAGTGCCAGCCGAGCAGTGCCAGCCAGACCAGGTGGAGCTCAGAGGCTCTGCTCCCCTGGAGATGCTTGAGGGGAGACACTCTCTGCCTACCCACTCTGCAATTTTTAACTCCTATTTACATAAACGCTTTTGAATGCAAATTTTTAATATAATTAATCCAAATATTTTTAAGTATGGAGTAATGTGAGAGATGCTGTATTTATCCCCTTGGGCTTTTAAAATAAATCTTTTCAAGCTCTGCAGCTGCAGCCTGCTGTGTCCTCTGTGTCCTGACTAGCCCAAGTGTCCTGTGACTGTTAAGAGTGTCCAGGAAGCGTCTGCCATGTGGATGCTGTTAAGAGTGTCCAGGAAGCATCTGCCACGTGGATGCTGCATCTGCCATATGGATGCTGGGACTGTGCTTCAGAATGAGCCCGACAGAGAGGAAGACGCACAGCTTTCCAGAACCATAAAAACACCTCATGGTGAGGGCACCAGGGGATCAGAGGGCACACGCGTGCATCTCCCACCCTCACAGTCCTGGGAGATGTGTGAATGATGCATTCTCTGTCAGCCCATGCTCACCTCTGGGGTCCAGAAAATAGACTCGATATTCATGGAATTTCACACTCCATCTTCATGGGTCTGAAGGCATCATCGGAGCTTGAGGTTTCTGAAGAAGATCTTCTGTTATTCTAGGTACAAAGCAGGATTAGGCCTGAGTTGCTGCAACCTACCACTCCTCCAAGAAAGGACTCTGGCTTGCCCTTCCTGAGACCCGAAATGGAGGTGGATATTCCCCCGGCCCCAGGTTCGGTCCTCCTCCGTTTCCTTTCATGATTTCCCCTCTTCTCTTCGGCAATTCAGGCTCAGCCCTGGCCCTAATTCAGGCTCGGCCCTGGCCCTAATTCAGGCTCAGCCCTGGCCCTAATTCAGGCCCTGCCTTAGTCCTAATTCAGGCCCTGCCCTGGCCCTTTGTCTTTTCCAGGCATATTATCCGTGGCTTCAAACATCATCCACCAGCCCTTCTGTTCAGATCTGCAATCTGAAGGCCCCTTCACCCAGGGACCTGGCCGCAGCCTGCTCTGGAATGAGGAAAGGAGCAGTGGCCAGGTCCTTCCCCACCGCCCCCCGCCCATCCACGGGGCCTGTTTTGGCCACTGACACCCAACAATGCACCCAGCAGGCCCACCAGAGACCACGTCTCACGATGCCACTGCAGAGGGCAGAGAGGGCTTCCATGTCTTCCCTCTCTCCAGGTCTGCCCGGTGACCACCTTTGCCAAAATGTAACTGGACACCAGCTGGCAAGAAGTCGAGTGGCAGAGAAGGAGTGGTGAAAGGCTGAACACTACCGGCCGTGTTCGGGGAGACGCTGGGTGGGAAGGTCTCACGTCCATGAGGAACTGGGCCTGTGAGAGGGAACGCCAAGAAACACTGGATGCTGAAATCCATGGGTGCGGGAGATGAGGATCCAGGATGCGGCGTGCAGGTGGATCGGAGACAGGATGGGCACCAGGCAGGGCAGAGGCCACACTGGCAGGCTCGCAGTCTCCAGCAAACCTCACAGTCACACGAGGGAACCCCACGGCCCTCTGCTTGGCGTAAAGTAGGGTCCATGTCTCAGCTGCAGGAGCCCCTGAAATTTGAGCTGCAGAGAGTGGCAGGCAGCGGGCTGTGGAAGATGGTGTGGAATCTACCTGCCCTCTTTGCAACTGGCTGGCTGTAAGTGTGGCTCTGAAGAGGGGCCCTCTAGGACCCCCACATTTCAGGTCTTTGAGAGAAAAAGAGGGTTAAGGTCCAAGCCGTACACATGGAGAGGGAGGAAGGGAGAAGAAGGAAGAGAGAGGGACAGCTGACAGCTGGAGGGAGGGAGGCAGCAACCGACAAATGTGGGTGAAGAACGCATGGCGGGACGGCGTGGCTGAGAAGCAGAGGAGAACCGTGCCCCGCAGTTCTCCACGGGTTCAAACAACCGGATGTTACCTGTGGCCTCCGTGGATCAGGAACTTGTGGCAGAGGCACAGGCTCGAGGAAGACCTCAGAAGACAACAAGAGGTGAAGAAAACCGAGGTGGCGGCGCTCAAGAAAGAGGAGGAAGGAAAAAAGTCAGACATCACAGAAATGGAGGCATCATCACAGAAAGAAGGAGAAAGGGCATGGCTGAAAACAGCAGCAACAAGCAGGATACATTTGCAAAATAAATGGAACAGAAATAATTTCAAGAAGAATTAAAGAGAAAACAATTCATATGAAAGCACAAACAGGGCCAGGCGCGGTGGCTCACGCCTGTGATCTCAGCACTTTGGGAGGCCAAGGCGGGCAGATCACCTGAGGTCAGGAGTTCGAGACCAGCCTGGCCAACATAGCGAAACCCCATCTCTACTAAAAATACAAAAATTAGCCAAGTGTGGTGGCACATGCCTGTAATCCCAGATACTTGGGAGGCTGAGGCAGGAGAATTGCTTGAACCCAGGAGGCAGAGGTTGCAGTGAGTCGAGATCACGCCACTGCACTCCAGCCTGGGTGACAGAACGAGACTCTGTCTCTCAAAAAAAAAAAAAAAAAAGAAAAAAAAAAAAAAGAAAGCACAAAGAGGTAAGGCGTTTGCATAGTTTGTTTCTGCAGAGAAGAGAAAAGTGAAATGGAGAAGATTCCAGAGATACAATTAAGAGAGCTTTCCTGAAATCTAAGAAGGGTTGAAATCAAAAGATGTAAGGTATTCCGGGTAAAATCAATACAGATTTATCAACCCCAGGCTACTTTCTCATTTCACTAAACTTCAAAGAGAAGCAGTCTCAGACAACAATAACAACAACAAAAAAAAAACAAGTCATTTTTCAGGACTAATCAATTTCCTGAATTTACAGGAAAATTCAGACTGGCTCAAACTTTTCCAAGCAAAATAGAACATTAGAAATAAGCAACCATGAGCTCCTCTTGAAAAAAAATCTGAGTGCCTATGAACGCGGGCCACTCGGGAGGGGCAGGGAGGTGCTTTGGGGAGTAGGATGGCTCGTGAGAGGGGATGGTCCCTTGCAAAGCACCCAGGGGCCCAGCTGTGGCGAGGACACCCACAAAGTAAAGGCAGCCTATGTCACCCGGATGTCATAGAAAGGTCCCCACTGCCACCGCTAATGCAAACCTGTGTATACATAGATATCTATGTCCTTGCACACACGCATATTTTAGCAGAAATGGACGTCTATCTGCACATCGTTCCTTTTTTATTTCCTAATCTGGCAACCCTAGGTCTCCCTCCCATTTCTCCCAAGTTGACCCAGACCTGGGTCGTCTCCAGCCCCCATGACTTCTGGAAATCAAACCTTATGATCCCTGCCAGCACCTTACCCTAACACAGTGAGCCCAGGCGGTGTGGGTGGGAGAGTGTGCCACCTCTCCCTGCAGCAGGGAGGGGGTGATGTCAGAACAGGCGTGCCCCTTTCTCAAGGCTCTGCTTCAGCTGCTGCTGGGCACCTTGTGAGCCTCCTCTGGGGACCACGACATTCCAAGTTCATCAATGCATCCAGCTCACCCCTGTGTATCCTCTGTGTGTCGGGGTAGTGGAGAGGGCTGGAGGCCCCTCAAGGAGCTGTGCAGTGAGTAGCCAGGAGTGTGCAGGTGACTTTGAGAGAAGTGATTTTTGCTGGTAGTCACAGGGGCTGCAAACCCTCACGTTGATATCCGGCCCTCTGCCCCCCAGTGCTTTAGGAAGGTGGCGCTGCCCTCTACCCTTCAGGCTCTGAGCTGGGGGTGGTGTGGGGCAGAACAAGCGCAGACTCAGTGGTCCCTGGAGAGCTGGGACAAGGACAGGAGGGCACTGATGGGGAAGCATCACTGCCGGGCAGCTGGGAATCCCTGGAAGAGCCATTCCTCATCCCCACTGCCTGGCCCCCTTGATGTCCCCTAAGCATCTCACTCCACATCACTGCCTCAGATGTAGCTTCTGAGTCTACATTGAAGCTGGGATGCTGTGGGCTGAGCACAGGCACCCAGTAGAGCAGGGTGAGTGGACGGGAGGAACCACCAGGCCATGCAGCTCCTTCCCCCACCTGCATGCTGGCCGTGCGCCCAGCATGGGCTCGCCCAGCGGGAGGACACGGCAACAACCACAACAGCCAAGAGGCGGGAGAGGCCAGCGGGCACTGACGGTGAGTGGATATTGGAAATGTGGAATGTCAACACAACAGAGCATTATTCAGCCTAAAAGCAAGGAAGCCCTGCCATTTAAGACAGCGTGGATGAACGTGGAGGATGCTGTGCTGGGTGAAATGAGCCAGCCACGGAAGGACAATGTCACACAATGCCCTTATATGAGGCATGTGAAATAGGCTCGTGGAAGCAGAGAGGAGCATGGGGGTGCCAGGGGCTGGGGGAGTGGGAGGGAGAGCTGTGAGTTCAAGGGCATCATGTTTCGCTCATACAATATGTATTGGTCCCTTCTTGCGTTGCTTAAAAGAAACACCTGAGACTGGGTAACTTCAAAGAAAAGGGGTTGAATTGGCTCCTGGTTCTGCAGGCTGTACAGGAAGCACGGCAGCTTCTGCTTCTGGGGAGGCCTCAAGGAGCTTTTACTCATGGCAGAAGGTGAAGCCGCTGCAGGCACATCACACAGGGAGAACCGGAGCCAGCGGGGGCGGTGGGGAGTGCCACACGCTTTTAAAAGACCCGATCTTTCAATAACTCACTCACCATCACAAAGACAGCATCAAGCCATAAGACGTCCACCCCGCTGACCCAAACACCACCACCCCAGGCCCCACTTCCAACACTGGGGTTACAGCTCAACATGAGGTTTGGGCAGAGACATGGATCCAAACCATCTCACAAGACGAATACGCCCCGAGGTCTGCTGCAGGCGTGGAGCCTCGTCTCCAAGTCATGTTGTGTGCTAAGAGGGTAGATCTTATGTAAAATGTTCTTATCACTCTCAGAAAAAAAACAATAAACACACAGGGTGGGAGGAACTTTTTAGAGGGTTTTTATGGCATCGGCCGTGGCGGTGGTTTTGTGTGTTTATGGCATCGGCGGTGGCGGTGATTTTGTGTGTTTATGGCATCGGTGGTGGCGGTGGTTTTGTGTGTTTATGGCATCGGCCGTGGCGGTGGTTTCGTGTGTTTATGGCATCAGTGGTGGCAGTGGTTTCGTGAGCGTACACTCATCTCCAGACCCATCCAGTTCCACACATTAAATATGGACAGCTTTTTGTATGTTAATCATTCCTCAATTAAAAGGTTTTAAAAAATGTTAAGATGGTGAATTGTATGTTATGTGTATTTTACCACTATTAAAAGTAATTTTAAAAGAAAAAAGTTGGTATTATCATTATGTCTATGGTAGTATCTTCTCTTTTACATATATACGTGTGTGCAGGAGTTATAATTTTTATTTCCTCTATAATTATATCTGTTTTCAGGCATTCTACAGTGAATCATTGCAATAAGAAAAAACAATGTGGGCAACATCTTTTGAAGATGCCTGGGAACCGCCTCTGTGTCTTTTAAAAGTCTTCTGTTGAAATGTTTGTGAAAGTTACACTGATCAGTGTGGGCCACAGCTGCAAGACCTCTTCCTCCATAAAGCGGGTGGAGGAGAAGAGCAAAGCGACCTTGAGGGTCCTATGGTCACCTCAAGTGCACAGACTCAGACACCCGTGAAAACTGGAGCTGGCAGCCAGCAGGAGGGAAAGGAGATGGGCTGGGACCTGGAGCTCAGAGAGCAGCCACTATGACCCCTGAGACCCGAGCTTCCCATCCCAGGCCTGTGTTCAAGAAAACCCTCATCTTCCAGCCGCCAGCACATCCTCCCACCTTCTTGAAAACACAGTCAAGCTGTGATGTTGCCTCTGTCCCCTTTGAGGCCCCCTGGGGGAGGGAGGGGTCACATGGGAGCACAAGACCCCAGTGAAGGGTCCCAGCTCCCACCGCTCCTGACCAGGCTGTCCCTGCCGATGGAGGGATGGGGTCGCTCAGCTGCCTGCAGGCCTCGTGGACAGCAGGCCCAAGGAAGGATGGCAGTCTCACCAGCTGACCAGACCCTGCAAGGGTCCTGCCGCCCCAGGCTGCCCTGAGAGGTGGACACAGGGACCTTTATGAGGGGGCATGAAGGGTGGTCATGGCTCTCTCTGGGAGCAGCCATGCCTTCTGAGCAGGGTGATGGGGGTGGAGCCCGCAGTGCTGTTGAAACATAGTTCTCAAGGCCAATTACACTCTCGCACACTGGCATGCGCTCAGTTACTTCCAGTGCAATTTATGACAGTTCTGAGACCATAGGGCCTGCTCTTTCTATTTATCCCTTGTCCACACGTGCTAGTGGGGAGGTCCCCGGCACCCCCATACAAGTGTCCTTCTGCTCAGAAGCTCCTCATGGTCAGCTTCCTGCCTTTTTCTGAAAACGTCTTTTCACCTCTCTCCTCTCCCGCCCCGTGGCTTTCTCCAGCTTCGGGGCCTCTGCACACACCCTTCCTGTGACTGGAGACAGCCTCTCTCCCTCCGTTCTTTGCTTGACTTGTTTCTACTCGCCCTGTAGGTCTCAGCTCACACTTCCAGGTCTGGGATGGGCATCCACCACTTCTCCATCGCATCCTTCATTTGATATGATCTCGAGCGACCTGTCTTCTTTTCTTCCCAGAACTTATCACAAGTTGTAATGACTTATTTGTTTCTATGATTATTTGTTAAATGTAGGATTTCCTGCCTAGACTATAAAATCCATGCAGATGGGAACAAAGAGTCATTTTTACGCTGGTACCCAGCATGATGCTGCTAGACATTTGCTGAATGCATAGATGATTTTTCCAGGGCCTGTAATTTACAGGGAGAGCAATGGAGGCCCAGAGACAAGATGATTCAGCTCCTCCACTCTGTTCAGGATCATATCCTAAGGACCAACATGTCTGTCTACCTTTACACTGAGCCCCCACCCAGCCAACCACCTCCCATGAGAGACAGGCTCTCCCTGCCTGAGCTTGGACCCAGGCCCCTTCTCTGCTGAGCTCAGAACACATGCTTGACTGTGATGTAACAGGGTGGCAGCCCCCACAGCATTGCATCTGCCCCATACTCAGTGTGGGGAGATAGGACGCGTGGACCCCACATTTGCAGGACAGGCCGCAGATGACCAGCTATCAGTCAGCTCCCATCCCTTGTGATAGAATTTTGGGCTCAGTCTTTTCCTGGAGTGCTGGGTGGTCACAATGGGTGTCTTTCAGCCTCCCTGGAAACTAATGTCAATAGCCCCATTTAGCCCTGATGCACCCCTGACCCCTGTGAATGATCCTGAACTCCAGGACACCCCCACGGAGTAAGCCCAGAATAGCAAGCATGGTTAACGAGTCTGTGAATGAGAGTTTACCTTTGCAGAAAAGAAGTGGCAAATGAACAGCAGAGATAAACAGGTCCATTAGGAAGATACTAAAAGAAGAAAAAAAAGTCAACCTTACCTTCCCTGCTAAATTTCCCAGAACACCCCTGGGCGTGCGTCCCTGAGGGCGCCCAAATGAGGAGCAGAGGGCTCCTGCCAGATCCTCCACTGGCGTCAGCAGTGATGACTCAGCTGGGCAGGACTGGAGAGGCTCCCGCTCCAGCGACAGCATGGAATCCAGCAAGTGAAAGGGCAAATGTTCCTGGGTTTTGCGAAGCATTTGCTGCTTCCAGCTTCTCTTCTTAAACTACATTTGTCAGTGTCCTTTTTGTGGCAAGTGACAAACCCAACTGAAGCTGGCTTAGGTGAAAAAACAAATAAAACTCATGCGCCCTTTCGTGTAACGGGAGCCTCTGTCCAGACCTCAAGGGCAGTCGTTTCCATCCTCTCTCAGGCTCTCTCCAGCTTTAACTTGCTTTCATCTGTTGCCTTTACTCACAGAGTTTTCTCTGTACCATGCTCTCAGCCATCCCAGGCTGACACCCCACCAGCCTCCCAACTGCAGTGGAGAGAGAGCTCCCTGCTTCTGCCAGTTCCCACAAAGTTCTGGAATTCAGCCTCCTGGCCTGGCAGGGGCCGTGAGACCATCTCTAACCCATCACTGAGTCCAGGGCCAAGGCTGCTGCTGGCCAGGCCTGGGCTACAGGAGCTGGGGTGGAGGATGGATCAGCCTCCTTCAAATCACAGGTGACGGAGGCAAGGTGGGGGAAGGGAAAGGTAAGAACTGTCTCAAAGGGATGGAGAACAGACGTTTGGCAGGATCAAACCAAGTGTCCACAAACGAAGTTAATTCCTGTGCACTGCGGGGTGAGATCCTCAAGTTAGGAGGAAAGAGGACACGGGTCATTCCAGCCGGAATTAACTTCGGGCCTTTCTCCTGCAAGGAGGCCAGTCTTCTCTCCTTTGTCCCCATATTGGAATCCCCCGGAGCATGTCCACTGGAACAGGGGAGCTGATACATTCAGACCAGAGTGAGAGGAACTGAGTCTGGACTCATGGCTGTTTGGTCAGGGTGGGCGACAGACCCTGACAGCAGACCCCACTCCTGCAGGGACTTCAACCAGTATGAGTCGAAAGTTCATTCGGGACATTCCAAAGTGGGGCACAGGATCACCCCTCCCCCCACGGTCAATCAGGGCCCGGGCTCCTGCGTTGACTCCCTCCACTGTCCTCTGAGCCCCTGGGGTCCTCTCTGTCTAACTGGCTCATAAGGAAGAGAAAATGCGAGAATTGCAGGGCCTTCTCCATAGGCCTGCCTGGAAGTGCTGCCCTCTGGGCAGAGCTTGGTCACCTGACCCCACCTGACACAGGGAGGCTGGGAATGGGCTCTAAGTGTACCCAGGAGGGAGGTGGCATGGGCCCTGTGGCACTGCAGGCTCTGTCCCCATGAGGACCTCTCTCTGCAGGTACCCACTGTTTACCTGGGGACACAGCACTGGGCAAAGGACAAAGCTGTCCTGGAATAATTCCAAGCATTCCCCAATGAGGCCAGTGAGTGGGGAAGAGGACGGAGGAGGCGGGGTGTGGGCTGGTGCATGCTGGGGTGTCCCCTTCTGAAGCAGGGCAGGAGAGCCCCAAAAGTGGGGCTCAGCCCAGGGCAGTGAGCTGAGGGGAGCGGTGGGGCGGCTCTGCAATCATATATATCTATACATACCCCCTCTTAATTACATGCAAATTAAGGAATGGATTACACAGAAATTTCAGGAAAAAGGTGGTAACTTCCAGGTCTTGGGGTTGCTGCCATGGAAAGGTGAGGTAAGTTCACAGTGTTGTCGTGGCAATGGTAAACTGTCATGGCACTAGTGGCCGTGTCTTATGGAGAGGCGCTGTGGCCTTTTCTCTGTTTCACCCAGTCTTCAATCTCCTCCAGAGTGGAGCCCTCACCTCCTACCTCACTTCCACGCACACAGCCCCATACATGATCTCAGCATCAGAGCACCCATCCCCTGGGACTCAGCCAGGCTGTCATGGGGGATGATGGCAGTCAGAGCTCAGAGAACTCACCCTGAGGATCTGAGATTAGGTTGGCTCAGTGCCAGGGACATCTCATTAAGACAGTCACACACCTCCTCATGAGAGCACAGCCTCCTGGGATGGCACAGTTCATGTGCAAAGCTCAGCAGCATCATCAGATGAAGGCAGGGCCCTGAGGAGTCTGGGCACCCCACCAGCTGCATTTCTGATCATTGGTTTTCCTGCAGGCAGTCCCGGAGCGGGAGCCAGGGCAATGAGATGTTTAATTGCAGCCTTGCCCCTGACAACAAAGCTGCCCACCCCCTGCCTGGTGGTCCTGCCTGCAGAGATGTGGCCCACTCAGGCCTCCAAGATGTCTAGGATAACTTCATAAGGGCTCAGCTGCCTCTACTTATAAATTCACCCCAAAGTCTCCTGATGACCTGGGAAGTGACCAGAGCTCCCATGGTGCTGTTGACTTGTATAGAGACAGAACTTCTCACAGAAGCACAACCTGGATCTAATTCCCAACGCTGGGCCCCACCCTGGCTGCTGCAATCCACTCAAATGAACACACGTCCCTTGATTTGCACAGTGGTGTCCTAGGCCAGGTCAAGACATTCTAGCTCCTGGAAATGCGGTGTGTTAGGAGGGCCTTTCCCAAACATGATTACCTCAGAGAGGGTTCTTGCCGTCTTGCTCGTGATGTGTTTATAATTGCTGGGAGCAGATTCCTCCCATTGTCCCCAGGACACAGCAGAGGCCCCAACCTGCCCCATAGCCCAGAATCAGCACCACACACTCAGGCATCATGGAGTGACTGAGGTGATTCCCTGCAGGGGCTCCGGGGGCTTCCACCCACTCACAATAAACCCACACCATGTCCCATGGACTGTGAGGCCCCCATGGCCCAGGCTCCATCTCCCCCTCTGTTTATTTTGCTTCAGCCTCTCTGGCCATCTTGCTGTTCCTTGAATGCTCCAAGCTCACTCCACCCCAGGGCCTTTGCATTGCTGTGACACCTGTCTGAACACTGCTCACAACCCTCATGCTTCCCCTCCCCAGTGAGTGTCTACTCAGAGAGGCCTTCCTTGACCTCTCATTGAATGCAGCCTCCTCACACCAAGTCACACTCACATCACCATCTTGATGGTCTTCATGATACTTGTCACTGTCTAAAAGTATTTGCCTATTAGTTTATGGTGTTGTTTCTGAGTCCACTGCTTATGGGACGAGGCGCTTGCTCTGAATCCCAGCACTAGCACATCCTGTGTGCTTTTAGGAAGGTGACCTAACTTCTCTGTGCCTCAGTTTCTCATTTATCAAATGGAGATCATGAGCACTTACCTCAGGTGATGTCGTGTCAGTTGAGTGACCTGACATATGGGAGGTGCCCAGAATAGCATCTGTTGCATATTAAGGGCTGTGTAATGTTTACTCAGATTGCTACTACTGTGCCTGCTTCCTCTGCTGACACTGTCATGATCACCATTATCACCATCATCACCATCACCACCATCACCACCATTATCATCGTCACCATCACCATCACCTTAATTATCACCATCACTGCCATCACCATTACCATCACCACCATATCACCACATCACCATCATCATCATCACATCACCATCATCATCATCATATCACCATCATCATCATCATATCACCATCATCATCATCACCATCAGCAGCACTGCCATCATCCCATCACCATTACCATTATCTCATCACCATCACCAACACCATCACCATCATCACCATCATCCCATCACCATCACTCTCATTACCATCATTATCACCATCATCATCCCATCATCATCACCATCATTACCATCATGACAATCATCACCATCCCCATCACAACCATCACCATCACCATCATGACCATCATCATCACCAACACCATCATCACCATCATTCCATTAGGGAGCACAAGCTCAGTGTGACCTGTGAGCTGTTAGTTGACTCTTCTCAGCATCTGGATCTGTGTCTGGCACATAGGATACAGGTAGGGTATTTATTGAATGAACATGGGAGTTATAAAATGAGTACCTGGGCAAATATCCAGGTTGCGGTGGAATTCTGCTGCAGTGCCAGCATTACAGGGAATAGACAACTAATTGCTGGAGCCTGACATTACAGGATCAAAAATAAAAACCACCCTTCTGCCCACTCTGGATGCTCTCCTCGCCTGGCCTTCACTCCCGGCACCCTCTGAGTCACGCGGGGCTCCCTGCAGCCTCATTGATTAAATGCCCAGACACACCTCCTGATGGATTTTGTATCAATACATCCTGCCCTGGAAGCAGGCTTGGGCAGGAAAGCTCACTAAATAAAGACATCCAGTGACAGGTTTGTGAGCCTGGGCGCAGGGAGGCAGGGGAGGGAGCTTCCATCTCATCAACCGAGGCCAGAGGAGGCCGAGCAGGAGATGTGGGGCCTGAAGCCTGCACTGGCTCTGAGTTAGAGAAGCCTGGCTCCCGAGAGCTGATTCTGGTGAGGAGCCCTGAGGTGGTTCAGAACTTCAAAGGAGGCTGGGAATGTCAGTCAAGTTCTGAGTTTCCATCCCATCTGCCTGGAGAGGGCCAGGAAGAAGAGGTGGGGAGGATGTAGGGGTGGCTGTCCACAGTGCCTGGCAACCAGGACATCAGACAACATTGTTCATACAATTTAGCCCTCTGGGTTACAGTAGGAATTTGGTTATCTAATATTAATAATACTTTACTAAACCAGATCAAGAAAATATATGTCTATGTATCATTCATGCTTCCAATAGAAAATTATCATGGAAAATCGTACTTATACCTCCCTTTGATACGTGTTTGTTAAATTGTTAATATCCTTGCACATCTTACACCCCAGCAAATGATACAGATCTTTCCTCAGGATTCTCTTCTTTGGATTTTGAAAGTTCAGTGGGGTCCTCAGGTTTTCACATATGCCCAGGGGGGCCGGTCTCCGCCGGCACTCAGCTCCCAATCACTTCATTCATTTCTTCAACGCACACAGCCGGCCTCTATTCTGCTCGGGGAACACCATGAGTTGGGAGGGAGCTTTGCTCTTGATTTCCCAAAGGAAGCTGGGGAGAGAGGGAGAAAGAGAGAAGGAGACAGAGAGAGAGGGGAAAGTGGGTTTTCCTTGGGGGAACACAGGTGCTGTCGAAAAATGCAGCCGAGTATTCGGGTTCACAGTGCTTACCAGGGACCATAGGATTCGTGCCAGGCAGGCTCCCCATCTGCAAATCAGATGAACTTGGCCAAGATGGACAGGGAACTGCAGGTTGGAGAGGAGGCCAGAGAGAAGGGCCTTATCCCATGACTCTGTGCTGGGTACAAAGGTGGGGAGACCTGACGGGCCCTGGCTCTTCCCAGGTGGAGATTCATATCAAACCCACACCCACCCTCCATATCACACCACACCCACACCTCTTATCACACCACACCCATCCTCCATATCACACCACATCCACCCTCCATATCACTCCACACCCACCCTCCATATCACACCCACACCCACCCCCACATCACACCATGCCCACCCCCTATGCCCTGGCCCCCGGGATGGAGGGTGGGCTGGGCAGGGCGACTCTGACTGATGGACGCTTCTGGATGTTCTCCACGTGCTGCCTCTTAGTCCTGGTCTCTGACCTTGGAAACAGAACACGGGCTGCGGCCCACAGATGCCACTAATATTTTCTGTTGCGTTTGTCAAGGGAAGCCACAGTTGGAGATTGGGACTGGAGAAAGGGAAGCTTTTCCACCCCTGCAGGGAGGGAGACTCATCCCAGGTCGCACGGACTCCCAGACGCAGAAAGCCCCCCTCTGCACACCTGGGCATGTGGCCTGGGGTCACCCTTGCCCCGGGTTCCCAACGCCTCCTCTCTGCCCAACGCCACTCCCATTCCCCCCTAGAAATGGACTCAGAGCTGCCTGAATCTGCAGAGCTCCCAGAGATGAAGCCGCTCCTGACAGCCACTCACAGTAACAAGGGCAGAGCCCAGGGAAAAATGCACCATCACGGGGAAGACTCTGCAGGGACAGGGCAGACCCGAGTCCCGTTGGGTCCCAACCCTGGCCGCCTGCCCTGCATCAGAGGTTCCCAAAGCGGCGGACACGGGCACCCCTGGGAAAGGCAGCCTCCACCTCAGCGTTCGGCTCTGGACAGGGATGAACAAACATGTGCACCTGAAGCCCTCCCCTCCCCCTGCCAAGCTGTTTCGAAGGCAGGTGGTCTGCAAGCCACCCCTGGGGAACATGTCCCCGGCCACACCAGGGCCACACCTCAATACCTCCTCCCTGGGACTGAGCTGGGAAGATATCTGGGGCTGGCACGGAAGAGTGTGAGCCCAGGAGCAGTTTGTCACCTGGGTCATTACAAGGAGGATGCGTCCCTTGGAATCAACAGTAGCTCTTTAGGACAAGGGAAAATTGTTGTCCAAATAACTTGGCATCTTAGCAACCATGGAACATTGCTTCATCCTGTCCTTGACAGGGATGTCTTGTCACTTAATTTCAAATCCCTGCCAGAGAGCTTTTGAAATATGGTCTGTGTGTCCACTGTATTACAGATGTGCACACTGTTTGCACACACCTGTGTATTAGTGGCACTAGCGTTTTACCAGGAAAATGCTGGGAACCTTTAGGCAGCCAGGACTGCTATCAGCACAGGTCATTTTCCTCTCACCATCACATTAACTGGGAGCATTAAATGGCCACGTAAAAGTCACAGCCGTCGCTGGGAAGGACAGTGTCCTCACCCACCCGTGTGCTCTGGAAGTCAAAGCGGAACATGATGGAACATGATCTACGGGTGGAAGGCAGCCTGTGCTCCCCACTGTTACTAAATTAACCGGCCTGGCGGTGAGCGCAAGCATTGAATTATTGAACGCAGAAATGCTGGCCCCATTTAAGCGGACTTCCTGTAAAGTCAGTGCTGGGGAAAAAGGTCACAGCAGAAACCGCGTGGAGATGAAAGAAACTCACACAGAGGCTTGGCCCAGTGGTCGCGTGCCACAGCCAGAGGAAGAAGAGTGCAAACATCTGATACTAGAGGAGCAGAGAACCCCAGCTCCCCAACTCACTGTCGGCCGTGGGTCCCAGCCTCAGAGGGGTTTTTGTTCCAATTCCTGAGGGAGGATCCTGAAGCAACGCTGATCTGATAGGAGCTTCCGAGAGGAATCTCAGCCAACACCCATTCTTTCTACAGCTGCTCCGGCACCTGCTAACCTGGTTCTAAGGATCTGTCTCCTCACTGTGACCATGCCAGGGTGCAGGTGGCCCACCAACGACATGAAAATGCCACATGCCATCCACGTAGGGTCGCTGGGCTATTTGAACTTGAGTTCTCTATTCTAGGTTTAGATTTTGGAGACAGAAATGAACCCTAGATCTTCAGACCTCAGTCCAGGACTCTTCCTGACTGTGAACCGATTTCAGACCAAATTTCTTCCCTCAGGAAACTGAAGCAGCCACCCAGCCTCCAGCCTCCAGGCCTCCAGCGTGGCGTGGCTGTGTCTGCCTCAGTGGCTTGGCTGTGATTGGTGAGGCTCTCCTCACTTCTGTCTTCACTAAGCTGAGATTCTCTGTCTCTAGGAGCCTCGCCCATGAATCAACACAGTGAAGTGAGACCCAGTTGTCCACACAGACCCCAGGCGAGAGCCTGCTGTGATGGCCTCTACCAACGGGAAGGCGGTGCTCTTCTCCAGAGGCTGAGAACAAATCCCCTTTCTCCAGGACAGAACTTCAGCGCCCATGGCTAGGGCTTACAGCTCTTTCCCACAGCCTGGCCTTGAGGACCCCAGCTGGGGACCCCATGAGCTGCCCTCAGGGGTCTGAGCCCAAAGGCTGGCAGGTGGGGCAGATCTGGTCTGGGGCCCTGGGAGGGAGGCTGGTGGGCTCTCTGCTCTCCCTTTGGCTGCATCCTCTGCCCATGGGAAGGGACCTGCCCGTGTCTGGGGTGTGAACCTAGAAAATCTGAAGCAGGTCTCAGTTAATTTAGAAAGTTTATTTTGCCAAGGTTGAGGACGCGCCCAGGACCCAGCCTCAGGAAGTCCTGATGACATGTGCCCAAAGTGGTCGGGCACAGGTTGGTTTTACACATTTTAGGGAGACATGAGACATTAATCAATATGGGTAAGAAGTATATTGTTTCCTTCTGGAAAGACGGCACAACTGGAAGCAAAGGCGGGAAGACTCGAAGTGGGGAGGGGGCTTCCAGGTCACAGGTAGATTAGACACAAATGGTTACATTCTTTGGAGTTTCTGATTAGCCTTTCCAAAGGAGGCAGATCAGATATGCATCTATCTCAGGGAGCCGAGGAGTGGCTTTGAATAGAATGGGGCAGGTTTGCCCGAGCAGTTCCTAGCTTGACTTTTCCTGAGTGATTTTGGGGCCCAAGATATTCTCCTTTTCCAAGGGGAAGGGAGTTAGGGCCAGCATCCGTGGTCAGGAGGCTGCCTCTGTTCCCACAGCTCCTGTCCTTAGCACTGCCCACACCCCATGAACTCAGGGCCCACCGTAGGGCGGAAGCTGTGTCATCCTTGCTCGCACCTGCACCCATCACCTGGTGAGCGGCACTGGAGACACAGCCCTGAGTGTGGGCATGGACTCCCCAGGGCCTCAGCATCCTGCTGTGCAGGTCACCTCCAGGACACCAGTGTCGTCTCTGCTGTGCTGTGGGGTCACCTCCAGCTCAGCCTGGGGACTCAGGACACCAGTGTCGTCTCTGCTGTGCTGTGGGGTCACCTCCAGCTCAGCCTGGGGACTCAGGACACCAGTGTAGCCTCTGCTCTCCTGCGGGGTCACCTCCAGCCTAGCCTGGGACTCGGGACACCAGTGTAGCCTCTGCTCTGCTGTGGGGTCACCTCTGGCTCAGCCCGGGGACTTGGGACACCAGTGTTGTCCCAGCTCTGCTGCGGGGTCACCTCCAGCCTAGCCCAGGACTCGGGACACCAGTGTTGTCTCTGCTCTGCTGTGGGGTCACCTCCAGCCTAGCCCAGGACTCGGGACACCAGTGTTGTCTCTGCTCTGCTGTGGGGTCACCTCCAGCCTAGCCCAGGACTCGGGACACCAGTGTTGTCTCTGCTCTGCTGTGGGGTCACCTCCAGCCTAGCCCGGGACTCGGGACACCAGTGTAGCCTCTGCTCTGCTCTGGGGTCACCTCCAGTCCAGCCCGGGGACTCGGGACACCAGTGTAGCCTCTGCTGTGCTGTGGGGTCATCTCCGGCTCAGCCCAGGACTCGGGACACCAGTCCTGAGTCACGCAGGGCTTGTTGCCTGTGCTCTGCTGCTGTAACTTCCAGCTTCAGCTGCAGGAGGAGGAGGAGTTGGGACATCAGGAAAAAGGAATTGAGCTCCTTTGTAGAAAAGCTCAGAGGTTTCCAGAACGCAAAGCAGGCCTCCTGCCTCAGAGCACACCCTGCAGTTGGAATAGCAAAGCACTGGCTTCCTGAACCCCAGCCCCAGTGGGCGCTCTGCCTTGGGGAGCAGCAGACTCCAGGCTTCAGGGTGAGAACTCTCTTCTCTGCTTGCATTATAAATGTGGATCTAACAATTACAGCTGATTAGCATGCAAAAGACAAACAACATTTGGCAGAGCCTCCTTTCACCTCTAATGGTTCCCATCTGAGCTGCCCAAATGGTCGCCTGGCACCTGATTTGAGTGGGCCCAGGGGGTTTGCTCTGCCCCACGGCTGCAGGGGGGAGATGGGGGAGGCCCGTGAGGGAGGCAGCAGCTGGAGCCCAGAGGACTCCAGGCCTGTGGTTCCTTCTGTCCGAGGCCCCAGGTTTGCCTTTTCCCCAGGTTTCAGAGTCTTCCCGCACTTGTTGAGTGATGCCCAGGATATTTTGTCGTGAAAGGAAGGAGCCAGGAGGGCGGCACTGCTCTGTCTTGGCAGGAACCGGAGGACCTGTCTGGCTGATTTTTGTGTGGCTGTTGTAGCTGTAGCTTTGATGGTTGTGCTTAGGTTTTGGGGTACAGCAAGGTCACTCGGTGTACTGTCACCCAGCCCATGAGAGCACCCAGCAAGGTCACTCGGTGTACTGTCACCCAGCCCAAGAGAGCACTCAGCAAGGTCACTCGGTGTACTGTCACCCAGCCCATGAGAGCACCCAGCAAGGTCACTCGGTGTACTGTCACCCAGCCCAAGAGAGCACCCAGCAAGGTCACTCGGTGTACTGTCACCCAGCCCATGAGAGCACCCAGCAAGGTCACTCGGTGTACTGTCACCCAGCCCAAGAGAGCACCCAGCAAGGTCACTCGGTGTACTGTCACCCAGCCCATGAGAGCACCCAGCAAGGTCACTCGGTGTACTGTCACCCAGCCCAAGAGAGCACCCAGCAAGGTCACTCGGTGTACTGTCACCCAGCCCATGAGAGCACCCAGCAAGGTCACTCGGTGTACTGCCACCCAGCCCAAGAGAGCACCCAGCAAGGTCACTCGGTGTACTGTCACCCAGCCCAAGAGAGCACCCAGCAAGGTCACTCGGTGTACTGTCACCCAGCATGTGAGAGCACCCAGCAAGGTCACTCGGTGTACTGTCACCCAGCATGTGAGAGCACCCGTGCACCCTGATCCAGCCCCTCGGTCAGGTCCCACTGCCCTGACAGCTCCCTGATGTGGATGCCACAATGAGAGGCGTGTCCACAGCAAACGGAAAATGGGCTGGGATCCCTGTGGTCACTTGTTCGCTTTTCGGGGCTGGCAGCTGGGGTGTGTTCTTAGGGGTGATCTGCAGCTCCAAGCCGGACTCTCTCGCCATAGCTCACAGTAGCACGTGCGCGGTCACTCTCAGGCAGGAGCCACAGCACAGCCTCAAGGTGCTGCTGCCCATCTGTCTGACAGCCTCAGAGCAGAGACACGGATGGTCTGGTCGATCCCGAAACAGCTACAAAGGCCCCTAGGACCATCCGCTCCAGGACCGGGGCAGAGGGGATCAGTCCAAAGTTTCACAAGCCCTGAAACAACCACCAGCTCCTCAGGGCACCCACAGTGTGGGGAGAGGGAGAGGGGAAGGGAGAGGAGCTCCTCCCCAGAGGCCAGGGTCTTCTCTTCAACCGAGCTCTGTCCCCTTCCACCCAGGACCCTCCCAGCCTCTTAGAGGGGCCTTGAGTGATGGGGGAGGGGAGCCAGCAGGAGCAGCTTCACACAGGGCTTCTGCTCATGGGGAGCCTCAGAGGAGGGCGTCCCCCAGAAGCCGCATCCTTGGGGGGTAACTGGAGGACACGGGCAGGTGCTGCTTGCAGCCCGTGGGGTGTGGGCGAGACCCCAAGGCCTCCAGACACGCATAAGTTAGAAGGAGGGGGTGTCTGGGTTCTGTGGGCCTATGGCCAGGCTTTCTCCTGCTGGGAGTCACTTCCATCAGGGTGGGGAACGGGCTCTGTCTGACATGAGGCTCAGGACCCCTCAGGCGCCTGATCCTGGAAACCCTCCAGGAGCCTGTGAGCTTGACACCCAGGAATGAGCTCTCCCGGGGGTGAAAGCCATTTTCCACCCACCCCCACCTCCCATCCAGTGCTGCCCTTTAGGAGTCTCTGCCTGGGGTCGGGGGTGAGGCAGGCAGGGCTGCACTTGCAATTTGCAGACAAGAGCCCCCTCCACGGAGGCTGCTCTGACCCCACGGGAACCCAGGATTCAGCTCAGAGCTCCTCTTCCTGGTACTTTAGTGAAACTCCCCAGTGCTCCAAGGGTGCAAACCTGCAGCGACTGCTCCCATCCCAGGGCCACATCAGGCTGGGGAAGATGAGGTGGCCATCTGTTCCCCTGAGCGCCTTGGTGATTCATGTTAGAGATTTGCAGAATCTCCCTGAAATTTGCTTAAAAATGTTATTTGCCCCAACTTTACTGAACTCTCATTAGAGCAATCAATCCATACGCTTTGCATAAACCTTTGATCTTATAAGAAATAAGAATGCTGGAACTAGGACCATTTTGACTATTTCTTAACATCTAAGCTTAACTAACTTAAATAATTCAGTAGGTGGCCATAGAAAACCTGGAGACATTTCTACCTAAGGACAACACATTCAAAGACTTATGGGTTATTTATTCCTTTAATTTCCCCTCAAATACAGCCATACATCCATATTACGTGGTTTTAATGAATATTTATTTCTCAAATGAAATATGTGGCTGTTCGGATTTTCTAATGAAAGGCAGGGGAGGAGGGAGGCTCAGCCTTTTGTAGGCTCTACCGGCTCCGACAGCCCCAGATGCTCCCAGAGCCCCCAGCGCAGGAGGCCCTGACCCATCAGGGTCTGCAGGGGGCTCTAGAGAAAGGAGTGTCGGCCCCTCACCTCACGGGGAGCAGAAGCCAATGAGGGTAGCAAAGGTGCTCCCACCACCTGCTGGGGTGCGCTGCACTTCACAGTTTGCAGGGGCCACGCTGTGTCTAGCAGGGCTGGGGTGCAAGGAGTTAGCTCTCAGTCTCCTTCAGCCTCCCGTGCCTCAGGTACCTGGAAAATGGGCGCAGGTGTCACGGGGTGGGTCCTGCCCCATAGGAGGAGCCCACAAGTCATTACCTGTGGCCTCAGCATCAGGGACACAGACTCTGTGCTTAAATCTGGAGGTCATATGAGGACAGTGCCATCCCCTCAACCAGCATCACCACGATGGGATTTTGGAGAGCGGCTGGGGGCTATGCACCTCTGATTTTCTTATTGCCCTCTTTCTCCATCTCCCAGCTTCCAGCTCCCTCCTCTTAGGATCACGGAGTCTCTCTTTCCTTCCACATCTGCACCTCATTCCTTATTTATGTGAGATTCTCCAAAGGCAGAGCTACAGAGCGGGAAATCGGTTTTTGGAACAGACCTTCCGCCATGAATTTTCAGGGTGACTTGCATGGAATGTCCATTGGTAGAAATGGAGATTTCCTTTCCTGTGAGGAGATGTTTCCCTGCACAGTCTGGGTGCTGAATCCCAGTCGGGCCCTCTCCAGGGGCAGTCAGGGGACACACCAACGGTGTCAGCAGTGTTTCCGTGGCACCCGTTCCCTTCTGAGGCCTGGGGCAGTAGGACCACGAGAGGGGTCTGGGGCAACTGACACAGCTCCGTGGGGTCCCCCGGGTTGCTGGAGCCTCGAAGTCTGGAGTCCTCGTCCCTCAACCCTCCTGGACTCAGAGGCAGTGTCTGGTGCAGGTTGATGCATGGGCTTTAGAGTCTGGGAAACCTGGGATTGAGCCCCAGGCGTCCCTCGTGTCATGCAGGTGCATCTGTGCCCCTGGAGGGTGAGTATGAAATGGAACAAGGCAACAGGAGACCTAGCCCAGTTCTAGGCACTTAATAGGCAGGAATACATGGCAGGTGTCCTCAAGAGAGATGCAGGCTTTGGGAGGCCGAGACGGGCGGATCACAAGGTCAGGAGATCGAGACCATCCTGGCTAACACGGTGAAACCCCGTCTCTACTAAAAATACAAAAATTAGCCGGGCATGGTGGCGCGCGCCTGTAGTCCCAGCTACACGGGAGGCTGAGGCAGGAGAATGGCGTGAACCCGGGAGGCGGAGCTTGCCGTGAGTCGAGATCGCGCCACTGCACTCCAGCCTGGGCGACAGAGCGAAACTCCGTCTCAGAAAAGAAAGAAAAAAAAAAAAAAAAGAGAGAGAGAGATGCAGGGACCAGCACCAGCCCACCAGTGTGGGGCGCGGATGGACCCTCTGCTGCCACATGGCACACGTGAACTCCAACCCTCCTGGTGCCCGGCCCAGACCCCTGCCAGGGATGGAGGTGGGATGCGGCCTCCTTCGACTGGCCTGGTCACTGCATGAGGGGAGGCTGGACAGGGCTGGGGCCTCAGCGTTCAGTGAGTAGGGAGGGGGAACTGAGAGACCCAGGGTTCCAAGCCCCCAGGGCAAGCTCCATTGAACTTCACTTACAAAGCACAAATTCAAACATAAAATTAAGAATTTCACGATCTTTGCAGCCTGACTGCAGGGCCTCTGGGCATGGAGGGAGCTGCTGACCATCAGACGCATCTGCGCCAGACTCGAGTGAGAGACCCACCTAAGTCACAAAGCTGAGTGCTGGGGGGGCTCCAGCAGCCTCGCCCTAACTGGGACAGTGCCACTGTTGTGATTCCCATTCTACAGAGCAGGAAACAGGCACAGAAAGCTGGGTAGCGTTCCTGGGTAGCGTTCCTGGGTGGCGTTCCTGGGTAGCGTTCCTGGGTGGCGTTCCTGGGTGGCGTTCCTGGGTGGCGTTCCTGGGTGGCGTTCCTGGGGTACTCGGGAGGGAGACGGAGAGCCAGGCTTGCTTGCACCCAGGTGGCTGGGTCTGCTAAGATCCCTGCTGGCCACGCAGTGAGCTCAGTGTCGTTGTCACCATCCTCGACGTCAGCCCCACAAGGAGGGTGCTGCCCGACATCCCAGCCTCCCGCTGCGGAAGAGAGAGGTTTGGTAAAGAAGGAACAGGTCTCAGAGTCCCAGCCTGTGGGCTCTGGGGAGGGGATTAGAAATGGCGCTTCCAGAGTGCCTGGAAGGAGCGAAGCAGCTGCCAGTGTCATTGTCATTATCTATGTTGAGGATGACACAACAATGCCCTCGATGACGTTGAAAGGCTGTTTCCAGACTCAGGGGCTCCCCGCCTCGCTCAGTTGAGGACCTGCCCTGGCCGCAGCCCACCCTCAGCCCTCAGCAGAGCTGGGGCCTGGGCAGCTCTGCCGTCTTCTTCCAGAGGGGCGCTGGAAGAAGCTCCCGAGGATGAAGTCTCGGCCGTCTTCATCCTCGGGCGCTGAGGGTCAGCCCAGGTCCCAATGTGTCCCAACCCTGGGCGTGGGTTCACCCACGTGAGTGGCAGAGTCAGACAGCACCCCCAAGGGTGGGAGGAGCCCTTCCCGGGCAGGAGTGTGCCCCATTGCAGCTCCATTTGGAGGGAGACTTAACATGTTCTGACATGCAATAGGCTTTCTCTTCAACTCTTCCAAGACCTGGGCATTGATTATTCTCGTCTGCAGGCTGAAGGACTGGGCTCTGGAGCGGAGATGCAGAAATCGAGGAGGCGGCCGCTGACCCATCGATGTAGGAGAGAAGCTCTGGAGCCCATGGGTGGGACGAAGGTGGTGGGGACGCAGAGCTGCCCCCAGGCCTGGGCCCTGCTCACCTCCTAGCGCCAGGCATGGCCCCACCCAGAAATCCACAGACAAAGACGAGGCTCTCCAGGGGAACGTGCTCACCCTAAGGGTGGTCCCGCTGAAGACTGGCACAGACTTGGCTTCTGTCCCACACCAGGTCCAGCCTGGACCGTTCCCAAGAGCAGAGGCTGGGAATGCCGGGAGCCAGGGGGTTCCAGGAGTGTCCCCAGGACCATCTGCCCAGTGTGGACAGAGACACAGCACATCAACAACATAACAACACAATACAACAGCTACAACCATACAATACCAGCACCATACCCCAACATAACACAAAACAACACCACACACCACACCATCAGCACCAGTGCATCAAGATAACACAACAACATAATACAACAGCAAGAACATCTACAACCATATACACCACACATCACACCATGAAAACAACCCCAAACTGCACCACACACCACAGCACACCACAACGTAACACAACATCAACAATATTCACCACACACCACATCACCACACCAACAACATAACTCAAAACACCACCACACACCACACCATGACATCACAACACAGCATCAACCACACAACACACCACAACGCCATGACCGCAGCACCACAACACAACACCCCATGTGGTTCTGTCAAGGGTGCCCCAGCCCAGACATGCTGGATGAGAAGGAACTCGGTTACAGACGACAAGGACACTCCGGCCTCGCTGGGGCTGAGCGCTTCCCTCCTGGGGCTCCCTCCACATCTTGTCCTGACCCCCCGTCGCCTCCTGGGGCAGAGCATTCTCTTCTCTTCTCTCCTCTCTTCTCCTCTCCCCTCCCCTCCGCTCCCCTCCCCTCTCCTCGGGTTAGTCCAGTGGCTGCCTCGGGGAAGGGGTATCCCAGAGACACCTGCCCATCACCCCTGGAGGCCATCGGGTAGCTCCACCTTCCTCCTCCCCTAGCCTAGGCCCCACCTCTTCCCCACCCCGACCCCTGGAGGCCATGGGGTCAGCTCCACCTTCCTCCCGCCCCAGTCTGGGCCCCACCTGTTCTCCTGCCTCCCCCGTCCTTTAGAAGCAGAGGAGGCTGTGAGGATCCAGCACCCACAAGTGAGCTCCGTGCTCCCTTCCCAGGGAGGGGAGGGGAACCCCCACCTGATGTCACCCTCTTTCAATGACTAGGCTTTTAGTGTATGATTAAACCAGCGGGATTGAGCGATTGTTCTTGGGCAGTTTCTCGACTGTCACCCACGACTCTCCTGGTGTCCACTGCAACCATCTCAACACAGAAGCCCTGGCAGGTGCCGCGCGGCCCATGTCTTGGGGACTGAGCCCAGGTGTGCAGGTTCAGGCTCTTGGTGGGAAGAGCCAGGGACAGACATCAGCAACTAATGCAGAAACTAACCCACAGGCAGGGCGCCGGGAGGTCCAGGCTTCGGGACACAGGCCCTTCTGAGCCTCCCTCCCCCACCCGAGGTTCGGCGTCATCGTCACCACAGAGGCAGCCCCGGGTGCAGCAGGGACATTTATGTCCTAACCAGCAGGATGGAAGGGCATGTGGCTCCCTCGGATAAGTCAGGGCTCTCCCCGGAGAAGACGACAAGGACGTGTGGTGAGCACGTGCTCACGGCAGCGCCAGAGCCCAGCACTAGAGCCAGGTTCGCTCTGCTCTTCTCCATGGCGCTGAAGCACACCTTTGTGTCACCACGGTTTTCTGTGGTGTGACAAGTAATGTTTTTCCAAATACCCAGGCGTCACAGGTTGGGAATGTTTTACTTTTTAATAAATAAAAGGTCATTAGAGTAATTGATGGTGGGTGACTTCACCCTTGCTACATTCAGACGCGCTGTGTCACCAGAGAGGAGGGCTGGGGTCACAGCTGGCAGGACAAATGCCTGGCTTGGCTGTCCACAGTCAGGAGAGGGCAAACAGCTGGGAGCAGTTCTCTGCAGAGCATCAGAAACCCTGATGCCAATCAGCAGATGCCCGGGAATGTGTTGGCTCACATAGTGAAGAAATCTAGATTATTCTAGCTGGTTCTGGCCTCTAGAGACATCTCCAGGAAGTTCTCTCTCTCTCTGTGTGTGTCACAAATTCCACTCCTCTCTCTCTCTTTCTCCCCCTGCTGTCTCCTGCTCTCTCTCTCTTTCTCTCTCTGTCTCTCTCACCCCTGCTCTCTCCTGCTCTCTCTCTCCCCCCCAACTTTCTCCTCTCTCTCTCACTCCTTCTCTCTCTCTCTCTTTCCACCACCCCCCCCCACCCCCGGCTCTCTCCTGCTCTCTCTCTCTCTGGCTCTCAGCTCTTCCCTCCTGTGCTGCTTCCATCTCAGGCCCCACATGCTGTCCCCTGGGAGCCCCGGAATCCCCTCTGGCTGTGACCCCATCAATGCTGCAGCACCTCCCAGCTCACCTGTGCTTAAGAAAGAGCACAGGCCTTCCCCAGTAGCTTCTGCAGTGGTCCTGATCTTTCTCTGATTGGCCCTGATGAGGTCATGTGACCCATACCCCACAGAGTGCTGTCCTAGGGAGGATGTCTGTTTACTATGTGGGCCCCATCACGTGATTTACGTGTACAAAAAGGCGAGGGCCCCACCTGGCCCAAAGGGACAGAATGTGGGGAGGGGCAGCCCACAGGGAGAGCCAAGAGCACCAGGGGAGGCAGGGGAGGGGCTGGGGAGGAGCCTCGTGTCCGGGTGGTGAGTCCTTCACAGCAGAGCCGTCCATCCTGGTGTTCAGGGGATGCCGTCTCTATTCACTCCCCGGTGGAACCTTTCTGGGCTTGTCGAGTCCGCATCAGCCCCCAGGAGTGTGTCTGCCGCACACTTGACCGGCATCCGTCATGCACAAGAAGCAGAAGAAAGGCTGAAAGCCCTGGTCTGTTTCACACCTGAGTGAAAAATTAAGTCTTTTCATCCGTGAGGACTTCAGTCCTAGAGTAACGACCCGGGCCGCTGGACTCCCGAGGGGGCTTCCGTCTGCTCCATCACTCAGGACCCCAATCCCAGAGCTGAGACGGGGCAGGCCCTGATTTTTCCTGCAGTGCGTCTACCGCAATTTATTGCCCAGGATTAATGCTGAGGCTGTTTTCCTGCTTGTGACTGAGAGCGTGCAGACAGACCAAGACGGAGAGGTTTTCCCGACATCGACCAGGGCGGCTCTGCTCCCAGCATCGCGAACGGTGGCACCTGCGTCTGGAAGAGAAGCTCTGCAGGCTGGGATTCGGGGAAGGGGGCGCTGGAGCTTCCTGGGAGAGGCGGGCAGGACTCCCCAACCTGGGAACAGTCAGAGGCAAGAGCTCAGCTCCAGGTCGGGCAGGCCGGCGCCTGGATTCCACACTCACAACCGTGCGGCTCAGGCCTCAGTTTACCCACCTGTAAAATGCAGATAACTGTCGTATTGACACGATCGCCTTGTGAGGGCAAATGAGGCAGTCCTGTGAAGATGGCGTGGACGCATCACGGCTGTCGATCATGAGTAATATTGATATAATACAACCACGTAGGGTTGGGTACTGTTGTTAATGCCACTGAGGATGTTTTTATTGATTATTTTGAAGCCCCGCTGTGAATCTACCCTTTTACCTGATCCTAAATCTCTCCTGCTGCTGCAAAGCTACCCTGAGACACACCCAGGAGGTGGGTTCTGGGTTCTGGAGCCCCGTCACCCGGCCAGGTCAAGGGACGGAGCTGAAGGTCAGGCACCCCTGCGTCCCCTCCCTACGCTCCCGCCCCTCAGCCCACGTCCCACAGTCCAGACCCCGCACCTCCCCCTCCCCTTTCCTTTTTCCTCCCATGAGACCCATCTCTCCTGCCCCTCCCTGGCCTCCACCCCATGCTCAGGGTTCAACACTGTCCTCCGATTCCCTCCACATTTCCCTCCTTCCTCCCTGGGCCCCCATCATCCACAGCAGACACCCCTCAGCCGCCGCCCCACCTCCTGCTCCTGGCTGCCCGCGTCCCGTGAGGACCCTGCTCCTGGACCCCAGCGATACATGTCCTCCCGCTTCTCTCCCTCTCATCGGCCCCTCCCAGGAGCCCCCTTCCCAGTGTTACCTCTTGGCTCCAGCTTCTTCCAACCAAACCCTGAACTCCATCCAGAGCGGAGCTGCTGCCCTGCTCCAGAGTCCATCTGGTCAACCCAAGTCAACCCCTGAGACCCACCCCTGCGGGGCAGCCACATCCCGAGTGCGGAGAGCACGGTTGGCTTATCTGGGACACACGCTTACTGGCTTGTTCTGTGTGATCGGGGATTGGGTCTAGGGGCCTGTGGGGATTTGGGTCCCAGGGTGGCTCTCATCTGACCTACCCCACATTCCAGCTGCCAGCCACATGGGCTGTGCAGAGGTGACTGCATGGTCCTCCCAGGCCACTCCATTGTCCTCAGTGAGGCTGTGCCTGGGAGGTGACAATGATCACAGACGGGGCACGTATGGCATTGTATCCCCACATGCGACGTGTGTCCTCTGTGCAGAGCTGGGACACTGGTACTATCGTGTCTCTACATGTGACCTCATGTCCTCTGTGCAGAGCCCGGGGTGTGGGTGCCATCATGTCCCCACATGTGACCCCATGTCCTCTGTGCAGAGCTCGGGACACTGGTGCCCTCGTGTCCCCACATGTGACCCCATGTCCTCTGTGCAGAGCTTGGGACACTGGTGCCCTCGTGTCTCCATGTGTGACCTCATATCATCTGTGCAGAGCTTGGGACACTGGTGCCATCGTGTCCCCACACGTGACCATATGTCCTCTGTAAAGAGCTGGGACACTGGTGCCATCATGTCCCCACGTGTGACCTCAGTCATCTGTGCAGAGCTCGGGACACTCTTGCCATCGTGTCCCCACATGTGACCTCATGTTCTCTGTGCAGAGCTGGGACACTGGTGCCATCGTGTCCCCACGTGTGACCTCAGTCATCTGTGCAGAGCTGGGACACTGGTGCCATCGTGTCCCCACATGTGACCGTATGTCCTCTGTACAGAGCTGGGACACTGGTGCCATCATGTCTCCACACGTGACTCCATGTCCTCTGTGCAGAGCTCAGGACACTGGTGCCATTGTGTCCCCACGTGTGACCTCATGTCCTCTGTACAGAGCTCGGGACACTGGTGCCATCGTGTCTCCACGTGTGACCTCATGTCTCTGTACAGAGCTGGGACACTGGTGCCATCGTGTCTCCATGTGTGACCTCATGTCATCTGTACAGAGCTCGGGGCTGTCTTCCTGTGGCTGCTCCTGGGTGGTCAGGCCCTGTGTTCGAGGCGGCTTTGACTGTGACTGTCCCGGGTGCAGCCATCACTAACCCAGCCTAAGAGCAATAAACCCATCTGCCCTGGCCTGGAGAATGTGTGGGTTGCTATGCACCTGTCGCCATGGCACCAGCACCTGTGACTTCAGGTCGGATGAGCGTCTGGAGAAGAGCAAGCAGCGTCAAATGGTCAGGGGCCCAGGGTGCCTGCGGAGGTCAGCCTCTGCCCAGTTCTCTGCAGGGAAACCTGTGGGGCCGTCCTGGGCCCCACGGAGCTCACAGTCGCCCTGGGGAGAGGGAGGAGGGGCCCAGGAGGTCTTCTCATCTGGGACAGTCCTGGAAGAGGCCCTTTAGGGACTCGCATGGTAAGTTTAGTCCAGAAATGGGGCACCCAGCAGCCAGGCTGAGCCAGGACCTGAGAAAAGAGACAGCTGTCCCCAGAAGTCCTGCCCTGCGGCTGCTCCATCCACCAGCCAAGTGGAGCATCCTGGACCCACTCACAAGGAGCTCTGCTCTTCATGACTTTAATGCAACCTGTCACCGTCATGGTGGGTGATCACTAATAGAGCATAGCAAGGCAGGGAGACTTCAGGGCAGGGAGTTTCTGCAGAAGACATTGGAACCAGGAATGTACACAGATACCGGGAATGTGAATTGTAGCTTCAAAGGGAAGGCACAGGCAGCCCAGCAACAGCAGCAGCCGATGGGAGCTCGCGGGGAGCCCACCTCTCCTCCAAGTGGTGAGAGACCCCAGAGGAGAGGCCTAGGGTCTCTGTCCCCCTGGAACAGAGAGAAAGATGCCTGCGTGGACGGGTCCCCAGAGGTGTGGACAGCAGGGTCCCCACGCTGACCACGGCAGGACAAGCTAGGGTTCAAGCTCCTCAAGGAAAGCTTTAAGCTCATCCTCAGGTTCTGAGCAGGTGCAAGCCAGTCCCAGGGACGCTTTGCTCCGTTCCCTGCTCTCCAGGGGAGGCGGGTGGGGAAGGGAGGAAGACAGAGGCCTCTCCCTCCTCCCTGCACAGCCTCAGACCTTCCTGCCAGAAGCAGCGCTGGACTGGCGTCCAATAACGGTGATGATAAAGCTAATAATTATTAGCATTATGAATTAATAGACAGGGAGGCAGTGAAGTGCAGGTGCTGGGGGGCTACAGCACAAAGTCCAGGAGAGTCCATCCCGGCCCCACCCCTGAGCCCGGGTGACCTTGGGCCAATCCCCCAAGGTCACCCCTTCTGTTGGCTTCCATCACCTCGAAATTGCACCTCCCAGGAGAGCACAAAATGAGAAAAAGCGCTTAAAACCCTGAGCACGGATGGCTCCTGCCTCAGGGCTGTGAGCTGCTGCCACCATTAGTCCTGAGAAAGCCAGTGGGGCAGGGGCTTCACCCAGCCTGGGATGCTTCATGTGGCCCATATGGTGTCCTGGGAAATTCTGAGTCTGTTGCCAATAGTTCAAAGTTGGGATGTTCCAGGTAAAACCTGGATTTCCACCTCATCCTGGAGAACCAGAAGTCCCGGCAGCCCTGGGCGCACCCGGCCACAGTTGGCTGCCAGAGTCAAGGCTGGGGGCTGCTCCCCAGTGACCCAGCTCCCACCAGCTGGACTGGCAGCCACATCCACCCAGCCCCATTGGTGCTGTGACCCTGATGTGACCTGGGCCTCTGCCGCCGAGGCCCTGAGCCCCCCTCCCCCAGCGAGAGGCCTACGGCCTCTGGAATAAGCTCAGTGGGGAGCGGCCTGCTGTGGGGACGCCTCTCACCACAGGTTCCCCCTGAGTTTTAAACAAAATGCACATGTGCACACACGCACACACTGAAACACACATCTGCACACACCTGCACACAGGTACACACCCACACGGATGTACACCACACACATGCCATGCACACACATAGACACACATGTGCACTCACACACATCCCACAGACATGTGTGCACACTTATGCACACATGCTTAAGTACACACCTGCACAGAACACATGTACACGCATATACATACTCATATCCACACACCCCATGTACCCGTGTGCACATGCATGCTCAAATACTCATAACACACATGTACACACATATGCACACATGCACACTCACATCCATACATCCCATATACCTCTGTGTACACACATTCTCAAATACACACTGGCACATGACACATGTACACACATATACACACAACCAAAAACACATCCATGCACACACATACACACATATGCACATGAAAACACGTCTGCACATTCATGCATACTAGATGCACACATCCACACACCCACGTGGATACACAGATACACGTGCACACTAACATCCACTCAGCTCCACACACCTGCACGTGCACACCTGCACACACACCTGCACACACACCTGCACACACACCTGCACACACACGCCCACATCACATCTATATGAACACCTGTACACACACATGCCGCATGCACACCTGCACACCCAGCCTGTCTCCCAGCCTTAGGACAATGACATTCTCCCTTCAGGGTTCCCAAATCCATGACTACACTCACTCAACCCCTCTGCAGGGCCGTGCAGACCCCGTATCTGCTGCCCGAAAGGGAGGCAGTGGGGGATGATGAGAAGCTCCCCTGACACCAGGGATCCAGTGTCTCTCAGGCCCAATTGATCTATGCTGTTGCTCAAGTCTTCTCTCACCCTGTTGTTCTTCTGTCTGGCTGATCTATCCATTATTGGAAATGGGGTATTGAAACCTCCTGCTGCATTTCTGTGCTTCTCCCTTCAGTTCTGTCAGTTTGTTTTACATATTAGTGTGCTTTGTTAATAGGTCCATATGTGTTTATAACTGCTATATCTTCCCAGTAAATTTACCTTTTCGTCATTGTGTAAAGTCCTTTTTGTCTCTTGTGACAGTTTTTGACTTGATGTCTATTTTGTCTGACATGAATGTGGCCATCTCTGCTCTGTTTTGTTTACCATTTGCATGGAGTATCTTTGTTCATTCTCTCATTTTGAACCTGTGTATGTCCTTATATCTAAAGTCATATGGAGGTAGAGAGTGGAAAGATGGATAACAGAGACTGGGAAGGGTGAGTGGGGATGGGGGAGGATGAAGAAAAGTTGGTGGAAGGGTACAAAAAACAGTAAGATAGAAAAATAAATTCAATGTTTGATAGCAGAATAGGGTGAACATAGTTAACAAAAGTATATTGTACTTGGGTGATGGACACCCTATACCCTGACTTGATCACTATGCATTATATATGTGTAACAACATTTCACATGTGCCCCATGAATTTGTACAAATAAAATAATATAAAGTGTCTTGTAGATAGCATATAGCTGCATCTTATTATGCATTCAGCCACTCTATGTCTTTTGACTGGGGAGTTTCACCCATTTATATTTAAATTAATGACTGATGGGGAGGGACTTACTATTGCTATTTTATTGTTTTCTCTTTGTCTTATAATTATTTGTTCCTCTTTTCCTCTCTTGCTGCCTTTCTTTGTGTTTCTTTGTTGTTGTTTTTTTGTACTGAGCTGCTTTGATTTCTTTCTCATTTTCTTTGGTGTATCTTCTATAGGTATTTTCTTTTGGAAGGGTCTGATCTTATTTGTTACTCAAAAAATCTTGTTTTTGTCTGGATGCAGACTTAGAAGTAGGAGCTCACCGCTGGAGAGTCTGCATTTCCTGGCAGTCTGTTCCTGATGTTTTTTTTTTTTTTTTGGCCTCTTTCATTCTCGTGGCCAGTGTGTAGCATATTCTGCAGCCTCTGCCTTATTTTTTGTAGTACACTGTTTTCTTCAGAGCAAGATGCCAGCATTTGTGCTGCAGGGCACATGGAGTAACAAGACACTGACCGGGCGTGGTGGCTCACGCCTGTAATGCCAGCACTTTGGGAGGCCAAGGCAGGGGGATCACAAGGTCAGGAGTTTGAGACCAGCCTGACCAACATGGTAAAACCCCATCTCTACTAAATATACAAAAATTAGCCAGGTGGTGGCGGGCGCCTATAGTCCCAGCTACTCAGGAGGCTGAGGCAGGAGAATCACTTGAACCCAGGAGGCAGAGGTTGCAGTGAGCCGAGATCGCACCACTGCACTCCAGCCTGGGCGACAGAGTGAGACTCTGTATAGAAAAAAAAAATGAAAACAAGACACTGAGTCGTAGGTGCTTTGGTCCTCGGTTTCTTACATTCTTCGTTTAAGGGTTTTCAACATTTAACATTTGAAACATTTCAACATTTCAACATTTAGACGTCTTCTTCTTCGTCTAAAGAAGACGTCGTCTTCTTTAGAGACATTGAAAAGTCTACGGATTCTGCTAGCTCTTCTGGGCCCCAGGCAGCGAGGCACCATAGTATCAGTCAGTCCAGGAATGTCCTTCTCTCCTATTTTTTTTTTTTAACAATAACCAAGTTGAGAATGCTGAGATTGGCATCCACAATGCAACGGCGAACAGGTTTTCACTGTCTTTCTCCAGTTCTCCTTGGTCTATGGCAGGAATGCCGCTTACTCGGTAGCAGGTGGACATGGCCGTGGGTCGGGTCACCCTGCTTCATGGGAAGGCTTGTTTGTCGTTCCCACCACTGATCCAGACCACAGAACCCTTCCATGCTTCACGAGAGCATCAGCAGCAACTTCTGTGGCCACAGGCATCTCATACAAACTACGAAGTTTGTGTTCATCGTCCACTGCAATGAGCTTCTGGCAGCCAGCGGCTGGGAAGATGTTCAGCTTCATCTTGAAGCGGCTCTTCTGTTGGTATTTTCTTTGTGGTTACTATGGGGACTGCATAAAACATCTCATAACAATCGACCTTAAGCTGATAACAACTCCAACTGCATGCAAAACCTCTATCCTTTCTACAACCCCCTGCTTTATGTCCTCAGTGTCACAGATTACACCTTCTTACACTTGGTATCAATTCGCAGAGCTTTGTAGCTGCCTCAGAAAGGCTTCTGGGCCTTGCTGTTGTGAGTTGGTGTTTCTGTCGGGAGGCAGTTCTGGGCTTCCTGTTCCGCCTTTGTGCTCTCCTCTCTGGAGGTCTAAACACTCAGCCAGGATCATGTGACAACCCCGGACTCTCTGTGCTTCCATCCTGCACTGGAGCAACCTCCTGAGAAAGTGCCCAGAAAGAGTGACCTGGCGGGTCTGAGACGATGGCCCTGGGAAAGGCCTGCTGGTGAGGGTGCCCTTGGCTGGTGTCTTGGAATCTGGCTGCAGCAGTTCCCTGCGCAGACACACAACCTCCCTCAATAGCGAGGAGCTCCTGTGTCTAAACTCCTGTGGAAACCACGTGGTATCCTGAGCCCGTTTCCTTCTGGGGGCCTGGAATGTCTGTGCGCGCCAAGCAGAGGTGCCCCCGTGACCAGCCCCCTAGTCGCTGGGCGCTGAGTCTCTGTGGGCTTCCCTGGTGGGCGACGTCTCACTGTGCCGTCACGTCACGTTGCTGAAGGAACTAAGCACAGCCATTGTGGCTCCACAGGGAGAGGACAGGGATGCTTGTGCCTGGTGCCTTGGACTTGGCCGCCCAGCCCCTGGCTGTGCTCACCCCTCCCCAGCCCCTGCAGCCCTGGATGGCAGTGGCTTCCTGCTGATGCCTAACTCGGGGTCACTGCCCCACCATTTCTTCTGCAGCTCCTCCAGCCCCTCTGTGGCGAGTTCCATGATTAAGTGGCCCCCATGGCACTCCCTGGGTGGCTCTGGCTTCCTGGCTGCCCTGGCCCACTCATAGGACCCTTTTCTACCAAGCATGGCCTCCTGGGAGCCTCACACCCCAGGACACAGAAGGGACTGGGGCCCAGCAGGTGGGTTGCTGACCCCGGAGACAGAGTGTCCACTTTGCTCATGGCCAGAAGTCATTTCATTATCTCTAAGAAGCAGACAGTCTGCTCCTCCTGTGTCTATAATTTTATTTACCTTCACAGACACACAGAATGTCAATGTGACTTCCTACCTCCAACTCAGCAAGGAGGACACGGATGCTTAGATGGGAAACGGCTGCTGCAAACGCAGCCTGAGTGTGAGGTCAGGGGCTGTGCAGACAGACAGGCAGACAGACAGATGGAGAGATGGACAACAGATGGATAGATGGACAGGCAGACACACAGATGGATGGACGGACAGACACACAGACAGGCAGATAGGCGTACAGATGACAGACAGACACACATGGACAGGCAGACAGACAGACAGATAGATGGAGAGATGGACAACAGACGGATAGATGGACAGGCAGACACACAGATGGACGGACAGATACACAGACAGGCAGATAGGTGGACAGATGAGAGACAGACACACATGGACAGGCAGACAGACAGACAGATAGATGGAGAGACAGCAGAGACACACAAGCAGACACACAGTCAGGCAGACCTGGTTGGATTCCCGCCAGTCGCCCTAAGTAGTTCAGTTGACTGTTCAGAGCTTTTGTTGCTCACCTGCGAAGAGGGGCGGGGCTCCGTCTCCTGATCTTCGGACCACCCTCCATCCCCACCTACCCGTGGGGAAGCCCCCTCCCTACTCTCAGTGGACCTGGGGGTGCACACAGCACTGCTCCCTGATGCCAGGCTCTTAGGGCAGTCGCGTGGCCCAGGCCTGGGGAGTCCCTGGACTCCGTCTCCTGGTCACAGGGACGGGCCCAGGATCAGCGGGGTGTGTGGGGTGGGATTCTAGACCAGCGGGGATGTTCCAGGCTGGTGGGACCCTGTGGATGCAGATGCAGCTCCCCATTTCTTGCCTTCCAGGGTGTTGTGGTTCTGAAAGAGAAACCCCAGTGCAGTAGGTGAATGCGTCCCCAGAAATCCCCCTGGGGGTCCCCAGTCACAGTGGACAGTGAAGCCATGACTCAAGCAGGCCCCCCAACCCCGAGTCCCACTGTCCCCTAGTCAGAGCCCATGGGGACCCGGCCTGGGTCACTGCACAGGAAACGATGCTGGACTCACTGCGGAACCCACAGGCCCAGTGATCTGGTCTGACCCAGGAGGACTTGAGCGGCCCAGTCCCCAGGGGCTTCCTGTGTGACATCACAAGCAGACTGAGGCCCGTCAGAGCCGCCCCAGGCAGTTATGTGAGGTGCTCTCAACTTACAACCTTTAAAACAAGGAAGACCCACCCTGTTCCCAGGAGCTTTCCAGATCCACCAAGGGCAGGTGGGAAGAGACCTTGAAGTATCAGGGTTCGAGCCCCGAGAGGAGATCCAAGGGGACCCCCTCCTCCATCTGACTGAGGAACGGACTCCCCACTTCCACCAACCCAACTCGTCATGGCTGCTCGGAAATCTCATATTCAACTCAAAAAAGGAGGCGAAACTCCTCTCAACGCCTGCATTTTAAGCAGCGGCTCCTCGGCTCTTGTGCGCTGTTCAGGCGCTCGCAGATCGTCCCTGCTCTTCCCTCCACCCTGCAGTGAGCTCCTGGCAGCTGGGCCGGACGCAGCTTCCCATGAGCAGAGGATCGACCTGGGAGCCTGGTGGGTGATCTCCGCCCAGACCAAGCATGAGAACCCCAAGTCCAGTGGGACAGGCCACAGACCAGCGACTGCTGCCCATGCCTGTCCTGGGGACTCCAGACAGTGCCGAGGGAAAGGAGAAATCATTCATTCAGCCATTCATTCGTTGACCCAGGCAATTATTCATTCATTCATTCAACAGATATTGACTGAGTCCTCCCTTTGAGGCAGGCACTGTTTTATGCACTGAAATACAACTATTTATACAACAGACACTCTTCCCTCCCCCCATGGAGGTTCTGTTCAAGCGGGGAGACAGTCATTTGTTAAATGAAACATAAAATCTCAGTGACAATTAGAGCTCTGGGGGAGAATGAAGGAGCAGGAAGAGGCAGACGAGGAGGAGCCGGGGCTGCCAGGTGCAGTAGCCCAGGTTGCGCACTGCTCAACTTTGCTGTAGGATTCACATCACAGTCATCAGAGTCACACTGGGCAGTTTTCCAGTAGATGGCCGCACTGTGTCTCAGGAAGGGCCCATTGCCGCTTTGTCCAAGGCCATCTCATGGGCTCAAAGCCATGGGAGGGGAGGGGTCCTGCCAGGATGACACAGAGTCTGGGGCCCTCATTTTCCTCCCATCAGATGATGCCCAGCCTGGGAAGGCACTGAGACCGCAGCGGAGTGGGCCAGGGGGCAGTGAGAGGAGGGGACGTGGGTGGGGCAGGGCTGGGGCACTGGAGGAGCAGGTCAGGCAGGGCCCGTCAGCCCAGGGGCACCCCAGGACTCAAGCCCGCAGCCGACCCTGCTCTGCTAGGCCTCACTGCAGCTGTGGGAAGGGGAAGCATGGAGCCCTCCCTCAAGGTCAGTGCAGCGCCTGGCTTGAGCTCATGACGGTGACCGTCCCCTGCTGCCACCATTGTAGTCACTGCCCTGGTGGGCAGCCTGGACCCCAGCTCCACCGCGCATGGACTGTGTGGTCTTGGGCAGTGCCAAGCTCAGCCTCACGGGCCTGTGGGGACGGTCACAGGAGGTCCACGTGCCAGGCCCAGGGTTCATGCACAGGGTTACCACCACTGCGAGGTTGCCTGCCCCGTCTTGTACCCGGCCGTCCATGTCCTCACCTCAGGCAGCAGGACAAAGGCAAGTGGAACTGAGAGGGGAGAGAGAGGCCAGAGTCCCCTGCAGCCCTGTCCCCAGGACCAGTGCCAAGAGCAACCTCAGAGGAGGGACCTGGGAGTGGCTGGTTCCAGTCCCCACCCCCACTCCGATGGGAAAGTGACCCCGGGTGACCTGCCAAGGTCACAGGGCAGAGCTAGGGTGAGGTCTAAGCACCTCATGTCTGAGCAGAGGAACCCACTCAAGGCCCACCAGGACCCACACGGCCAGTGTTGTCATCACTGAGACATAGAGACGGGGGCCCCCGAGCCACACAGCTGGACAGTGAGAAAACCAGGCTCCCAGCAGTGAGCTGGCCGCATGCCCAGGGCCTTCCACAGCTCCACACAGCCCAGCCTCCAAACCAACTCAGGATGGGCCCAGGGCTCAAATGCCCCCAAGGCCCAGGCAGAACCGTGGGAGTGCAGGTGCCCAGGGGTGACGATAGGGAACGGTGGGGACTGCGGAGAACCGGAGAGGGCTTCCCTCCTAAGGGCAGTGAACCTCAAAGTTCCCTAAACCTACAGAGCCCACCAAGCTCACCTCTCCAGGGGGCTTCAGTCCAGTCTCAAGAGTGGCACCTGGTGAAGGGGGTTCTTGGGATGTGACAGTGACCTCCGAAGCCTGGACATTTGCTCTGTAAGGAGGGGGTCTGGGCTTTTAAAATGTCCTGCTGAGAAAAGAGAAGACACAGGGTGGATTCGGGCACAAGGGATGTGACAGAAGGAACAGCCCCTCTGCAGCGGTGGCGGTTCAGAGGGCCCAATCAGCACACGACCCCCACCCTGGCCCCTGCAGAAAGGCAGGCCTGGTGCGGAAGCTGAAACTCGAAGCCTAGCGCGAAGGCCCCGCAGATGTCAGTCGTGGGGTGCGCCAGAGGCAATGGGGGCCCCGTGATGAGTGCGACCCTAACTGGGTTATGTTGATGAACGCAGGGATTTTCACATCAGAGTTAGGAATGGCGGTGACAATAAACTAAGGAATGGTTTCCGTGGATACAGTTGACACGCGGAATCTTGTGTCTTAGAAAGTCTGTCTTGAGGCTGGTTACAGTGGTTCACGCCTATAATCCCAACATTTTGAGAGGCCAAGGAGGGAGGATCGCTTGAGGCTAGCAGTTCAAGACCAGCCTGGCCAGCATAGCAAGATTCCATGTTTATTAAAAATTTCGAAAGGCACGTTGCTTTGTGTCTCAGGATTGCTCTGTGCTGTGTTCAGACAACAGGAGGATGAAAACAAACTCTCCAATCTCGGGGCTGGGAGGAAACAGGGTGCCTATTACTGTGAGGTGGGATGAATTGATCTTTCATGGAATCCTCCTGCAATGCTCGTGGGTTCGTTCCTTCCTTCCTTCAACAAGCGTTTCTTGCGGCATCTACTACGGGCCAGGTGCTGTCCTGGGCTCTGCAGATCCAAAAGTGAAAGAAACGGACAAAATCCCTGCCCTCCTGGAGCTCCCCTGAAATAAGCGGATCCGTGAAATGAAGGGAAGAGGTGAAGCCAGAGGCGTCGGGGCTGGGAAGGGAAGAACCGGGCAGGGCCCCGGGGGCATCTGGGGGGCGGCGGGGCCTCTCCAGCCGCGGGGGCCTCTCCAGCTCTGGGGCTCCTCTGAGCGGGGCCTGCGCGGTGAGGAGCGGCCCCTACTGCGGGCAGGAAGCAGCGCGGGAGGGGGAACCGCAGGGCAGACCCGGGCCGGCATCGCCTCCGGGGACGGGCCCGCTGTGCCCGGGAGGGGTCAGGGCCCTAGAGGCGGCGGCAGCGCGTGGACCAGGCCCCGACTCAGGGTCCCGGGCAGGAGCGTGGACTTCGTGCATTCGGAAGCCGCCGGTCGAGGCTCGGTGGCTGCTGCGGGGGCAGCGGGTGGGGAGGGCAGGACGCACCTCTGTCTACACCCGCTTCACCCGCTTAACGACACGAATCAGCGTCCTCCGCGCAGGGACCCGGAGCTGGCTGGAGGCGTCCGCAGAAGACCCGCGCCGGGGCCGAGGGCCGCGTGGGGGCCGCAGACTTGCAGGGAGCGCAGCCCCAGGTGGGCAGGGCCGAGGCGGGGACCTGAAGCCGGGGAGGGAGGCCCAGGGCGGGCTCCGCGCGTCCAGCCGCGGGTGGGTGTCTGCGCCGCTGGGGGTTCCAGAGAATTCTCAACCGTCCCCCTCTCTCCCCCCGGGACAGCGTCTCCATTCCAACCTGGCACGGACGCCAGGAGCTCGCGCTACGAGTCATTTTAAAAAGAAAACACAATTTACGTGTGAAAGTCGAGACGAGAAAGCTCGCGGGTGCCCGTTAGGATTTGTGGGGTGAGACGGGAGAATTCACACCAGTCCCAGCTGCCCTCCAGGGAAATAGAACCCACGAACGTGTCACGTCTGCGTTTATCGATAACCGCGTGTGCGCGGAGGGGCTGTGCTCAGTGTCCCGCGTGAGGCTCCCGGGAGAGCTCCCTCCCCTTCCGCGTCTGGCTCTGGGAGGGCCCTGGGCGGCCAATCAGGATCCCCATTGCCTTCGCCGAAGTGCTGTGTCCGGTGCAGGCCTGTGACCCACGTGGCCTCCAACAGGGTCCCTGTTTATCGCGCTGTCGTGGTCGTGGGGTTTGAGGAAGAAAGCCCAGCGCTGGCGCCATTTGGTCTCCCATCCAAGTTCTAACCGGGTCCGACCCTGCTTAGCTTCCGAGATCAGATGAGCTCGTAGGCGTTCGGGGGGCATGGCCGTAGACTTTGGCCACTTGGTACCACGGTGGGCTGAGGGGCTGCGGGTGGGAAGGCGATTTGAGGAGCACATTTGCAGGCAGCAGACTGTGGCTTCCAGAACCGACTGTGCCCGAGGATAAGGCCTGAACTTCAACAACCTGCAAGTGGGTTGAGCAACCCGTTTCACCGTTGAGGAGACAGAGCGCTGGCCCAGCCTGGACCCGGAGCTGAGGTGGGTCCTGCAGAAGCCGTGGGGGGCCCGGACTGTGCATGGGAAAAGGGCCACACCAGGGGCTGCAGGACCCCTTCCTGATTCCCCCAGGACGGGGCGCCTGTCATTTGTCTACAACCCATTTTCCCTGGGCCTTCTCCTCCGGCTTCCCCCGCATGAAGGAGTTTGCTGCGAAGCACGGAATTCCAGCAACGCTGGGAAATCCACGCAGGCCCAGTGCCCAGTGCCCCAGGGCCCCAGTGCTATGGGTCCCACAGGATCCGCTATTTGGGGTGAAGGCCCTGGGTGTCCCCGGGGAGCAGAGCTGGGCTCTCTCCTGCTTGGAGAAGGGTGTGCTTTTGTTTCAGAGCCGTGGGAGCAGACAACATTTCTGAAGGTTGCAATTTTTGTTTTTTAGCAAAAATTCCTTTCTAAAATGTATGAGCCCGAGTAACACATTCATTTTTGTGATACGGAGTGAAATCAGGCATGAATTTTTCACGTTTCTTTGCTCATTCATTGGGCGTTAGGTGTATCACTCCTCGGCTTGTCAAAATGTTTTAATTTGTGGATTTGTTTTTAAAAAGTGTATGATTGGCAGGGAAGTGGAGGAGGGTTTCCCTCCTGAGAACACCCACCACATAGACAGGAGGCCCCAGTGCCAGCTCGGGACTTGGGGGTGGGAAGTATTTAACTGGGATGGGGAATCCCCTGCATGACAGGTTCCTGTTTCCTGGCTCACCTGGAGGCTCCTGGAGCCTGAGACCCTGACGTGGAAACAAGTCTCTCGGGCACAGGCACACTTCAGGGTGAGTGCAGCCTTCACAGGGGATGGGGCCTCACTGGGCTCTGAAGGCCAGGGCCACCTCCTCCTCCTCCTCCTTCCCAGGGACTCCAGGAGTCCCCTCCCCATTCCCATCCCCTAGCCTCTATCCTCCATCCCAGGCTTTAAAGAGATGCATTCACCTGTTGAAGATGGTGGCCCAGGCAGGAAAAGAGCAGGGGCTGCTGCTGACTTGTTCCCCAGGAGCACAGGAGAGGAGGCTTCGAGACCCACATGTGTCCTGTGGCTGCTCCACCCACACCGGGGTCTGACCCCAGCGGATCAGCAGAGAGGACGGCCCAGAGCAGGAGGCCCAGCCCAGGGCAGCTGGGATCTGCAGGGCTCCCCTCCAGAGGCCGCACCTCAGACCTTGGCAGCAGCCCCCGGCTCTGTGGATCCTCCAGGAGATTTTCCCAAGCTCCAGCCCCAACCCTTTAATTCACACTGGGAAGAGCCTCAAAGAACCCGGCAGGGACGGAGCTCCCCCCACCCTCTGGGCAAAGATCAACTTGGTTAAAAGGGCCTCCAGCTGAAACCCATCTCCTGGGGAAATGTATTAAAACAGAAACTCTGCTAGGAAGATTGTTTTGCTCAGACGTTCTTCTCCTCCTGGGTTTCTGCTTTTACAATCTTGACCTGAACTAAATTTAATGCAGAAACCTTCCCTGGTTGCTGGGAGAGCAGAGTGGAGGTTTAAGTGAGAAAACTAATTTCAAAGAACTGTAGGGGAAGGAAAACTTTTCCTCTACTCTCTCACCTTCAGTGGCTGGGGGCCTGTGAGTTAAACAGATGAAAGTTATTAACAGGAAGAAATTGGCTGGGTACCGTAGCTCATGCCTATAATCCCAGCAATTTGGGAGGCCAAGGCGGGTGGATCACCTGAGGTCGGGAGTTCGAGACCAGCCTGACCAACATGGAGAAACCCTGTCTCTACTAAAAAATACAAAATTAGCCAGGCATGGTGACACATGCCTGTAATCCCAGCTACTTGGGAGGCTGAGGCAGGAGAATCACTTGAATCTGGGAGGTGGAGGTTGCGGTGAGCTGAGATGCGCCACTGCCCTCCAGCCTGGGGAACAAGAGTGAAACTGTCTCAAAAAAAGACAAAAAATCAACAGGAAAAAAGCATGCATTTGGAATTTTAAACTTAACGTGCATGAGGGTGTCCCAGAAATAAGCAAATACCAGAGGAGCAGTGAGATTCTGGAGCTCACATCTCGTCCTAACGTGGGTAGGGAGGGCAGAGGCGCACTTACGGAAACGCAAAGGACTTTATTGAGAGATAAATGGGCCCTCAGGAGGGCAGATGGGAGACATGGTCCTTTGTGACAATGTCTGCCGGGATGTGGGGGGGCTTCTCCCCTCCAAGAAGAGAAGATTACAGTTGTTCCTGGGGAGACACTTAGGACAATGGAGTTGTTTGGGGGAGGCTCTGGTTTTAGGCAGGTAAAGAATTTTAGGAACTCCAATGCTTTCTGCTCAAAAGAATTCTGCTGCCAAAATGGCATACCTCAGGTTGGCACTTCCTGATTCCCTCTAGAGCCTTGCGATGAACTGTAGACCTCTTCCTGTAAACACCACCACCACACACAAGTGAAAAGGCAAGGTCAGATTGAGGAGCGACGTTTGCCTCATGCTTAATAGTCAACAGTTTGGTACATGCAACCTCTAAGTGGCTTCCATAAATGAATAACAAACAGAAAGAAAGAGCGATAGAAAAATGAGCAGATATTATGAGCAGGTAATTCACAGAAAAGGAATATCAAAAAACAGTTAAGCAAAAGAAAAGATGTCCCCCCTCACTAATAATCAGCCAGACAGTGAATTCAGCAGGTGTGTGACATTTTTGCCTGCCAGCTCCACGCTAATGTACTAAGATGTGCAGACAGCAGCCTGGGGAGACCAGCTGCACCTCCCTTAATGCAGTAGCTCTGGGCCAGGCATGATGGCTCCTACCTGTAATCTAAGCACTTTAAGAGGCCAAGGCAGGAGGATCATTTGAGGCCAGGAGTTCAAGATCAGCTGGGCAGCATAGTGACCCCCATCTCTATAAAAAAGAAAAAAGAAAAAAAAGCAGTGGCTCCAAAGCCTCCCATGGAAAACTTCTCATCATGTGGGCAAGGCAGAGGCTTCATTAGTAAAATGATTCAGCACCTGCCATCTGATGTCCATTCTCCAATCCCTTAGCCAAGTGCAACTCAAATGCCATTGATCATGGCCTATTTCAGGGACACAAGTTTCCTTGCATTAATCACTCTTTCCAGGATGCCAGGCACACTGACCCCCTTGGTACAGGGTCAGGGGACCCACCTGTGTCTCCTCCTTGTCTGGGGGAAGTTTACATGCTCTATGGAGGGCGTGCTGCTGAGGGCAATACCAGAAGGGAAGTTTTCTATAGGGGACCTCAGCTCCTGTTTATAAAGAGGGAGTCCAGGATAGGGGAGATGGCCCCTGGGAGGGGAATGTCTCCACATACCTAATAATTTGAGATGATTATAACAATAATAAGTATATTTCATCCAGCGTTTGTGGTGGGATTGTCTGTGCTCTGAGACGTGTCATGATCTCACCACATTCTCTTCTCTCTCTGGGATACCAACATCACCATCATCACCATTACCATCATCATCATCATCACCATCACCATCATCACCATCATAATCATCATTATAACCACCACCATCATCACCATCATCACCACCACCATCACCATTATCATCATAATCATAACGATCATCACCATCATCAACATCATTATCACCATAACCATTGCCATCACCATCATAATCATTATAACCACCACCATCATCCCATCGTCATCACCACCACCATCATCACCATCACCATCACCACCACCATCGTTACTATCATAATCATAATAATCATCACCATCATCATTAGCGTCATCACCATCATCACCATCATAATCATTATAATCATCATCACCACCACCATCATTATCATCATAATCACAATAATCATCACCATCATCATTATCATCATCACCACCATCACCATCATCATCATCACCACCATCACCATCATCATTATCATCATCACCACCATCACCATCATCATCATCATCACCATCATCATCATCATGATGACAATCATGACCGTCGTAGTCATCATTATCACCACCATGATCATCACCATCATCGTTATCACCATCATCACCACCACCATCATCATCATCATAATCATAAAATCATCACCATCAACATCATTATCACCATCATCATCACCATCACCATCATCATCACTATCATCATCACCATCATCACCACTACCACCATCATCATCATTGTAACAATCATCATCATCGTCAATATCATTATTACCATCATCATCACCATCATCACATCACCATCATTACCATCATCATCACCATCACCATTATCATCACCATCATCACCATCATCCTCATCACCATCATCACTATCATCATCACCATTATCAACATCATCATCATTCCTATTTCACAGCTGAGGAAGTGGAGGAGAGGAGGAGGAGAGGGCTCACCTCTGTCAGGAAATGACCAGGAAGTGGCTCCCATGGCCCTCTTATCTTAGTGCATTGGTCAGAAATGGGTCACTTGGTCACATGAGGCCACAAGGAGGGCTGGGGAAGGTTGTCCTCACTCTGGGTAGCCATGGGTCCAGTTCCCACTCAGGGCTCTAATCCACAGGTGAGGCAGATGTGGAGGGAGGGATTGAGAGTCTTCAGTTCTGAGAAGCTCCTGGTGATGCTCATGCTGCTGGTCCCAGAGTAGCAGAGCTTTAGGGGCTCAAATTCCCCATTTTCCTTCACTGTGAGAGGTACCTGCTTAGGGGCCATGGGAGAGTCCCTTTTATCCCATAACTGATTGTTGCTCAGGGTCCTCTCTGCAGAGCCCCCGGTCGACTCCCAGGGACAGACCTGTAAGGTTTCTCAGCTAATTGTGGCAGCATTTCCTGCAGTGGATTCACCCCCAGAATGTGGCACTGGGCTGCCTGTGCCTCTCTTTGTTTTCCTGTTGCTGATGCGGTGCCTGGGATAAGAGTGCAGAGCTGGCTTGGAAGACGGGAATTTCTCCTGTCGATATCAATCACGTCTAGTGTATTGCTGAACCTGCCTCATTACAATGTCAAATGTGTTCAGAGATGGGAGCTTAAACTGCCATTATCCTTACCCATATCTCTCTCTGCCTTGAACTTCTGTAAGCAATGAATTTGAATCCCAGGACAGGGATGAGAAGGTGCTGAGTTCCAAAATGAGGGGATAGGCTTTGTGGCATCCTGGGCAGAGGAGTTTATGTGTTTAGTGTGCAGGCACCATGGCGGGGGATCACCCCACAATGAACCCGGCCACAGGGCCATGGATGGGACACATCTCTCAGCGGGGACCCAGGGACAGTGTCTCCATCACCTCCATCCCAGCGACCCTCTACTCACACCTTCAGTCAAATGTCTGCTCCTCCCTGTGAAGGGCGAGGGGGCCATGGAATCCCTGACTGCACAAAAGGCTGAGCACTGCACACACCCGGAGATCTCAGGCCCCTGCCCTCTGGCTGAGCCAGGGGGAAAGGGGATTTTTCCTGGAATTCAACTCTCTGCACCGTGGCCACCCCTTGAAGGACTCACAGACTCCCCTGATTCAGCCTCATGGCATCTCAGGGAGGTTGGGCAGCTTCCCTCTGCAGCTGGAGGCCGAGTGCCTCTCCCACCTCCAATCCTGCCCTTCAGCAAACTGACTGACAGGCAAAGGAATCAACCCAGAGCCTCCAGAAGCTTCCAAGTCCCAGCCAGGGGAGCCACACCTGCCCAGATGCTGCAGAAGAGCAGCACTCAGTCATGGCCTGCGCTATTTCACACAAGAGGAAACTGGGTTTGGGAGAAGGAAGGGGCTACGCAGACTTAAATAGACACGGCTTTAAGCAAAGATAAACTCACAGAGCAGAGAAGGTGTTCTCTACGCTCTGCTTTGTCCAGATTTTAGAATCATGAATGTGTGACCTGAGACCCTATTAATTAGACGCTTTAATGTGATGACTAAAATTGGTCAAAAATTTAGATTAGCCAATTCACAAAAGAGGATTCTCACACGTCCCATAAGCACAGGGACAGTTGTGCAGCATCGCCAGACATCAGGGAAGTAAAAATTAAACCATAGTGAGACTCCAGTCCATGCCCACAAGAATGGCTGGAATTGGAACAGCTGACCTCCTGCTGAAGACCAAGTGGGGCCCTTGCAACTCCTGTGTGTAGCTGGGAGGAGTGTGCAATGGTGCACCCCCCTAGGACACCCTTTTGGATGGCTTCTGGGGAGGAGTGTGCAATGGTGCACCCCCTAGGACACCCTTTTGGATGGCTTCTGGGGAGGAGTGTGCAATGGTGCACCCCCTAGGACACCCTTTTGGATGGCTTCTGGGGAGGAGTGTGCAATGGTGCACCCCCTAGGACACCCTTTTGGATGGCTTCTGGGGAGGAGTGTGCAATGGTGCACCCCCTAGGACACCCTTTTGGATGGCTTCTGGGGAGGAGTGTGCAATGGTGCACCCCCTAGGACACCCTTTTGGATGGCTTCTGGGGAGGAGTGTGCAATGGTGCACCCCCTAGGACACCCTTTTGGATGGCTTCTGGGGAGGAGTGTGCAATGGTGCACCCCCTAGGACACCCTTTTGGATGGCTTCTGGGGAGGAGTGTGCAATGGTGCACCCCCCTAGGACACCCTTTTGGATGGCTTCTGGGGAGGAGTGTGCAATGGTGCACCCCCTAGGACACCCTTTTGGATGGCTTCTGGGGAGGAGTGTGCAATGGTGCACCCCCTAGGACACCCTTTTGGATGGCTTCTGGGGAGGAGTGTGCAATGGTGCACCCCCCTAGGACACCCTTTTGGATGGCTTCTGGGGAGGAGTGTGCAATGGTGCACCCCCTAGGACACCCTTTTGGATGGCTTCTGGGGAGGAGTGTGCAATGGTGCACCCCCCTAGGACACCCTTTTGGATGGCTTCTGGGGAGGAGTGTGCAATGGTGCATCTCTAAGACACTCTCTTGGATGGGTTTTGTGGAGGAGGGTGCAACGGTGCACCCCCCTAGGACACCCTTTTGGATGGCTTCTGGGGAGGAGTGTGCAATGGTGCATCTCTAAGACACTCTCTTGGATGGGTTTTGTGGAGGAGGGTGCAACGGTGCACCCCTAAGAAACCCTCTTTGGTGGGTTTTGTGGAGGAGTGTGCAATAGTGCACCCCCAAACACCCTCTTGGATGGGTTTTGTGGAGGAGTGTGCAATGGTTCACCCCTAGACACCCTCTTGGATGGGTTTTGTGGAGGAGGGTGCAATGTCGGACCCCTAAGACACCCTCTTGGATGGGTTTTGTGGAGGAGGGTGTAATGGTGCACCCCTAAGGCACCCTCTTTGATGGCTTCTAAGAAGGTTACACATAGAACAATCCCATGACCCAGAAAATCCATTCCTGGGAACGTAAGAAAAATCCATAAATATGTCCACAACAAACAACTGCACGAGAATGACACAATAGCTTTGTTCAAAATAGTGAAACCCAGAAACAATCCAGGCAAATGCAGAAACAAATAGCAGAATCTTCATACAATGCAACGTTACTCTACGATCACTCCTGAGAAAGACAGTTTTAGGGAGAAATCTCAAGAAATTATGTTGAGAAAAAAATGGGAGTCATGAAATACTACACGTCACAGAATTCCATTTATATCCAGTTCCTGTCACTTAGGTTTCCAAACAGGCAAGACTGTGTGGAAACAGAGCACAGGAAAAGTGACCTCTGAGTGTGGACTGGAAAGGGCATGAGGGGCTTCCTGGGGGTGGTGTCTGTGCCTCAACTTGGGGGCGGTCACAAGGCCTGTACATATGTGAAGTCCCGTCCATCTGTACTCATAAGATTTGTTATTTTACTGAGTGTAAGTGATGCCTCAAATAACTACTAAAAAGGGATGATGGTAAATCCTGCCTGATCCTTCAAACCCCATCTCCTCCTGCCCCGCCCTCAACCCTTTCCTTAATCTCCCAGCCACACACCATCCCCTAGAGCAAATATGTTGTTTTTGCTGTTTTTTCCCCATACGTGGATTCAAGATCAATGCAAATATCAACTGTACATTTGAAGATTAAAGTGAAAGTCATTCTTGACTCCACCCCATCCTTTCCCTCCTGCTCACCACATTCCTATTCATTTCCAGAAAAACACTGTGGCCTGGTGGGAGTGGGGGTGTCTCTTCTTCCAGAGGGTCTCTAAGCTTTTACATCCATACATCCATATGGATGGAAATAAGTGCCCCTTTCACCATGGCTTTTATACACACACACACACACACACACACATCACACTGGGGCCATGTCTTCTTCCTTGCTTGTTTTGTAGAATAGCAAGCCTTAGAAATCTTTCCATATGCATATATATAGTGCTACCATTTTGCATCAGCTGCTACACAATATTCCATAACATGGACATACCATAGGCTGTATTTAACCAAATCACCCTCGGAAGAGACTAAAGTTTTATTTTTCCCCATGTCTCCAGGATGACTGTCGACGTGGCAGCACACATTCTAGCACCCGCCTCCTTTGCCCATGCTCAGGTAGAGGCTGAGAAGTGAAATTGGGAGCCATGGCATGTGTGCACTTTTTGTGCCAATAGATACATCCAGATAGTTCTCTAGAAAAGACCATTCGAACTTACATTCACACAAACAGCATACACGAATCCTCTTTCCGCATATCTTGGCTAATACTTTTTTCTTTCTTTCTTTTTTTTTTTTTTTTGAGACAGAGCCTCGCTCTGCTGCCCAGGCTTGAGTGCAGTGGTGCAATCTCAGCTCACTGCAACCTCCACCTCCTGGGTTCAAGCAATTCTCCTGCTTCAGCCTCCCAAGTAGCTGGGACTACGGGCCTGCGCCACCTCACCCGGCTAACTTTTTATATTTTTAGTACAGACAGGGTTTCACCATTTTGGCCAGGCTGGCCTCGAACTCCTGACCTCGTGATCCACCCGCCTTGGCCTCCCAAAGTTCTGGGATTACAGGTGTGAGCCACTGTGTCCGGCCACTTGGCTAATACTTGACGTGATCATTTCCTCACTTCTGCCCATCAGATAGGTGAAACGTTGTATCTTGTTTTAACTTGTTTGCCCTCATTCCTACTGAGTTGAGTATTTTTCTATGTTGCCCTTTGACATTTCTCTCCCATAAATTGTTTGTTTATATCCTTTGCCTGAATTTTTGCTGGGTTGTTTATCTTTTCCACATTACTCTAGGAAGGCGTTTACAGATTCTGTGTGTGAATCTTTTGTTTTATGTCGTGTAATGTTTTCTCCGAGTCTGTGGCTAATCTTTTCACTGTATCTTTACTGATATGGAAATTTTAAATGTCGATGTAGACAAAATTATATATTTTTCACCTTAGCCCTGTGTGGTTTTGTCTTGTTTAGGGTCTTTTGACACCCAGGTTACATTTTCCTGCTTTTTTTAAATTTTGAGACAGAGTTTCACTCTTGTTGCCCAGGCTGGAGTGCAGTGGTGTGATCTCGGCTCACTGCAACCTCTGCCTCCTGGGTTCCAGCAATTCTCCTGTCTCAGCCTACCAAGTAGCTTGGATTACAGGCGTGTGCCACTACACTCAGCTAATTTTTGTATTTTTAGTAGAGACGAGGTTTCATCATGTTGGCCAGGCTGGTCTTGAACTCCTGACCTCAAGCGATCCACCTGCCTTGGCCTCCCAAAGTGCTGGGATTACAGGCATGAGCCACCATGCCTGAGTCACCATGCCTGGCCCAGCATCTGATATTTCTAAACGACACATGACAATGACCAGTTTCTCCCAGTTTTCTGAATGTTGCATGTTCATAATATCCTGGATTGTATCAGTTTAGTGCCAAAAAATGGTTTCAAAATTATAATCCAGTTCCTTGCAGACAAAAAGGATTCTGGAATAAAACAAATCAGAGCTGCTTCCACAAACCCCAATGAGGTTCCTGACTCTGGGCAGGCAGGAGTGGCCTTTGCTCCCCAGAAAAGGAACTAAAGAGAGTCGTGGAGGACTTGGAGCTCTTGCAGCCTCTGAGACTCTCAGGCCTCCCCTGGGGGGAAAACATGTCCAGAACCTGAAAAAGACAAATGAAAATCCACTCACACTGACCGGCTGCTGCCCCTCACCCCACAGCCTGGGAGCTTCTCAGACGGCTGCCTTTCTGCCCATAGCGACTGGTTCAGGGCTGGGCTGCTGACAGAAGCTGGGTCAGGTAGAGCAAAGATTCTCCCCAAGACTGTTTATTGATACATAATAGATGTACATATTCGGGGTGCAGGCATATAATGTGTAGTGATCAAATCAAGATCACTTGTGACGCTTGTGATACCTGCCACCCCAAATCAAGACACTTGTGATACCTGCCACCCCAAATATTTACCTTTCCTTTATGCGGGGAACATTCACATTCTTCTCTTCTAGCCCTTTCGAAATCTACAAGGACAGTGAACAGGCGTCATGGAGGGAATGCTGGAGTCTGTTACCCACGTAGCTGTTATGCCAGAGGAATGGGGTCCACAGTGGTCAGTGTGAGGCTCAGCCAGTGTGAGTGGAGGAAGCAAAGTTTGCACAGAGAAAGACGCAAGAGCACCATGCTGAGCTCCCGCTCCCTATTCCAGCCTCACAGAGACCCAGTCACACCTTGCTCTCCCCGCTTCATGTGGACTTCCCTGACCTACACCAGTGTGAGCTGCATTTCTGCCACTTCAAGCTGAAGCTGAGCCCTGACTGACACAGTTTTCTTATTTCTCCGGGAGCAGCACCACTCCTGATGGTCCCCTCCAAAGCCCCAGGAAACTCTTGTTAGCAATCTTAGATTAAATTCAGTGAGTTTCTGGATCACGACAGGAAGCTGTGTCCAGCACGAAGGTGTCCTGTGAACAGGCTCAATCACAAGCTCTGCAGAGACGGGAAGTGACAGAGGCCCCAGAAAGCCAGTTCCCGACAACGCCAATACTGCACGTTTATCAGCTGCGGCAAGAGCCGGCCGGAGGCGGTGGCAGCACCTCAATGCCCTTGCCTCGTCTTCAAGATTCTTCTGTTTGATGTTGCGTCCTCACTGTTCCTCTGCTGAGGAGCTGTAGTGTGGCTCACAACTACGCGATGACTCTCCAGATTCAAAGACCACATCTCACCCTCTCTAAAGCCCCAGGGGCCCAGCGCAGTGCCGAGTGCAGAAGGATTGATGAGCATTTGCTGAGCCGGGTGATGATCCCACGGGCGTTGTTTCCTCTGCCCTCAGTCTCCAGCCTGCAGACGCCTGAATGGATTCTGGAGAGGTGTGCGTTGGACTCTGAAGGTCCTCTGAGCCCATCCAGGATAAAGATGCTCTCTCCCAGGCGTCTGCTCAGCCGCCGGCTATCGGCAGGACATTGCGCACCAGGTATCTTCAAGCTGCTTCTGGCTGGATTTAGGGCATGATGGAAACATCAAAACAACTGTAGTTCTGCCACGGGGTCCCACATCTGCTTATCCTGGGACAGCCACGCAGTCCCCACCCAGGAAGCGGCAGCAGGTTTCAGCACCCTGGAGAGGGCCAGGCCCCTGTGGCTGGTCAAGCTCCTCAGTGTTAAGGGAGCAGCTCAGGAAGGCCCCGCCCATGACGATGAGGGGACCAGGAATGAAGTCAGCAGGTGAGCGGGAGGAACTTGACTCAGAGCAGTGGGAGGGCAGGAAGCGTGCTGGGGAGGAGCCCTTGAGGGGCCACCACCTGGGGAAGCGCCTGCTGTCCCAGGGACAAGGGAAGTCTCCTCCTTTATTCCCCAGAAGGACAGCGTGGCTGCGGTCAAATCCATCCACGGGGCAGATTTTCCCCACGGCCCTGTCCCCTGACCCTAGTGGCCCTCCCACAGACATGCCCTGCAGGGCCCAGGACACTGGCCCTCGATGGGCCCTGAGCCAGTGCCACCTGTGTGTGCACTGATGAAGGTCAGGCACTTTATTGGAGGAAGGAGGAGCAGAAAGAGGAGAAGGAAACGTTAACTCCTAAATCACAAGGCAGAAAGGATTCCTGAAACAAATCAACCAAATCTGCCTCCTAGGTGGTTCCAGACCTGCCTCCCCTCCCCTCCCCGTTTCTTAGGGCGCGGCAGTAACGTTAACCCGGCTCCACTGCACATCCTCCTGACCCTGGCCCTGCACCCTTGGCCCCTGCACATCTCATGGCTGACACCTCTGTACGGGCTCTCATTTCACGTTTCACCTTCAAATTGTGCTCTGTGAACACGTGTATGCATGCACATTTATTGATCTATTTGTTTACGTTTGTTTGATGATCCAGTTGCAGTCTCTTTTCATTAGAAAGCTAGGCTTGTTCCAAGCATAATATGTGCTTGTTTTGACTTCTTTTGAAAATGAAAGCACCTGAAACTTCCCACAGCTAATTAGCCTGCCAGGATTTGTTTAATGGCAGAGACAGAAAAATCCCCTCAATGCAGCCACGCAGCTCAGCAAGAGGGCGGAGGGAAAGATGCACCCCAGCCCCTTGACTCAGGTATTTAAGAGGAAAACACGTCCTTCCGGGATGGGCAGAGGGCGGTGGCCTGCAGGCCGGCGTGGGATGGCAGGAGCGCCTGGGCTGACAGCTTTTCCTTCTGCCTTTCTGCTTCGCATCTGTCTCCCCAGAGACAGCAAATATGCCCAGCACCACGGTGGGCACGGAGACTCAGCCCCAGCCCTGAGAAGCGGCCCCAGGTCCTGAGTTATTTAACAAGCAGAAGTGAGTAAATGATGTCCGAGGCTCCATCCCTCCCATCCCTGCTGATGGCTCATCAGTCACAGGCAGTTACAGGGAACGGGGGAAGCCACCATCAGGGAGGTCCGTTTACTGCAGGATAGATGATTCGAATTAATATTTCCACCTCCAATCCAAATCATGAAAACAAGACATTACATTTGATTACAGCCAATCAAAATAGCAGTCATCCTACCTTGGAGTGATCTCCTGCCTTATGTGGGCGAAGCCTCCAAGTCTTTCTATGTTATTTCCTCATTTGTGCCTAAAAAGTTCCTTCTAGGGAAGAAGGGCCCGTCATCATCCTGCCCACTGTGCAGATGGAAAACCCAAGACTCAGAGGTGCTTTCATGCACTTCCCAACCTCCCAGAGGCCTGGAGAGCAGGGGCCGGCTGTGCTTCTCCTCCCGTGCTCTGCTCCTGAGCCAGGAGTTTCCCCAGCCGGGCCCCTGCCCTGAGCCCAGGTTGGGCCATGATTTCCTCCTTAGCCTGCCTCGGTCTCATCCTCTGGCCTCCAATAATAGGGCACTTCTTCCAGGCAGCCGAGCCCAAGCCTCATGCTCCTATGCAGCCTTTCAGGAAGTCCCTGTGCTTCTGCCTTTAGAATAACCTTAGCGGCAGACGTGTCCCAGTGCTGCTCTCATGAGATTTGCCCTGGGATTCTCTTCCGCACCCATGGCCTCTGCTTGGGGTCCTGCGGGACACACCCCAGGCTGCTGCCTGCACCCAGGCCCTGCACTCCCCACGCAGCTGCCTGGGGTCTCTCCCCAGCCTGTGCCAGAGGGTGTCACCCTCTACTCCCACCCTCGTATGGGCTCCACCGGCTCTACAGAACTTGTGTCATCCCAAATGGCAGCAGAAGAGGCCCTGGTCCTCTTCAGGAGCCCATGTGCTCCCCAGGGTTTCATGGTTATGAAATGGACCACTTCTGGCCCATGGGCTGTGAACTGTAGGGGCAGGAGAGGGCCCAGGGAGCTCCCCATTCTCTCTCCCAGAGGCTGGGCCTGGTTCATTCCCTGCACCACAACTTCCACACCCCTGGAGACTTAAAACAGCCCCAGTTATGGTCTCATGGTTCCTGTGGGGTGGCCCAAGCAGCCCTTTCCTCTCTCACACAAGAAACTCCAAGAAAGGGAGCAGAGGAGGGGCCCAAACCCTCCCATTCTGAGGTTGTCCCCAGGCCGTCCTGTCCTGCAGGCCCCCCGTGGTCAGGCAAACAAAGGGCAACCTAATAATAGACTCAGCAGGGCAGTCCCAGCAGGGGCACAACAGGCTTGCTGGTTGTCCCCAGTCCAAGGCTCCCTCTGTCTTCATGAGCCCACCAGGGGGTGGCCCAGCCCCAGGAGGCCCTTTCTCTCTTCATGGCCACACTCAATGGGGACCCAGCTGTGTTCGTGGTGCTGCCTGTGCCTTCCCTGGTGTCTAATGGAGCTGAGACAAGCCCCACTGTGAGCTAAGCCCCAGAGAAGGCGGCAGGGAAGGAGTGGGGAGAGGAGGAGCACTAAGAATTCCATGCAAATGATATTCAAATGAGCAGTACATGCTTCGGTCTGGATCCTGTTTTCTTCCTGGCCTCATTCCTGCTGGGCTGTGAACCTGCCCAACTTCCCATCCCCTGGTTATAGACTTTTTGGGAAAAAGCATATTTAGCTACCAGCACTCTCCCAAGTCCAACAGAGCCAGAGCGAGGCTGTGAGACCCCACCCACCACTTGGGGATGGAGCCTCCCTCCCCACCATCTGCAGGCTGTGCCCCCACTCCACCCCTAAGTTCTTCTCTTCTCCATGCTCTACCTGAGCCCCCTCCTCCAAGAAGGCTTCTCTGACCAGTGCAGGTCACAGGGTCCTCATGGACTTCAGGGAGGCACAGCAGATAGGACACTGGGCAGGTGACCAGGAGCCAGTGAAAGTGGGAAGGACTCAGAAAAATCATTTGAGAGGAGAGTGTGAGCTGTGCAAATTTTTATCCATCTGTCCCTCCACTCATCCATTCATTTATTCACCCACTCATCCATCCATCAGCCATCTATCCATCCATCCATCCATCCATCCATCCATCCACTCTTTCACCTATCCATTCATCCATCCATCTATTCATTCATCCATCCATCCACTCTTTCACCTATCCATTCATCCATCCATCTATTCATTCATCCATCCTTCCATCCATCCATTCATCCATCCACCCATTCATTCACCTATTCATCCACTCATGCTTCCATTATTTATTCATTCACCCACTCATCCATCTACCCATCCATCCATTCATTCACCATTCATCCATTCATTCATTTTTCCATTATCCTTTCATTCACCCACTCATCCACCTATCCATCCATCCATTCATTCATCTATCCATTCATCCATGCACCCACTCATCCATCCATCCATCCATTCATTCATCTATCCATTCATCCATGCACCCACTCATCCATCCATCCATTCTTTCATCCATTTACCTATCCATTCACCCATTAATTCATTCTTCCCCTCATCCATCCATCCAGCAATCCATTAATCCATTCATCAATCCATTTGTCCATTCAACAAATGGGGGACAGCTGAGGCCGAGACCAAGACCAAGTCCTGTCCCTTACTGGGCTTGTTTGCATTGCAAACAAAGAGTAACCAAAATAACCTACATTAAAACCTCAGGTGGTGATAAGGGAAGAAAATTGAAATAGGTGAAGGTCAGTGTGACATGGCAGAGGTGTGGGTGGGTCTCCCTCTGGTGTGTGGTCAGTAGCAGTAGAAGGTGTTTGAGTCACAGGGGCTGACCCTGGGGATGGGGAGCAGGTGGAAAGGAGGAGGTCCGGGATGAGCCTGGTCCACTGCTCGGGGGAGGGAGAGGAGCACCCACCAAGGACACCCAGGGGCAGGTGTCTCACGGGCCAGGCTGGGGTCGGGGGCAATGCAGAAACACCAGCACTGATGAGAATGATGCCCACATTTGAGACTCACACTTCCATCTGGACTTTGTCGTGCTGAAATGGTTCATTCTACCTGATCCATCTCGGTTAAATGAGGGGCACCCCAGCAGCAGGAGAGCTCCGTATACTAACAGCAACCTCTGTTTAGGGTTCTTGTGGCCAGGCACAAGCATCACCTCCTGTTTCAGTGGATTGTCTCACAGTTCCCTGATTATTCTCTGAAATAAGACCATCTTGTCCTCATTGATGTTAGTGACACAAACCCCACTCGCAGGGCCTAAGCCCCAAAGGGGATTAATGGGTGCTTCTAGGAGAGGGCGAGAGTGGCCTGTTTTCAGATCTGGGTGTGTCCAGAGCTCAGGTCACTATCACCAAGGCCTGGTCCACCCCTGGCTCTGCTTCCTCCATGTGGATTCCAGTCTCAAGCAGGCTCTGCCCACTGATTCCAGCAGGGCAATCTGTGCCACGCCCACCTCAGGTCACAGCCAGTGAGAAAGACCAGACCCTTTCAGCCCAAATCTCCTTGCACCTGATTGGCCCTGATGGCTTCACACCCCTATGCCTGAGCCAGTCACCTCCCATTGGAGGGCGTTGTGCTGATTGACTGTGACTTGGTTATGGAATCTGCCCCTGGACTGGGGATGTCCCCAAACCACGTGGACTGAGGCTGGGTGAAGGGTGATCCTTAAGGGGCTGTTCCAGGCACTGGGGGAATAGCTGCTGAGTGGTGTCCCTGGGAGAGCATCAGTTTCCCTGCTTTACAGAGAAGGGAACCATGCTCAGTGGTGAGGATGGCTCTGGGATCACACAGCACAGCTGTCAGGGTCAGCACTGGGAGTTGGACCTGCACAGCAGGCCTGGGCTCTGATCTCTGGCTGGACTGTCCCAGACCTGCCTCTGGCCCTGAGCCACAAGTCAGCTCTGGAGACACCTGCGTGGAAAGGGCACACCCCATAGACCCTCTCCATTTTACCTAGAGCCTGACAAGCCCAGTGCAGGCAAGGGCCCACAGACAGTGCTATAAATCTACCCCTCAATGATAAACTGCAAAGCAGCCATAAAGTCTTCAGGAAACACATACCGTATGGCAATTAAAATGATGTTCTCCCCCTCCGTCTCAGGGATGAGACATGTGAGGACCAGTGAGAAGTACTCATCTTTTACAATGAATGTCAACAGACTCTTACAAATGAATTCACCCCAGACTACATTGTCATCTCCTGGGGACACGTTTAAATCGCCTTCTGTGTCTGTAAGTATCAGCTTGTCCTGGAGTCGACCCCAGATGTGATGAGCACAAATGCTAGCTTGGAAGCCTGGGGCTGCCTGAGGTCTCTGGGCTCCTGCACAGACAGACAGACACAGTGCATCCCTGGGCTCCTGTCCCTCTGTCACTCACAGTCCTCTCTCGGCTTGGGTGTTCCATTGCACAGGCAGAAGTGGGGCTTGGTCTTGGCTCCTCCAGGCACCTCTGTCTCCTGACCCACGGCCTAGGGTGGCAGGATAAGAAGGGGACCTGGTGAGTGCAGCCATGACAGACACTCAATTGGACACAGTGCTCCCTCTGTGCTGGGTTTTGGACGGGTGTCCATTGTGATTTGCCCATGTTCCATTCCAATGGGAAAATGCTCCAGCCTGATTGGCTGGTGCTCCGTTGCGATTGGCTCATGCTCCATTCCGACTGGAAAATGCTCCAGCCTGACTGGCCTGTGCTTCATTGTGATTGGTTCATGCTCCATCCTAATTGGCTCATCATCTCATAATCCATTCTCATTGATCTATGCTCCATCCTTATTGGAAAATGCTTCATCTTGATTGGCCCATGCTCCAGTCTGTGTGGTCTGTGGTCAATTCGGATTGGTCCATGCACCATTCTGATAAGTCCATGCTCTATTTTAATATTTCAGTGCCCTGGGGAATATGTTCCCAACTGGAACTTCCCACTGGTTTGGAAAGAGCGGGGAAATTCTCCCCACCACATCACCTGTCTGTGGTTTATCCCCAGAGGTGAGATTCCTGCCCAGCATTCCGCACCCTTCAGCACATTCTAGCCCATTCCATTGTCTCTAAAAGAGAAAAGGCTCAGGGAAGGGTTGGGAACAATTAGGTAAAGGGAACAAATCTGAGTTTCTTTTAAATCCTGAAGTTTTCTGCATTTGCAGATTCTCCAGGACCAGATGCTTAGCCATCTGTATGGAGCACTTTCTCCTGGAAACGATTTCCTGCCTCCCAAATGGTGCAATTCTTGACTGTGCTGACGGCCATATCACTGTTTCAGGAACAGATGTTCTAGCTGTTGGCACCCAGAGAGAGAAGGCTACCTGGTTCTGGAAATCTCATTTTCCAATTCAATAATGATGTGCAAGTGTGTTCACACTATGCTCTGCCACTGAGAGGCCCCTCCCCAGCCTGGGCTCAAACCCCCGGGTCCTCTTCTGCACTTGGGGTTCTCCGGCCCCCTCCCCAAATGTCTCCTCCCATATGAATGAGTTAAGTGATTGATTGAATGAGTGAGTGAATAAGTGAATGAGTAATGAGGAGTGAATGAGTGAGTGAATAAATGGGTAAATGAATGAGTGAATGAGTGAATGAATGAGTAAGTGAATGAGTGAGTGAGGGAGTGAGTGAATGAGTAATGAGGAGTGAATGAGTAAGTGAGAAAGTGTGTGGATGAAGGAGTGAATAAGTGAGGGAGTGAATGAGTGAGAGAATGAGTGAGTGAATGAATGAGAAAGTGAGTGAGTGAGCAAGTGAATGAGTAATGAGGAGTGAATGAGTGAGTGAATGGGTAAGTGAGGGAGTGTGTGAATGAAGGAATGAATAGTGAAAGAGTGAAGGAGTGAATAAGTGAGGGAGTGAATGAGTGGATGAGAGAATGAGTGAGTGAATGAATGAGTGAGTGAATGAGAAAGTGAGGGAGTGAGTGAGGGAGTGAATTAATGATGGAATAAATGAGTGATTAAGTGAGTGAGAGAGTGAGTGAAGGAGGGAGTGAGTGAGAGAATAAGTAGATTAGTGAATGAAAGAG